>NC_000016.10:29747315-30062522 GCF_000001405.40 Homo sapiens | reverse complement strand
GTCTCGCTCTGTTGCCAGGCTGGAGTGCCATGGCGCGGTCTCGGCTCACTGCAACCTCCGCCTCCTGGGTTCAAGCGATTCTCCTGCCTCAGCCTCCCAAGTAGCTGGGATTACAGGCACGTGCCACCACGCCTGGCTAATTCATTTTTTGTATTTTTTTGTAGAGACAGGGTTTCATCATGTTGCCCAGGCTAGTCTCAAACTCCTGGGCTAAACCCACCTTGGTCTCCCAAAGTGCTGGGATTACAGGCATGCGCCACTGCGCCCAATCAATTTTAATGTTTTCAAAAGAATTAGATCTATTTGTTTGTTTGTTTTTTCAAACGGAGTCTTGCTCTGTCACCCAGGCTGGAGTGCAATGGTGGGATCTCAGCTTGGGGCAACCTCTGCCTCCCGGGTTCAAGTGATTCTCCTGTCTCAGCCTCCTGAGTAGCTGGGATTACAGGCGCCCGCCACTACACCCAGCTAATTTTTGTATTTTTAGTAGAGACAGGGTTTCACCATGTTAGTCAGGCTGGTCTCGAACTCCTGACCTCAGGTGATCCGCCCACCTCGGCCTCCCAAAGTGCTGGGATTACAGGTGTGAGCCACCGCGCCCAGCCTTATATTTTTTAATTACCAGAATCCTGAGTAATGGGCTTCTTTACAAAAGAGAAAATGGATGGTTAGACATGGTGGCTCATGCCTGTAATCCCAACAACTTGGGAGGCCAAGGTGGGCGGATCACTTAAGGTCAGGAATTCAGGACCAGCTGGGCCAACATGGCGAAACCTCTTCTCTACTAAAAACACAAAAATTAGCTGGGCGTGGTGGGGTGCACCTGTAATCCTAGCTACTCAGAAGCCTGAAGCAGGAGAATCGCTTGAGCCTGGGAGGCAGAGGTTGCAGTAAGCCGAGATCGACCCACTGCACTCCAGCCTGGGCAACAGAACAAGACTCTGCCTCAAAAAAAAAAAAAAAAAAAAAAAAAAAAAGGAAATGGAGGCATAGACAGAGAGGCAAGTGATGGGAATGGAGCTGGGATGTACAGTCCTGCCTGCAATCCCTCTTGAGCCCTCTGCCTCCCAGTGCCAGGAGCATCAGCCTCTCTCTGGGTCTGCCAGGGCAGGGGCAGCTCATCCCATATTCTCCACTGAGCTAGCACTGGACTCATGCTCAGCAGGTGTCTGAGATATAAATGAATGCTGAATGAATGGATGAATCTAAGCATATCATTTGCCTTCTTTAGGCAAAGAAGAAAGAAGAGGGCTTCTCAGCTCCTGGAGGAAACAATGTCTGTCTCTTTGGGGAATAGGAGCAGCGTGTCCTTAGAGACAAGAAGGGAGAACTGGTCTATCCAGTGCACTGCTGTCCTCCCCTGGGACAGGGATGACCCGCAACTGCCTTAGGCATGGGCTGGAGTCAGGCCAAATGGCTGAAGTGGCCCAGGATGGCTGTGTGACAGAAGATTGGCTCCTTGAGGCCAGAGGCAGAGGTAGTGACAGTCACAGTTGTACAGTTCAATCAGAAACTTGGCCAAGCCAGGAATAGGGGAATGACCTTTCCAACAGCTGAGGTTTCAGGGTGTGGTGTCAGATGGCTGGTGAGATCAGATATCACTAGGGGCTGCAGTGAGGGGAGGGGACCTGCCACCTGCAGGGACAGGGGTCTGAATTGGGCTGTGCTACTGTCAACAGAACTGCCTCCTTGGGGGAGGCTAGAACCGTCATGGTGGAAGGGGGAGAGAGAAGTGATTTTCTTGTGTTTGATGAGGGTGTGATTTGGGGTGTCTCTAGGGAGTCTCAGTCTGGGGATGAAATCACTTCTGCGGGCTTTTGAAGGACCACACCATCATTCTGTGCACAGAACCCATGGCTGAGAGAGGCTCTGCTGCCATTACCTCAGAAAAGAGGGTATTAAAAGCATTTCTTGGCTCTCTCCCTTGGAAGGGTTTAGATCTTGTCATTAATAACTGGCTAATGGATTTCTCAACCGTTACAAGCAGCCATGTGGCTTCTGGAAGGAATCTGCTGTTTAAGTACATTAAACAAGGACTCCGCAAGACTGTTAACCCTTGTGTCTCTCCTGGCTCTCAGGAGAGTTTTTCACTTGAATTTTTCCTGTTGTCTCTGTGAGAGCCAGCCATCATCGTATAGATGGTTAAAGCTCAGGCCCTAGAGTCAGTAAGGCCTGGGTTTGAACCTCAGCTTGGCTAATTCATTTTTTCAGCCTCAGTTTCCTCATTTATAGGAATATAACACCTAAGGCCAGGTGTGGTGGCTCACACCTGTAATCCCAGCACTTTGGGAGGCCAAGGTGGGCGCACCATCTGAGATCAGGAGTTCAAGACTAGCCTGGCCAACATGGTGAAACATCATCTCTATTAAAAATACGAAAATTAGCTGGGCATGGTGGCGCACGCCTGTGGTCCCAGCTACTTGGGAGGCTGAGGTGGGAGACTTGCTTAAACCCAGGAGATGGAGATTGCAGTGAGCCGAGATTGTTTTACTGCACTCTAGCCTGGGCAACAGAGTGAGACTCCATCTCAAAAGAATAAAATAAAATAAAATGAAAAAATATAAGACCTAGTTCATAAGGCCATTGTCGGGAATCGGTGGAAGGAACTAAGCACGATGCCTGGTAAGTAATGAGTGCTGGACGAAAGAGAGCTGTTCTTGGCCGGGCATGGCGACTCACGCCTGTATGTAATCGCAGCACTTTGGGAGGCCAAGGCAGGTGGATCACCTGAGGTCAGGAATTCAAGACCAGCCTGGCCAACATGGTGAAAACCTGTCTCTACTAAAAATACAAACTTTAGCCGGGCATGGTGGCAGGTGCCTGTAATCTCAGCTACTTGGGAGTCTGAGGCAGGAGAATCACTCGAACCTGGGGGACGGAGGTTGCAGTGAGCCGAGATTACGCCACCGCATTCCAGCCTGGGCAACAGAGGGAGCACTGCACTCCAGCCTGGGTGACAAGAGAGACCCTGCCTGGGAAAAAAAAAAAAAAGAAAGAGAGATATTATTATTATTATTATTATTTTTTGAGACGGAATCTTGCTCTGTCTCCCAGGCTGGAGTGCAGTGGCACGATCTCGGCTCACTGCAAGGTCCGCCTCCCGGGTTTTACAGCATTCTCCTGCCTCAGCCTCCCGAGTAGCTGGGACTACAGGCGCCCGCCACCACGCCCGGCTAATTTTTTTTGTATTTTAGTAGAGACGGGGTTTTACCGTGTTAGCCAGGATGGTCTCGAACTCCTGACCTTGTGATCTGCCCGCCTTGGCCTCCCAAAGTGCTGGGATTACAGGCATGAGCCACCGCACCCGGCCTGAAAGAGAGCTATTCTTATCATAGCTTCTTCCCTCAGCAGTGGTTCTTAACCTGTGTGCATCAGAATCATATGAGAACTTGTAAAAGATTCACAAACTCTAGCCCCAGCCCAGACCTCAGTGTGGGGCCTAGATGCCTGGCTTTCCTTTTAAGTCCTATACCTGCTTCTGATCGCATGCAGGGCTGAGCAACCGCTGCTCCATAGCACGTCATTTCTCACCCTCTGTTGTAATGGCCTGGTTATTTCTCTCTCTCCATCACCAGAATGGAAGCCCTGCGAGGCTGGGGACCTTCTCCATCTTGTTTCTGCTGAGTCCCCAAGGCCCTAGACAGTGCCTCAACAGTAACTCCATAAATCTTTGGTGAGTGAGTCAATGAATGAATGAATGAATGAATGAGAACCTTGCAACATGCACATGAAAGAAGCAGAGCAGGCCAGGCGTGGTGGCTCACGCCTGTAATCCCAGCACTTTGGGAGGCCAAGGCGGGCGGATCACGAGGTCAGGAGATCAAGACCATCCTGGCTAACACGAAACCCCATCTCTACTAAAAATACAAAAAATTAGCCAGGTGTGGTGGCGGGCACCTGTAATCCCAGCTACTCAGGAGGCTGAGGCAGGAGAATCGCTTGAACCCGAGAGGCGGAGGTTGAAGTGAGCCAAGATTGCACCACTGCACTCCAGCATGGGTGACAGAACAAGACTCCGTCTCAAAAAAAAAAGAAAAAAGAAAAAAAAAAGAAGCAGAGCAGGCGAGCAGGCATGTTTCTCCCTCAGTAAGGAAGAGAAACCTGGGTTTCTATTCCAGCTGATCCAGCCATATAACCTCCAAGTCACTCCAACCTCCGTAAGCCTCAGTGTCTACAGCTGCCAAGTGGCAAGACATTTGTAACCTTCTGGGCTGTTATTACAAGGAAACTGAAGAGGGAGGGACTTAAATATACTTTGTGGAAAGACAGCTCAAGGACAGAAAGAACCTGCCCTGTCCTCCACCCTGTTAAATCCCTTCCTAGCTCCAGCAGAAACCAGAGAGGATCAGGGCCTGATGTCTCCAGGTTTGAAAGTTCTTGCAGCCCTCTGTGGGGAAGGTGGGAAGGCCCAGTCTATCCTTACAATGCACCTCACCCATCCTCTCTCCCAAGGAGGTGATGAGTCCCTGGCTATTCACTTCAAATAGACAGAAGGGGTAGGGGGCGGCATCCCCAGGACAGGGGGCCAGAAATCATTTTCTAATGGAGCATCTCCTCTAAGGCAAGAGGTTTTTTTGCTTTGGTTTTTTTTTTTTGAGACAGAGTCTCACTCTGTCACCCAGGCTGGAGTGCAGTGGCATGATCTCAGCTCACCGCAATCTCTGCCTACTGGGTTCAAGCTATTCTCCTGCCTCAGCCTTTCCAGTAGCTGGGATTACAGGCGAGTGCCACCACGCCAAGACAGGAGTTTTCAGAACCCAAGGTCTCCTCCTTTTGCCCTTCTGCCCCTCAGCCCCAAACCTGAGACCCCTCTGCTGACTGCCCCTGGCAAACCAGAAGGTGATTATCTGAAAAAGCGCTCCTTGCCCCACAATTTACTTCAAAACTGAAAACATGCCAGGGATTAGCACCAATCACCATATGCCCAAGTTATGAATTTGCTTTTATCCTCCCCTTCCATCCTAGGGAAGGAATGTCACCACTCCAAGGGCAGGGGCTTTGCTGTCTGAATCGCTGAGCTCAAAATAATCATTCCTCAGGACGGTGGTCGATTACATTTAACATCTTTAAACCCACAAATAGAAACAGGTTGTCTTCTCCAAGCCAGGCTTCTCCCCTGAGGATTCTACCTCAGCTAACGCTGTGGAGCTATTTGCGATGCAAGGCTCTCCTGCGTAACACTCTGGAGAAGCCACTAAACTTCCCTAAGCCAGCTTACTCCCCACTTCAGGAGGAGGACAGTAACCCTTATGTGTCTACACATACAGGCATGGATAGGTGGCGAAGTGTGATGTCAGGTTAAAAAGGGCAAGTAGAGGCTGAGCCCGGTGGCTCACATCTGTAATTCCAGCACTTTAGGAGGCCGAGGCAGGCAGATAACCTGAGGTCGGGAGTTCGAGACCACCCTGACCAACATGGAGAAACCCTGTCTCTACTAAAAATACAAAATTAGCCTAGTGTGGTGGCGCATCCCTGTAATCCCAGCTACTTGGGAGGCTGAGGCAGGAGAATAGCTTGAACCCAGTAGGCAGAGATTGCGGTGAGCCGAGATTGCACCATTGCACTCCAGCCTGGGTGACAAGAGCAAGACTCGTCTCAAAAAAAAAAAAAAAAAGGGCAAGTAGAGGCTGGGCATGGTGGCTCACTCCTGTAATCCCAGCACTTTGGGAGGCTGAGGATGGCAGATCGCTTGAGCCCAGGAGTTCAACACCAGCCTGGGCAACAACATGAAACCCCATCTGTGTGAAAGATATAAACATTAGCTGGGTGTGGTGGCATGCACCTATAGTCTCAGCTACTCAGGAGGCTGAGGTGGGAGGATTGCTTCAGTCCAGGAGGTAGAGGCTGCAGTGAGCTATGATTGCACCACCAGACTCCAGCCTGGGTGACAGAGCAAGATCGTGTCTCAAAAAAGGCGGGGGATAGGGGGACAGTAGCAGGTATGATGAAATAACCTACATGATACCACCCCATTTTTGCCAAATAATGGTAAAATACAGCAGTGATAGTACTGTATTAGTATATGAGAGATACATGTAAAACACAGCAACTTTGGGATAGAGAGCGGGTTTGTAAAGTGATTGGTACTTTCCATGTATTTCTATATGTATACTTTGTAAATAATACTTTTTGTAATCAGAAAAAACATATAGGTTTTAAAAAATACCCAGCTCTGGATCACCTGAGGTCAGGAGTTCGAGACCAGCCTGGCCAACATGGTGAAACCCCGTCTCTACTAAAAATACAAAAATTAGCTGGGCGTGGTGGCACACGCCTGTATTCCTACTACTCAGGAGGCTGAGGCAGGAGAATTGCTTGAACCCAGGAGGTGGACATTGCAGTGAGCTGAGATTACACCACTGTACTCTAGCCTAGGCAACAGAGCGAGACTCCGTCTCAAAAAAAAAAAAAAAAAAAAAACCATGGCTGGGCCATGGTGGCTCACGCCTGTAATCCCAGCACGTTGGGCAGCCAAGGCGGGTGGATCATTTGAGGTCAGGAGTTCGAGACCAGCCTGGCCAACATGATGAAACCCCGTCTTTACTAAAAATATAAAAATTAGCCATATGGTAGTTGTGTGAGCCTATAATCCCAGCTATTCAGGAGGCTGAGGCAGGAGAATCACTTGAGCCTGGGAGGTGGAGGTTGCAGTGAGCCTAGATCGCACCACTGCACTCCAGCCTGGGCGAGAGAGTGAAACCCTGTCTCAAACAACAACAAAAAGAAAAGAAGAGGGGAGGGGAGGAGACGGGAGGACCCAGCTCTGGAGGGAGGAAAGAAAAAAAAACAACTTAGTTCTCAGTTCTCAGGGTTGTTGGGAAAAACAAAGGTCCGTAAAGAGGCCCTATACCTAGAACACAGTTCATTCGGTGAACGGAAAGGAGCTGTGTGAGCTGTTTTTTCATTTAGCTAACTTTCATTTAGCTCACTTTCATTTAGAAGTGCTGGCTATGTACTCTACATGTTACCCACATCACCTTTCTCCAGCTGGCACCCTATTTTATTTTCTTCAAGTAGCTTTCATCACCAGGCATTATCTGATAGGTTGTTTTTACCTGGCTGCACATGATTCATGCCCTGGAACCGTGCCTGGCCTTGAGAAGGTGCTCAGTAATAAATGTTGTTGAGCAAAAAAATGAATGCACCGATCATACCTAGATCAGGGCTCAGTGGGGCAGGGGGTAGGAATGGAACTCACAGCTCTGGTGGGCTGGGGGCAGCAAGCATCCAGGAAGTGGGCCGGGCTAGGCAGAGGAAAGTTGCAGGCTTCTGCACAGGTCCAGCAGCAGTCTGGGGGCCCGGAGGAACCTTGCTTCCTGCAGGGGGAGCTACCGTCCGCGCAGCAGCCCTGGGCCTAGGTCACAGGGTTCAGGATGTGGAATAGGCAGCAGGTAGTGACAGCCAAGGCAGCTTTCCCGAGGGGAAAGGAAAAGGTTTGGCTGGGGACAGGAGAGGAGGGACCCCCTGGTACCACAAAACGGATAGATGCAAGGGCTAAATGTCAAGTGTCTCAGGGTAAGAGCCTGCAGATGAAGGGACAGGTTACCGGGATTCCTCTTCCCCAGAGCCCACCCTTTATCCCCGACCAGACCCCTCACCAGCAGGCAGTTCCTAGTCAGCAGGACTAGACCCAGCAGCAACAAATAGATGCCCACAGCGATGAAGACGATGGCAGGGATGGGGAGCAGCAGGGGAGGGCTGCTGACAGGAGCCGGGGTTGGATTCCACGGGCTAGAGGAGGCCTGGACGAGTACAGGAGGAAGGGGTGACAAGGAGATGGAGAGGGGCTGCAGGAACACGGGAATACCATGAGGGACGAGGAGGTGGCTGGGAGAGGAACGGCCACCAGATGGTGGGGAGAGCGTCAACAGGACTACACCCTGACTCATTATCTTGTGCCCTGAGCCTGCCTTTTTCCCTATCATTCCCAGTTCAGCAACATCAAGCACTTCAGCATTCTAGAGTCTTCTAGGGCTGATTTTCCTTCTGGAATGCCTCTCCAAAGAGATCTCTTGTCTCTGACTCCCTTGCCACTCCTTTACCATCCCTCAGCCCACATTACCGGCTCCTGTCATCCAACCTGCAATTTTGCCCCTTTCCACACCAGATGTCCTTGTGTAGTATCCCTCCCTCCCTTACAATCCGTCAATGGCTCCCAGTAACTCACTTAAAACTTTTTCTATTATTTATTTTATTATTATTATTCTTATTGAGACGGAGTATCACTGTCACCCAGGCTGGAGCAGTGGGGCAAGCTTGGTTCATGCAACCTCTGCCACCCGGGTTCAAGCGATTCTCCTACTTCAGCCTCCCTAGTAGCTGGGATTACAGGTGCGCGCCACGACGCCCAGCTAATGTTTGTATTTTTAGTACAGAGGGGGTTTTGCCATGTTGGCCAGGCTGGTCTTGAACTCCTGATCTCAGGTGATCCGCCCGCCTCGGCCTCCCAAAGTGCTGGGATTCCAGGCATGAGCCACCGCACCTGGTCAATTTTTTTAGAGACAGTGTCTCACTCTGTCACCCAGGCTGGAGTGCAGCGGCATGATCATGGCTCGCTGCAGCCTCGAGCTCCTGGGCTTAAACGATCCTCCCACCTCAGTCTCCTCAGTAGCTGGAATTACAGGCGACAGCCACCACGCCTGGCACTTAAAATTTATGTCAGTGACAAAATTCCCAATTTAGCCCTGCCTACCTCTCTCCCTCCCCCTCTTCCAAACACACGATAGCCCTAGCAGTTCCCCAAATGCTGCAGCCTCCCTCTCACCCCCAGACTGTTTCCTCTGCCGGAAATGCCTTTTCTCGTGGATTACTTAGTCAACTCCTTATCTTGCCAGGAATACCAGAAATGTGCCCTCCCGTGGGAAGTCCATTCCTGGACTCTTCCTGACAGCTCTCGTCCTGAGCTGGCAGGTTGTAGTCTCTGTTGGGTAGAAGCCCCCTCCCCAGTCCGTGCTGGAAGACAGGCCCATTCGGGGTTAGGAGAGGGCGCTGAGGGGGCCCAGAGAGGGGAAGGGGCCCGGACTTACGTCCATGGGGAAGGGCAGAGCCAGTCAGTCCGGGAGCTGCAGAAGGAAGGTTCTGGGTCTCAGAGGCTGAGAGGCACCGTTAGACCGGGGTGCCCACCCTCCTTCCCTTTCCTGTTTGGGGAAACTGAGGCCATGGCTGGGCCGGAGGGTGGAATTCGGGAAGGGGAATGGGGGGCGGGGGATCCGAGGCGGCGCCTTCCTCGCAGGCTCCAGCGCGCCCCAGGCCACTCCCCTCCTCAGTCCCCACACTCCGGGCTTCCCCAGTCGGTCAGCACCCATCACCTGCACCCTCGGGCCGCGGGCAATTCACGGATTCCGCGCCAAGCTAGGTCCAATCGTCCGAGGGACCGGCCCCGCCCAGAAGCCGTTCGCGGCATCCCGCTGTTGCCATGGTGACCAGAGCGGTGTTTGTACGGCGGCTGCCGAGGCCCAAACTCCCTCTTCCCGCCTCGCGCCTCCCTCTTCCCGCCTAAGCTTCAACTGTCACCGGCTCTGCGCCGCCGCGGCCCTCGGGGCTTTCTCGCGGGGAGCGAAGGGGAAGAGCGAATCCCGCCGCCGCCCGCCTGGGTCGGATCCTCATCAGATGCCGGACGTTGGAGGAGGCACCGGGTTCTGGGGCGCCACAGGAGGATTGAACCCCCAGGCTACACCCACCACTTGGATGTATCTCCGGCCAAGCCACTGAGCATCTGCAAAAGGGAGAAACGCCTGCCGCTCAGGGATATTGTAAACATCAATGCTACTTTTTATATTTTATTTATATTTATTTATTTATTTATTTATTTATTTATTTATTTATTTTTGAGACGGAGTCTCGCTCTGTCGCCCAGGCTGCAGTGCAGTGGCGCGATCTCGGCTCACTGCAACCTCCGCCTCCCGTGTTCAAGTGATTCACCTGCCTCAGCCTCCCGAGTAGCTGGGATTACAGGCGCGCACTACCACACCCGGCTAATTTTTGTATTTTTAGTAGAGACAGGGTTTCGCAATGTTGACCAGGCTGGTCTCGAACTCCTGACCTCAAGTGATGCGCCCGCCTCAGCTTCCCAAAGTGCTGGGATTATAGGCGTGAGCCACCGCGCCGGGCCCGGTTCTTTTTTACTGATTTATTTATTAATTGATTTATTTATTTTTTGGAGACAGATTTTCGCTCATCTCCCAGGCTGGAGTGCAATGGTGTGATCTTGGCTCACTACAACCTATGTCTCCTGGGTTCAAGCGATTCTCCCGCCTCAGCCTCCCGAGTAGCTGAGATTACAGGCGACTGCCACCACGCACACCTAATTTTTGTATTTTTAGTAGAGACGGGGTTTCACCATGTTGGCCAGGCTGGTCTCGAACTCCTAACCTCAGGCAATCCCGCCCGCCTTGGCCTCCCAAAGTGCTAGGATTACTGGCATGAGCCACTGTGCCCAGCCTTTTTTTCTGAATTTTTAGAGATGTGGTCTTGCTATGTTGTTAAGGCTGGTCTTGAACTCCTGGGCTCAAGCAGTCCTCCAGCCTCAGCCTCCCAGGTAGCTGGGATTACAGGCATAAGCCACCTTCAGTAGGATCTGCTGAAGCTTCCTGAACCAGTGTGTAGGGTCTCACATTTCCACAGCTTTGCAGTTGCTGATCCCTCTGCCTGGAACACCCTCTGTCTTCCCCTCAAACCTCTTCCTCATCCCTCAAGCACGTCCTCAGTTTTGCCTCTGTGAGGTCTCCCTGCCAACCTCAGGCAGAGGTGGCTGCTTTGGACTGTGAATTCCCACAGCATCCTACAGATACTGTTGTTCTCGCACTTCTCACAAGATACTTGAATTCCTCACTTCCATGTCTGGCTCCACAATTAGACTGCAAGTGTCTGGGGCCTGGTCTGAGTCATCTCCGTATCCTGAGCTCTAGTACTTGGCCTAGCCCTGGGAGCCTTGGTGAATACTCACTGATTCTTTTTCTTTCTTTCTTTCTTTTTTCTTTTCTTTTCTTTTTTTTTTTTTTTTTTGAAACGGAGTTTTGCTCTTGTCGCCCAGGCTGGAGTGCAATGGTGTGATCTCAGCTCACTGCAACCTCCGCCCTGGATTCAAGCAATTCTCCTGCCTCAGCTTCCAGAGTAGCTGGAAGTGCCACCATGCCCAGCTAATTTTGTATTTTTAGTAGAGACGGGGTTTGTCCATGTTGGTCAGGCTGGTCTCGAACTCCCGACCTTAGGTGTTCTGCCCGCCTTGGCCTCCCAAAGTGCTGGGATTACAGGTGTGAGCCACTGCGCCTGGCCTGTTTTTTTCTTTTAATAAAGTAGACATGGGGTCTCACTATGTTGGCCAGGCTAGTCTCCAACTCCTGCCTCAAATGATCCTCCCACCTCGGCCTCCCAGGTTGCTGGTATTACAGGCCAGAGCCACTGCACTCAGCCAATACTCACTGATTCTATGAATGAATTGAAACCAAACACCATCCACGAATGAAGCATTGTTTTCCACACGTCCTAATTTCCTTGGCTTTCAAGGCACTCAGACCTCCCCGTTTCATTCCTAACCTTTTTAGATCACACACACACAGACACTTGCACACACCCACACATGCACGCTCACACAAGCACCCCTCTCTATGGAGGCCTCCGACTTCCTAAACGATGGCTGAATCCTGGCATTTTCCCCTAAAAACAATGCCACCATATACCTATTTTTGTCCATGTTCTCCACCCCAACATACCTCACCACAGCTGCTGCTCCTGGGGTTTCCTACACCATGAGGCAGCCACGGAAACTGCCAGGGGCTGTGTCCCTGGATCCAAATCTTCCCTCCCACTGTCAACCATACTGAGGTGGTCTCAGCCACCCTCTTGGCCACCCCTGGCCCTCTCAGAGGGCGTTTCAAGCCCAGAAAACAGAAGTCTAGCTGTTGCTAATGTCACCATTATTGATCCTAAAGAAGATTGTCTTCTTAGGCTGTCTTCCGGTTTTTGTTTTTGTTTTTGTTTTTTTTGAGACAGAGTCTCACTCGGTAGCCCAGGCTGGAGTGCAATGGCACAATCATGGCTCACCACAACAGCCTCGACCTCCTGGCTCAAGGGATCCTTCCACCTCAGTCTCCCAAGTAGCTGAGACTACAGGTGCATGCTACGACACCCAGCTAATTTTTAAAATTTTTTGTATAGACGGGGTCTCACTGTATTGCTCAGGCTGTTTTTGAACTCCTGGGCTCAGGCGATCCTCCTGCCTCAGCCTCTCGAATTGCTGGGATTACAAGCGTGAACCACTGTGCCCGGCCTTGGGCGGTCTTATTGTCTGATGGAATCCTGAGGACCAAGTTGAGGCCAGTTCTCACCTCAGCCCTACAAAAGGCCTCCAGGAACACATATTCTGCATATTCTGCCAACAGAGAGACTTCAGCCTTGGCAAGGCCCCTGGACACGTCCGTGGCCTGCAGTGCCCAGACTCGCTGGTGCTGGTGTTTTGTTCCTACCATGGGCTCATACATTATGCAGGAGCACGGGCAGTGCCCCAGGCTTGTGTGTTGCCAGGCAAGCCAAGACAAGGGATGATGTATGCACCCCACTTTGCCAAGGCCCCATTTCTTTTCTTTCTCTTTTTTTTTTTTTTTGAGATGGAGTCTTGCTCTGTTGCCCACGCTAGAGTGCAGTGGTGCGATCTCAGCGCACTGCAACCTCTGCCTCCCAAGTTGAGTGATTCTCCTATCTCAGCCTCCCAAATAGCTGGGATTACAGACGCATGCCACCATGCCCGGCTAATTTTTGTATTTTTAGTAGAGACAGGGTTTCACCATGTTGGCCAGGCTAGTCTTAAACTCCTGACCTTGTGATTTGTCCACGTCGGCCTCCCAAAGTGCTGGGTTACAGATGTGAGCTACTGCGCCTGGCTGTGCCGAGGCCCCACTTCTATCCACATCACAACATTTGCTGGGGGCAGAGAAAAACTGACTTCACAATAGCCAGCTAACCGCAAAGTCTCCTCTCCCGAAGTTGGAAGCTGGAGATGTCAGATGTATCATATGTAGTTCCGCACTTCCCCTAGGAAAGGGCAGACAGGATTGTATACTTCCAATAATCGTGGGGTGGGTGGGAGATCAGAGATGCAGAGTTCCCAGAAGATGAAAGAAGCTTCAGCAGGCTTGGACGTGGGAAGGGACCTGGCAGTTCTGATTCTGATCTAATACTTTCAGCTGCCTCCAATGGACATCCAACGATATCATCTCCCAGAGATTAAGAAGAGGTTCACCAGCCTCCTTAGTATAAAATGAAAGGCTTGTGTTTAGGTAATTACCCTGGGGGAATAAAGAAGCAGTGCTGAGCTAGAGCTGGTGTCAACAGAGGCCTCTCCACAGACTTTATCTTACTTAATCCTTACAGGAGGCACGAGTGGCAGAAACAATTACTTCCATCTTATAGGTTGGAAATAATAATGGCCCAGTTGGAAACAAAACGAAAAAAACCTTTAGGCCAGTGCAGTGGCTCACGCCTGTAATCCCAGCACTTTGGGAGGCCAAGGCAGGCGGACCACCTGAGGTCAGGAGTTTGAGATCAGCTTGGCTAGCATGGCAAAACCCCATCTCTACTAAAAATACAAAAATTAGCTGGGCATGGTGGCAGGTGCCTATAATCCAAGCTACTTGGGAGGCTGAGACAGGAGAATTGCTGGAACCCATGAGGTGAAGGTTGCAGTGAGCCAAGATCGCACCACTGCACTCCAGCCTGGGTGACAGACAGAGACTCCGCCCCCAAAAAGAAAAAAAAATAGCTGGGCGTGGTGGTGCATGCCTGTAATCTCAGCTACTCGGGAGGCTGAGGCAGGAGAATCACTTGAACTGGGGAGGCAGAGGGCAGAGGTTGCAGTGAGTTGAGATCATGTCACTGAACTCCAGCCTGGGCGAGAAAAAAAAAAAGCCTTTAGAACCAGGAAAGATCTGGATTTGAATTCTAGTTCTGCCACAGTATATCTGTGCAACCCTGGACAAGTCAATTGACCTCACTGAGCCTCAGTTGTACTCATGTGGAAAGTGGGGATAACCCTCAGGGACTGGCAGGGCTTTCTGTGATTATTTGAGAAAATGTATGCAAGGCACATGGCATAGAATGAAGGCTCATTAAAATATATAGCCAGGTGCAGTGGTTCATGCCTGCAATCCCCCAGCACTTTGGGAAGCTGAGGTGAAAGGATCGGTTGAGCCCAGGAGTTCAAGACCAGCCTCAGAAACATAGTGAACTCCATCTCTACAAAAAAAAAAGAAAAATTAGACATGCATGTTTTCTAATTTTCATGTGTATTTATGGTCCAACTACTTGGGAAGCTGAGGTGGAAGAATCTCTTGAGCCCAGGAGTTTTTTTGTTTGTTGTTGTTGGTGGTGGTTTTTTTTTTTTCTTTTGGAGGCGAAGTTTCACTCTTGTTGCCCAGGCTGGAGTGCAGTTGTGCGATCTTGACTCACTGCAACCTCTGCCTTCTGGGTTCAAGCGATTCTTCTGCCTCAGTCTCCTAAGTAGCTGGGATTACAGGCACCCGCCACCACGCCCAGCTAATTTTTGTATATTTAGTAGAGACAGGGTTTCACCATGTTGACCAGGCTGGTCTTGAACTTCTGACCTCAGGTAATTCACCCGCCTTGGCCTCCCAAAGGGCTGGGATTACAGGCGTGAGCCACCACGCCAGGGCTGAGCCCAGGAGTTTGAGACTACAGTGAGCTATGATTACACCACTCCACTCCAGCATGGGCAACAGAGTGAGACACTATCTCAAAAAAAAAAAAAATTATAGGCCACGTACAGTGGCTCACACCTGTAATCCCTGCATTTTGGGAGGCTGAGGCGGGTGGATCACCTGAGGTCAGGAGTTTGAGACCAGCCTGGCCAACATGATGAATACCCAGTCTCTACAAAAAATACAAAAATTAGGCTGGGTGTGGTGGCTCTCACCTGTAATCCCAGCACTGCGGGAGGCCGAGGCAGGCGGATCACTTGAGGTCAGGAGTTCGTGACCAGCCTGGCCAACATGGTAAAACCCTGTCTCTACTAAAAATACAAAAATTAGCCGAGCATGGCGGCACGTGCCTGTAATCCCAGATACTCAGGAAGCTGAGGCAGGAGAATTGCTTGAACCTGGGAGGCAGAGGTTGCAGTGAGCTGAGATTGCACCACTGGACTCCAGCCTGGGTGACAGAGGAAGACTCCATCTCAAAAAAAGAAAAAAACCCAAAACCAAAAAGCAAAAATTAGCCAGGCACGGTGGCACATGCTTGTAGCCCCAGCTACTCAGGAGGCTGAGGTGGGAAGATTGCTTGACCGCTGGGGGCAGAGGTTGCAATGAGCCGAGATTGCGCTAGATAGATAGATAGATAGATAGATAGACAGACAGACAGACAGACAGACAGACAGACAGATGACACAACAGGCAGGGCATGGTGGCTCATGCCTGTAATTCTAGCTACTTAGGAGGCTGAAGAGGGAGGATCAGTTGAGCCCAGGAGTTCAAGGCTACAGGGAGCCATGATCATGCCACTGCACTCCAGCCTGGACGACAGATCGAGATCTCATCTCTAAATATATACATTTTGAATGACTATTAATGAATATCACAATGCGTATGTGTATAGCAACTGTGCTTTACACAGATCTCATTTAATCACCCCAGCAGCCCCAGGTAGAGGTGCTGCTGTTTCATTGATGAGGAGCCCAAGGCTCAGAGGAGTTGAATCCCTTGCACAAGGATGCCAGGCTAGTGACTGGCAGAAGCAGGACTTAGGCCTGGCAATGGGACTTGGTGTGTGCTCAGTGGAGGCTCAGAGAGGTTGTGAAATTTGGCCAAGGTCACACAGCCAGTCTATGTGAGAAGAAAGGGATTGGACCCTTAGCTGTCTGACTCCAATCACCTGCTGTGCCCTCAGCTTTTTCTGGTGTGCAGATAGAGGGTGGGACTGGCATTGCTTGGGACAGTCCCTAACCTGGGACAGGTAAGTAAAAATACTAAATAATAAATGCTCTGGCACGCCAGCCAGGACTTGCCCCAGAGCCCAGGCGGGGGGAATCGGACCCTTCCCTGGGTATCATGTGGGAAACAGGCCACTTCTGGCCACTTATTGTTTACTTATTCACAGCCTTTGATGATATCACACTTGCACACCTCCGCAGGGCACCCGGTGGAGAGGATGAGTGAAACAGCCTGTGGGCGGCAGAACCTGGAAGAACAGAGAACGGTAAACTCAAGGCCAAGGGTAAATTGGGTGGCGGGTCTCTAAGGACTGCCTGGGGGTGAAACTCACCTGGGGAGACAGGCTAGGGGAAGGAAAGATGGTGGCCAAAGTCACAGAGGCTTGGATGGGCCCTCCTATACCCCTGCCCTGCACTGCCCCTCCACACGTGGTGGACTGCCTAATGCTCTATGTTTTGTTTGTTTTTGTTTTGTTTTTGAGACAGGGTCTCCCTCTGTCACCCAGGTTGGAGTGCAGTGGCGCGATCATGGCTCACTGTGGCCTCCACCTCCCTAGCTCAAGCGATCCTCTCACCTCAGCCTCCTAAGTAGCTGGGACTACAGGCACACAGCACCACGCCCAGCTAATTTTTTTGACTTTTTGTAGAGAGGAGGTCTCACTGTGTTGCCCAGCCTGGCCCCATGCTTTCTGGCTGCACACCCAGGCCAGGACAGGCTGGTGTGTCTCCCTTCCTCTGCTGGGATGTCCTGAACACCCATTGACCACCCGACAAGGGTTCAGAGTATGTGGTGCATCCCATCTTGGGTTTATTTTAGGTGGTATGTCAGCAAGAAGACACACACACACACAAACACACACCACACACACAAACACACACAACACACACACACACAAACACACACCAAACACATCAACACACACACCATACACACACCACATAAACACACATACCACACACAAATACACACACACACCACACAAACACACACACCACTCACCACACACATACCACATACACCACACACACACCACATACACCACACACACACACCACACATACCACACACACCACACACACACACCATACACACCACACAAACACACATACCACACACACAAATACACACACACCACACATGCACCACACACACACCACACACACTACACAAACACACCACACACCACACACACCATACCCACGCACACCACACACACAAACCACACACACACACACCACACACACAAACACACACAAACACCACACACACACCCCATACACCCACCCCACACACACCCCACCACACACACACCACACACATCACACACACACCACACACACACCCTGAACAAGCTACTCTCTTTCTCTTTCCAATTCCCTTTCAACGCTTCTGATTACTGCAGGAGAAACTCTCAATTTGCTGCCAGAAACCCTTTAACACCTTTCTCTCTGTGCTTATCTTTTTGTTCTTTTTTTTTTTTTTTTTTTTTTTTTTTGAGATGGAGTCTTGCTTTGTCGCCCAGGCTGGAGTACAGTGACACGATCTTGGCTCACTGAAATCTCCACCTCCTGGGTTCAAGCAATTCTTCTGCCTCAACCTCCTGACTAGCTGGGATTACAGGTGCATGCCACCACGCCCGGCTAATTTTTATATTTTTAGTAGAGATGGGGTTACACCATATTGGCCAGGGGCTGGTCTCGAACCCTTGACCTTAGTTAATCCGCACCCCCCCGCCGCCCGCCGGCCTCCAAAGTGCTGGGATTACAGGCTTGAGCCACTGCGCCCGGCCTGATCTTTCTTTTTTGAACAAGGAGAGAGCCAGCCTCCAGTTCAGAATGAGCAGCTGCCCATAGTATCTAGCTAGAATGTTATAAAATGTGTTTTCATTTTGTATATTTTTTGTTACCTTCTGTTTATCACAGGTGGTACTGGTTTTCTATTTTCCAGAGTGATAAAAAGTTTCCTTTTAAAGTACATGGTAGCCACAGTGGCTTACTTCTGTAATCCCAGCACATTGGGAGGCCAAGGCAGGCAGATCGCCTGAGGTCAGGAGTTTGAGACCAGCCTGGGCAACAGGTTGAAACCCTGTCTCTACTAAAAAAAATACAAACAATTAGCCGAGTGTGGTGGCAGGCACCTGTAATCCCAGCTACTCGGGAGGCTGAGGCAGGAGAATAGCTTAAACCCAGGAGGCGGAGGTTGCAGTGAGCCGAGATCGCACCATTGCCCTCCAGCCTGGGCAACAAGAGCGAAACTTCATCTCAAATGAAAGAAAATAAAGTACATGGTTAGTTTAGCACTGTGGCTCATGCCTGTAATCCCAGCACTCTGGGAGGTGTGAGGCAGGCAGATCACTTGAAGTCGGGAGTTTGAGACCAGCCTGGGCAACATGGTGAAACCCCATCTCTACTAAAAATACAAAAATTAGCCAAGTGTGATGGCACACACTTGTAATCCCAGCTACTCCAGAGGCTGAGGCAGGAGAATCGCTTGAACCTGGGAGGCGGAGGTTGCAGTGAGCTGAGATCGCACCACTGCACTTTAGCTTGGGAGACAGAGTTAAAAAAAAAAAAAAAAGGACATGGTTAGCTCATGCTAACCATGGTGGTTCACACCTATAATCCCAGCACTTTGTGAGGCCGAGGCAGGAGGATCGGGCGTATTGCTGGAGCTCAGGAGTTTGAGACCAGCATGAGCAACATGGCGAAACCCTGTCTCTACCAAAAATACAAAAAATTAGCCGTGCATGGTGGTGGCTTGCCTATGGTCCCAGCTACTCAGGAGGCTGAGGCAGGAGGATCACTTGAGCCTGGCAAATGGAGGTTGCAGGAAGCTGAGATGGCACCACTGCATTCCAGCCTGGGCAACAGAGTGAGAACCCCATCTCAAAAAATAATACATGGTGAAAAACAAAACAAAACGCACAACCTGTGCTCTGAAAATCAGATTACTTGGTTCAAATCCCCGCTTGTGCCACTTTCTACCTGCATGACCTTGAGCAAGCCACACAACCTCTCTGTGCCTCAATTTCCTCATCCGAACAGTGACTGAGAGTATGTCTCACCTGACACGTGATTTGTGCCTATAATCCCAGCACTTCGGGAGGCCAAGGTAGGAGAATGCTTGAGGCCAGGAGTTTGAGACCAACCTGGGCAACAAATCGAGACCCCCATCTGTAGGAAAAACTTAAAAAATAAGCTGGTAGTGATGAGCCTGAGAGCCTGTAGTCCCAGCCACTTGGGAGGCTGAGGCAGGAGGATCCCCTGAGCACAGGAATTTGAGGTTACAGTGAGCTAATCGTACCAGTGTACTTCATCAAGGGAGACAAAATGAGAGACCCCGTCTCAAAAATCAAAACAAAACAAAAACCCCAGTATGTCTGTCTTAAGATTATTGTGGATATTATGTTAGTTAATATATATAAAGGGCTTAGATTGCTGCCGGATGTCTAGTAAATGCTCTATAAATGTTTGCTTTTTTTTTCTTTTGGAGACGGAGTTTTACTCTGTCACCAGGCTGGAGTGCAGTGGTCTGATCTCGGCTCACTGCAGCCTCTGCCTTTCAGTTTCAAGCAATTCTCCTGCCTCAGCTTCCTGAGTAGCTGGGATTACAGGCGTGTGCCACCACGCCTGGCTAATTTTTTTTGTATTTTTAGTAGAAATGGGCTTTCACCATGTTGGTCAGGCTGGTCTCAAACTCCTGACCTCATGATCCACCCACCTCGGCCTCCCAAAGCATTGCGATTACAGGTGTGAGCCACTGTGCCTGGCCTAATGTTTGCTCTTATTAGGTCAAATAGAGAAAAACAACAACAACAATAACAACAACAAAAAACACCCATAACTGACCATAACTGAGGTTTTTTTTTGTGGGGAAACAAAGGTTTGGAGAAGCTAGAGGCTGAGTTAGGATATTGGTAAGTTTCTGGATTCCCAGTCTAATTGCCAGCCATTTCAATCTTCAATAATTAATATAACCTCTCAGCTTCCACTTAATCACTTGCAAAATGGAACTAATCCTATCTCATTGGATGTTGGGATTGATGTGTATAAAGGCGGATCAGAGGCAGGGCACGGTGGCTCATGCCTGTAATCCCAACACTTTGGGAGGCCAAAGCGGGTGGATCACTTGAGGTCAGGAGTTTGAGACCAGCCTGGCCAACATGGTGAAACCCCGTCTCTACTAAAAATACAAAAATTAGCTGGGTGTGGTGGTGGGCGCCTTGGGAGACTGAGGCAGGAGAATCGCTTGAACCCAGCGGGGGCAGATTGCAGTGAGACAAGATCGTGCCACTGCACTCCAGCCTGTGCAAAAGAGTAAAACTCCATCTGAAAAAAATAAAATAAAATAAAATAAATAAGTAAATAAATAAATAAAGGCGGCTCAGAAAATGAGCATTAGGACAATGATGCCTTCTCAACTGGTATAATATCGCCCCCAAGGGGGCAAAAAACTTACTCTTTTTAATATGGAAAAGATATATGTAAATAGACATAAATATATCTGTGTTATTAAACTTTCGTGATAGGCAGCGATTAGAAAAAAAAGTGTAAAAAGGGCTCCTTAGGGGAACAATAATGAAAGAAAAATTGAGAAACACTGCTCTCCAAACCAAGATTTTTCCCGCTTGGCTTGTTTAGCCACTAGTGGGCAGTGAAATTGGCTTAATGGGTCATGATCAATATTTGGTGGAAAAATGGTCTAGAAAATTCCACAGGGCACTGCATATAGTAAGTCAGAATGTGTTGTGCAAAGGTTTTCCATTCAACGTGTGGGTGCATGAACTGCAGTCACAAAATAAAAGATATCTCGGCTGGGCGCCATGGCTCACCTCTGTAATCCCAACACTTTTTTTTTTTT
Source organism: Homo sapiens (assembly GCF_000001405.40). Lineage (NCBI taxonomy): Eukaryota > Metazoa > Chordata > Mammalia > Primates > Hominidae > Homo > Homo sapiens. The sequence continues at coordinate 30,041,727 of NC_000016.10, read as the reverse complement.
TTTTTTGAGACAGAGTCCCACTCTGTGGCCCAAGCTGGAGTGCAGTGGCGTGATCTCGGCTCACTGCAAGCTCTGTCTCCCAGGTTCATGCCATTCTCCTGCCTCAGCCTCCCAAGTAGCTGGGACTACAGGCACCCACCACCATGCCCAGCTAATTTTTTGTATTTTACAAAAATTACAGGCGTGTGTAATCCCAACACTTTGGTAGGCCAAGGCGGGCAGCTCACTTGAGGTCAGGAGTTCAGACCAGCCTGGCCAATATGGTGTCTCTACTAAGAATACAAAAATTAGCCAGGCGTGGTAGCATGCACCTGTAATCCCAGCTACTTGGGAGGCTGAGGTAGGAGAATCATTTACGCAGGAGGTGGAGGTTGTAGTGAGCTGAGATTGTGCCACTGCACTCCAGCCTGGACAACAGAGTGGGACTCTGTCTCAAAAAAACAAAACAAACAAACAAAAAATAAATACATAAAGAAATAAAATAAAAGATATCTCTTGTGGGTCACTATTAAAAAAATTTAAAGCCATTGCTCAAAACCACAATTTTCTCCTCTCATATTTTCTCTCTCAGACAAGCCTGTGCAGCCTTGGACTGTTTTGCTCTCAACAAGAAGAAATCGACAAGGAAAGGAAGAAATGTAGGAGAGAGTCCAGATTCCAGTGAGACTCGGGCCTGACTCTAACCAGCTCATGGCCTGTAAACTTTCCTCCCTTCCACATTTTCTTGTCTAGGGTAAGCACAGGTGCAGAGGAAAATGACCATCCCTGGTCACACTCAGTGGCTCACGCCTGTAATCCCAGAATTCTGGGAGGCTGAAGCAGGAGGATCGCTTGAGCCCAGGAGTTGAAGACCAGCCTGGGCAACATAGCAAGATCCCATCTCTAGAAAAAAAAACCTCCCCAGATTAGCCAGGTGTGGTGGTGCACGCCTGTCATCCCAGCTACTCAGGAGGCTGAGGTGGAAGGATCACTTGAGCCCGGGAGGTGGAGGCTGCAGTGAGCTGTGATTGTGTCACTGCACTCCAGCCTGGGTGACAGAGTGAGACTCTGTCTCAAATTTAAAAAAAAAGAAAAAGAAAATAACTGCAGAGGGGTGCTACTCCTCCTCACTCCTTCTGCCTCTCCTACTCTCATCCCTTCTCTTCCCCTTTTTCCCTCTCCCACCTTCTCTCCTCCCCTCATGCCTTCCCCTCTCTTCGCCTCCTTTTCTCCAGACTTGGAAGGCAGCGGTCACATTTACCGATTTTGTCATGTACTGTATGGTCTGAAGCATGTCATTCAACTTTTCTGAGACTCAGATTTCTCAGCAGTAAAATGAGGAAGTTATTTGTAAGGTGGCATAGATGATTAAACGGGAACATGTATATAAAGTATTTCAGCCTGGTGCCTGGCATACAGTGGGTGCTCAGAATGACAGTAACTGGCTACTGGCTACCGTGTGAAGTATTGTAGTTTCTATGCATTGGCATGATTTAGTCCTCACAATGAGCTATGCAGGAGCTGGGCAAATAGCAGGGCAGGCTGCCTGGTTTCAGACCCCAGCTCAGGATCTTTTCATATATATATATATATATATATATTTTTTTTTTTTTTTGAGACAAAGTCTTGCTGTGTTGCCCAGATTGGAGTGCAGTGGCACCATCTCGGATCACTGCAACCTCCGCCTCCTGGGTTCAAGCAATTCTCCTGCCTCAGCCTCCTGAGTGATTGAGATTACGGATGTGCACCACCATACCTGGCTAATTTTTGTATTTTCAGTAGGGATGGGGTTTCGCCATGTTGGCCAGGCTGGTCTCGAACTCCTGACCTCAGGTGATCCACCCCCTTCTGCCTCCCAAAGTGCTGGGATCACAGGCGTGAGCCACCATGCCTGGCCGCTCTTGGTTTAACTTTTAATTTTCAGAGTCCCATCCAGAGGGAAGAAAATAAAGTAGCTAAAGAAGCAAACACTGGCCGAGCATGGTGGCTCATGCCTGTAATCCCAGCACTTTAGGAGGCCAAGGCAAGGGGATTGCTTGAGGCCAGGAGTTCAAGACCAGCCTGAGCAACATAGCAAGACCCCATCTCTATAAAAAGTACAAAGATTCCTTTCCATAGAACATAGCTAAAAATTTTTTTTTAAATACAAAAATTAGCTGAGTGTTGTGTGCACACCTGTAGTCCCAGCTACTCTGGAGGCTGAGGCAGAGGCTAAGGAGGATTGCTTGAGTCCAGAAGTTTGAGTCTGCAATGAGGTAGGATCATGCCATTGCATTCCAGTCTGGACAACAGAGTGAGACCCTGTCTCAAAAGAATATGAGGAAGAAGCCGGGCGCAGTGGCTCACACCTGTAATCCCAGCACTTTGGGAGGCTGAGGTGAGCAGACCACCTGAGATCAGGAGTTCGAGACCAGCCTGACCAACAGGGAGAAACCCCATATCTACTAAAAATACAAAATTAGCCAGGCGTGGTGGCGCATGGCTGTAATCCCAGCTACTCGGGAGGCTAAGGCAGGAGAATCGCTTGAATCTGGGAGGCGACGTTTGCGGTAAGCTGAGATTGCGCTATTGCGCTCCAGCCTGGATACCTGGATAACAAGAGCGAACCTCCATCTAAAAAAAAAAAAAAAAAAAAAAAAAAAAAAGAGAGGAAGGAGGAGGAGAAGGATAAGTTCTGAAAATATGAATGAGGATGTCTAAATTGTATTCAGTGGTGTTTTTTCCCTCCTTTTTAAAAAAGCCTTTCAGTTCCTTAGGAAAATAAGTTTATGTTTTCTATATCTGCCTAACATTATAGGGACAAATAAATTCAGAAAATATGATTTTAAAAAATTTTTATTCACTTCCTGACTGTTTAACCTTGGACAAGTTACCAAACCTCTCTGTGCCTCTGTTTTCTGATCTGTAAAACAGAGGTGCAGTAATAATCCCTACCCACAAGGTTGCTTTGGATAAATGACTTGATATTTTTAATTAAATTTTTTTTTTTTTGAGACAGAGTCTCGCTCTGTCGCCCAGGCTGAAGTGCAGTGGCGTGATCTCGGCTTCTCAGCTCACTGCAACCTCCGCCTCCCAGGTTCAAGCGATTCTCCTGCCTCAGCCTCCCAAGTAGCTGGGATTACAGGCACATGCCACCATGCCCAGCTAATTTTTGTATTTTTAGTAGAGATGGGGTTTCACCATGTTGGTCAGGCTGGTCTTGAACTCCTGACCTTGTGATCTGCCCGCCTTGGCCTCCCAAAGTGCTGGGATTACAGGCGTGAGCCACTGCGCCCAGCCCTTAATTGATTTTTTTAGAGACGGAGTCGCACTCTGTGGCCCAAGGCTGGAGTGCAGTCTCGTGATCAAAGCTCACTGCAGCCTCAACCTCCTGTCCTCAAGTGATCCTCTTGCCTTGGCCTCCCAAAGTGCTGGTACTACAGGTGTGCACCACCACACTTGGCCTTTTTTTTTTCTTTTAGAGTCAGAGAATGCAGATCAATGTCTGACCTGTAGTCTAAGCAGCATTTAATGATGTGACACTAATTATTAACCCAACCTCACAGATGAAGAAATTGAGGCCCATAAAGGCTTTGCCCACCATCATTCAGAGAAAGGAAGAGCCTAAATTTAGAATTTTAAAAACTGCAGCTTCACTTAAGGGGCACACATTTTAAGAGGATGCCTCGAGAATGTTTACATATGTATACACTGGTGATCAATATAAGGCCATTTCCAACACTTCAGAAGGTTCCCTGGGGTCTCCTCCCAGTCAATACCTTCCCCAAGTTAAACGCTGTTCAGATTTTTCATGATAGATGTTTTGCTTTTCTGAATTTGATGTAAACAGAGCCATACAGTGTGTTTCTTTATTTGTTTCTTTATTTCAGCAATAGGGAAGTGAAATGTTTCTTTGATTATCTGTGGACTCTGAATTTGAAGTCCATGTACACCCACAGTAGAAATGGCCTTCTTTACCTTTTATCCTACACCGCCTTTTAAATCAATAATTACTTAGGACTACTTTTTTGGGGGGGCAGGGTCTTACTCTGTTGCCCAGGATGGAGTGCAGTGGTATGATCATAGCTCACTACAGCCTTGAACTCCTGGGATCAAGCAATTCTTTCCATTCTTTCGCCTCATCCTTCCAAGTACCTGGGACCACAGGTATATGTCATTGCACTGGACTATTTTATTCTTCTTCTTCTTCTTTTTTTTTTTTTTTTTGAAACACAGTCTCGCTCTGTCGCCCAGGCTGGAGTGCAGTGGTGCCATCTCGGCTCACTGCAAGCTCCGCCTCCCAGGTTCACGCCATTCTCCTGCCTCAGCCTCCGGAGTAGCTGGGACTACAGGCGCCCGCCAACGCGCCTGGCTAAATTTTTTGTATTTTTAATAGAGACAGGGTTTCACCGTGTTAGCCAGGATGGTCTCGATCTCCTGACCCCGTGATCTGCCCGCCTCGGCCTCCCAAAGTGCTGGGATTACAGGCGGGAGCCACCGTGCCCGGCCTATTATTCTAATTTTTTGTAGAGACAGGGGTTCCACTATGTTGCCCAAACTGGTCTTGAACTCCTGGCCTCAAGTGATCCTCCCACCTCGGTCTCTGAGGTGCGGGGATTCCAGCCTGAACCACTGCACTTGCTGTTTTTTTTTTATTTTATTATTTATTTATTTATTTATTTATTTTTTGAGACAGAGTCTCTGTCGCCCAGGCTGGAGTGCAGTGGCGAGATCTCGGCTCATTGCAACCTCTGCCTCCCGGGTTCAAGCGATTCTCCTGCCTCAGCCTCCTGAATAGCTGGGATTACAGGTTCCCACCATCACGCCTGGCTAATTTTTGTATTTTTAGTAGAGACAGGGTTTCCCCATGTTAGCCAGTATGGTCTCGAACTCCTGACCGCAGGTGACCCACTCGCCTCAGCCTCCCAAAGTGCTGGGATTACAGGCGTGAGTCACCACGCCCGGCCCTGCACCTGCTCTTATTTCCCCTCTCCTTTTCTTTCTTTGAGCCCTGTCCCTGAAACATAGCTGTCCATCAAGTCACCAATGGATTCTAATTGGCCAATTCTAGGCAAGGCTTGCTGGAACCGCCCCCCAGCCCCCACAGGAAGCAAATGATAGGGCACATGTATCAACTGGCGGGCCATTAGGAGGATGGCACCTTCTAGCCACTCCACCAATGGAAGAGCATACTCCTGCCCTCCCCAACTGCCTCTACAGAGCAGCCTCGTGCCTTTGCAGTTTGACACCTTCCTTTTATCCCGAGAAGGTCCCTTGGAAGACACTTCAGGAAGGCAGGATGGCAGGACCTGGTTCCCTTCATCCTGCCTGTGCCTGCTCCACACCTCTGCTCCCCAGAGTAGATGGGAGGGGAGGTCTTTCTAAACAAAAATGATATCTATGTAAATATATGTAGTTTCAGGCTTGCACCTGTTATTTCTTTTGTTTTCTTTTTTAATGGAACAACAATCGCTTTGGCTTTATTTTGTTTTTTCAACAAATGTCATTTTAAAGTTCCAAATATCTTGACAACCCCCTCCCTTCCTTTTTCCAAGTTCTGGGTGCTGAGGAGAAACATCAACCTCCCTTTCTGTCTTCCAACCTGTCCCTCTGAGGTGAGGACTGGGGAGAAGGTAGAGGTGACTTAGGGTGGGCGGCGGGCGGGGCATGCAGAAGATGGAAAATGGTGGAGTTTAAGAGTAGGAGGAGCTGGGTGCAGTGGCTCATGCCTGTAATCCCAGCACTTTGGGAGGCCGAAGCGGGCAGATCACTTGAGGTCAGGAATTCGAGACCATCCTGGCCAACACAGTAAAGTCCTGTCTCTACTGAAAATACAAATATTAGCTGGGCATGGTGGCGGGCGCCTGTAATCCCAGCTACTCAGGAGGCTGAAGCAGGAGAATTGCTTGAACCCGGGAGGTGGAGGTTGCAGTGAGCCAAGATCACGCCACCACACTCCAGCCTGGGCAACAAGAGTAAGACTGCATCTCAAAAAAAAAAAAAGAAAAAAGAAAAGAAAAGAAAAGAAAAGAAATTGTCTAAATTGAGTGTTTAAAACAAAAAATTGGGATAATTAGGATGTCGAATTGCCCCGGATGAGGAATATTAAAAGAGTAATAAGGATGCTAGGAGCTTAGAGAAGAGGTTTGCCTGGTGGCTTTCAATGGCCACAGATGGATGGGTCTCTTGGGGCTTGCCTCATTGGGGGTGAAGAAGGCTGCTGGGGGGTCTGAGGGTGTTGTGTTGAGGTGTTCTCATGGCCGTCTTTTTCTGCCTTCTTGGCTGCAGGCAGGCATGACCCTGCTGTTCGCAGTGGGTTGCGTCTTCTTCCCGTTGTGCTTCACTGCCCTGCGCTGGGGCTTGCAGAACCACACCAACCTGCAGATGGAGAGACAAGAGGCTGTCCTGGTAGCATCCAAGTAAGAGGACCAGGGTGAGGGTGTCCTTCCTGGGGCCATGGCTGGTGGAACTGATCTTTTACTTTCAGAATGAGTTTGTGGTGAAAGCAGAAGCAGAGTGTGGAGTGGAGCTGGAATGTGGAGTCAAAAGACACCAGCAGGCTGGGCGTGGTGGCTCACGCCTATAATTCCAGCACTTTGGGAAGCTGAGGCAGGTGGATCACCTGAGGTCAGTAGTTCAAGACCAGCCTGGCCAACATGGTGAAACCCTGTCTGAACTAAAAATACAAAAATTAGCCAGGTATGGTGGCAGGTGCCTGTAATCCCAGCTACTCTGGAGGCTGAGACAGGGGAATCACATGAACTCGGGAGGTGGAGGTTGTGGTGAGCTGAGATGGCGCCACTGCACTCCAGCCTAGGTGACAGAGTGAGACTCTGTCTCAAAAAAAAAAAAAAGAAAAAGAAAAAAAGACACCAACAGTGGGGTCTTTTGTGAGTCATTTAACTTCTCTGAACTTCAGATCCCTCACTGGTAAATGGGCTTAATAATAACACCCCACTTTCCTTTCTTCGTGGAGATGTTGTGTGAGGATCATATGAATCAGCGTCTGTAGAGCAGGGGTTGAAAACTGCTGCAGATAATATGAGGGCTGTGGGCTCTGCAGGGATGATATAGGCTGGAGGACTCACCTTCTCTGCTGAGGGCCAGTGCTGCTCAGCTCCAGCCACTGATAATGTTATATGGTTAGAACGTGGGCCAATATTTTCGGAGTTATGATTCTTTGTCGTTGTTGAGACAGGTTGAGACAGGGTCTTGCTCTGTTGCCTAGGCTGGAGTGCAGTGGCACGATCATGGCTCACTGCAGCCTTGAACTCCTGGGCTCAAGCAATCCTCCTGCCATAGCTGGGACTACAGGCAATGCACCACCAAGCCTGGCTAATTTTTTTTTTTTTTTTTTTTGGTAGAGACAGGGTCTCACTATGTTGCCCAAGCTAGTCTTGAACTCCTGGGCTCACAGGATTGTTCCTTCTCAGCCTCCGAAGTGCTGGGATTACAGGCATGAGCCACTGTACCCGGCCTCTTCTTTTTTTTTGAGACAGAGTCTCACTGTGTCACCCAGGCTGAAGTGCAGTGACACCACCATGATTCACTGCAGCCTTGACCTCCCTGACAAGTGATTCTCCCTGAGAATCGGGCTGACTCCTGAGTTTCTTGGACTACAGGTGTGCACCACCATGCCTGGCTAATTTTTGTACTTTCAGTAGAGGCGGGGTTTCTCCATGTTGCCCAGGCTGGTCTTGAACTCCTGGGCTCAAGTGATCCTCCTGCCTTGGCTTCCTGAGTAGCTGAGACTACAGGTGCATGTCATTGTGGTGGGCTGTCTCCCAATTCTTTTTATTTTTTTGAGATAGAATCTCACTCTGTTGCCCAGGCTGGAGTTCAGTGGCTCAATCTTGGCTCACTGCAACCTTCACCTCCCAAGTTCAAGCAACATTTCTGCCTCAACCTCCCGAGTAGCTGGTATTACAGGTGTGCACCACCACGTCCGGCTAATTTTTGTATTTTTAGTAGAGACGGGGACGGGGTTTCACCATGTTGGCCAGGCTGGTCTCAAACTCCTGATCTCAGGTGATCTGCCCACTTTGGCCTCCTAAAGTGCTAGGATTACAGGCATGAGCCACCACGCCCAACCTCTTCCAATTCTTGAATACTGATAAGTAACTAAGAATTTATTTAAGAACTACTATACTGACAACTGCATACTGGCCAAACAAAACATGTCTGTGGGCCGGATTGGGCCCTTGGGCTGCAGATCTATGACCTGTGTGACAAAGCTTACCATAAAAGTGCAGTATCAGCAAACCACAGGAGGCGTAGGAGGTACACGGAACACAGATTTTACTAGGGTGTCTACGTGGATTCCCTGGCAGACAAAAAAAGCCTGTCTCTACTCATCCAAAGTGAAACCACAGTTCCATGACCAGCCTTGTAGTCCTCAATCGAGTAGTTACGGTGGCCGCCCATCACCCAGCCTCCCCAGCCTCTGTCCTTTTTGCAGTTTTGCTCATGAGTGGCTTTGGGGTTATGCAACTATGGTTTTTTGGTTTTTCTGTTTTCTTTTAAGATGGAGTCTCGCTCTGTCGCCCAGGCTGGAGTGCGATGGCACGATCTCGGCTCACTGCAACCTCCGCCTCCCAGGTTCAAGCAATTCTCCTGCCTCAGCCTCTCAAGTAGCTGGGACTACAGGCGCATGCCACCATGCCCGGCTAATTTTTTGTATTTTTAGAAGAGACGGGGTTTCGCTGTGTTAGCCAGGATGGTCTCGATCTCATGATTCGCCAGCCTTGGCCTCCCAAAGCGCTGGGATTACAGGTGTGAGACACCTTGCCCGGCTGCAACCATGGGTTTGAAACCCAGCTTTCATCCGGGCGTGGTGGCTCCCACCTGTAATATCAGCATGTTGGGAGGCAGAGGTGGGTGGATCGCTTGAGCCCAGGAGTTTGAGACCAGCCTGGCTAACGTGGTGAAACTTCATCTCTACAAAAAATACAAAAATTAGCTGAGCATGGTGGTGTGCGCCTGTAGTCCCAGCTACTGGGGATACTGAGGTATAAGGATCATTTCAGCCCGGGGAGGTTGAGGTTGCAGTGAGCCATGATCGCGCCACTGTACTCCAGCCTGGGGGACAGAATGAGACCCTATCTCAAAAAAAAAAAAAAAAAAAAAACCCCACAAAATTTCTAAACCTGTTTCTTCTGTAAAACAGGGATACCAAGTAAGAACCAGTAGAAATCACCTGGTACTGTGCCCAGCATGTAGTAAAAACTCAGGGAGCTGGATCCCCTTTCCCCCTCCCGTGAAGGGCTGAGGACAGGAGCTAGGTCCGCTATTGTCTCTACAACCGTCTCTAAATCAGCGTGAGACTTCTTGGGTGCTTTCCTACAGATTGCCGCTAGAGGGCAGCACAAAACAGCAAATCCCAGTCCCTGGCCTTTCTTTGGGGGAGGCGAGGAGTGGGCTCTGGCAGAGAAAGGCAAACCATAGGGTTGACTATTGAACTTGGAGACCAAAGGAGTTTGCATAACAGGCCCTTGTCATGCTGAAGTCCACAGGACAGTTGGGAGCAGGATGGGAGGCCAGAAGTCAAAGGGGGCAGTGTCTCTGGCTCAGGTCCCACAGCTCCACCCGGGCCCAGTCCCCAGGCCTCACTTTCCTTATGGGCCAGTGAGGAGCTTGCACCAGCCCACCCCGCAGTCCTTTCCCACTCTGAAACTAGGCTGTATGTGGAAGTTGCAGAGAAAGGGGAGCTAGTAGCATTAAGGAAACTGAGGAAAAAGTGAGGGGTGGGAATTTAGAGAAGGCCAGGAGGGGCTGGCAGTCTGAAGAACAGGGCCTGGGCATCCTAGGGCTCCCTGGGACTTCCTGAGAGGCAGCTGCCCCGCGCTCTCGCCACCGTTTCCCCTTCTTCCACTCCTTGCCCCTCCAACGCCTGCAATGAGAGGGCTGTGCCACTTCTGAACTGGGTGACCTCAGGGAGCCTCAGGATCGTTGATGGCCCTGTGGGAAGGACAGACGCAGTGACCTCGGAGCTCCTGCAGCAGACAGGACATGGGCAGCCCTGCAGCACAGTCAGGTGCCCCCTCTGGCCAATGTCAGCTTCCTTCCCCGCCATCGGGTGAGGGGGCCTCTGGCTCTGAGGATGCTGTGTTGAGATGTTTTTGCTCCTATCCCCTCCTTCAGCTCTTCCTTCTGAGAAAGCACCACTTACTCCCTCTCCCAGGGAACGCTCTCTTCCGCTGGAATGGCCACCCAAAGCTCGGACCCGGGGCAGGCCACAGAGGGATGGCTTGGTGAGGGAGGAGATGCCAGGCATTTGCAAAGTGCTGATGGGAAGCAGGGTCAGGCCCCTGTGGGGGCTCAGGGCCCCCTCCCAGCTGGCCAAGGAGCCCTGGGCCCCCTTCCTCCCCAAGAGAAGAGCTGGCCCCTGTCCCCTGTCCCCAGCAGCCCCCTGTGCCACCGCAGCTGCTGTTCCTTTAAGGGCCTCCCCCTCCCTCTTTCTCTGCTCCCCCCATCTCTGTCGCAGCCGCGGCTGTGGCTCAGAGCTGCATGGGGAGACGCCGCTGCAGGTCCGGTTTCTCGGTGTCTGGTCGGTGCCATCATTTTCCTGCCCCTCCCCCGTCCTCCCCAAGCTGGCCACTTCCCCTCCCCCTCCCCCTCCCCACCGAGGGGGCAGGGGGCTGGGCACGGAGTCTCTATGATGATGCCATGTGCGGTGTCTGTGCCGGGCGGCAGGGACTGGGGCGGCAGCGAGAGGAGGCAGTGGAGCCAGGAGAGCGGTGGTGACCGCTGACCGCTTGCCCGGCTGCTCCTCCGCTCCCTCCCGCCCACCTCCTTCCTTTGGGGCTGGTACTCAGACCCACCCCCACCCCCTCCCCGCCTCCTCGGGCCCTCCCAGCCTCTCACGTAAGCCTCCCCTCCCCACCTGCCTGGTGGCTCCCTCCCCTCCCCCATCCGCATCCTCCTCCTCCTGTCCCCTCTTCCTCTCTGTCCCTCACCAAGCCATCCCCTCTTTGCCTCTCCCCATCCCTCGCTGGCCTGCTCCTGCTCCCCTTCTCCCATCCTCCCCTCCCCCGTCTCTGCCCAGCCAGCCCCCTCCCGACTCCCCAGTTTCATCGGACTCCCTGGCCCCATCCCGTCCCCGCCCTGGCCCCTTTGTGCCCCTTCTCATCGTTTTCTCCCTCCTTCCCGGGCTTGGCGTCCCTTCTCCACCCCTAACTCCTTCCACTCGGCCTCCCTGCCCCTTCACGGCCCGCCTGCCTCCCTGCCCAAGTCCTGAGCCACCATGCTGACCCCGATGGTGGCCGGGGGGGTGGTGTTCCCCGGACTCTTCCTCCTCTCCAAGAACACGCTCCAGCGGCTGCCCCAGCTACGCTGGGAGGAGGCCGACGCAGTCATTGTCTCAGCCAGGTAAACCACTTTCTTTCCCCTCAGCCCCTGTCTGCTTCTTGGGCTTCTCAGGGAATGGAAGGGACCTGGCACTTCTCTGGACCCTCAGCGGTGGGGGACTGGGAGCTCCTGTGGGGGTCCGGGGCTTTACCCCCAGGCTTCCTCTCTCCTCACTGCCTGCCTTGCTCACTGTTCTGGGAGACCTCATCCAGCCCGGCCATCTGGTCTACTAGTGTTCAGCCCGCCTCTCTCTTCTTCCCCGTACACCCTCCCACCCTCCAAAACAGGGCCAGCATGCGGCGAAGACATTCCTATAAGACATTAGGGACTGAGGCCAGGGCCAGACAGCTAGGTGTCATTCAGGGTGAGTGTTTGGGGGCCAGGGATGGAGGAGTGGATGGTACAACTCTACACCCCTAGAACAGGGCCAGAGTGCAGAGTGGAGGCTGGTGGCAGTCAGGAGACAGTGGGAAAGTGACTGGGGAACTCGGGGTCACAAAGGGTCCAGAGTGAGGCCTGCGTCATGACTGGACAGCTAAGCGGGGCAAGAACCGGCCCAGGCTCCCCTCGTGGGGAGAGGTCCAGGCCAGCAGTTCACTCTCAGTCTCACCTCAGGACAGACACCCTGCGGGCTTGAGAAGAGGGAGACTCAGTTTCCACAAATGGGGAAGGAAGAAGGTGGCAAGGAGTGGGGTGGACTGAGGAACAGCAGCCGAGCGGGCCGGAGAGCCGTGAGGTACCTGTGGTGGGGCACACCTCAGGCAGCCCAGCCTTGGGCGAAGGCAGGCAAGGACTGGCCCGAGAAGTGGCTGAACGCAAAGCGCAGTCGTTAGACTAGCAACGAGGAGAAATCAAGGCACACGCCTCTTCCCTTCTGCCTTTCTAGCACGCCTCCCTCTCTCCCCCAGGCTGGTGTCCTCTGTCCAGGCCATCATGGCCTCCACTGCCGGCTACATCGTCTCCACCTCCTGCAAGCACATCATTGATGACCAGTAAGTGCTGCGAGACACCCCCCTGCCCAGGTGCCAGTGGTTGGCGTGTACGGGTAATCCCGGAAGACCCCACATCTTGGAGGGAACTCTGTCTGTGGTCCCCAAGCCCTTAACTTGGGCCTGAGCAAGTTAACTGCAATAACCGCAACTCAACACCCAGGGATAAATTTATCCTGTCCTGTCCTTAAAGGTCAGAACCAGGGGGAGAAGGAGCGGGGATCAGAGAGGATCCTCAAAGCGCTTTCTAGTCGGCTTCCAGGTCTCCCGTGTTGTCGTGGTTCCCCACCTCCTCCCTGCCTTCCACCCCAGGAGGCAGACCCCATTTCCAGCCAGCACCCAGATGGGGTGCCCCCTCCTCATGCCAGGCTCACCCCTCAGCCCTTCCCATAATCCAGGCATCCGGCATCCACTCCATGCCTGAGGGAGAGGACAAGGGAGAGATGACACGCACAAGGCCACACACGGCCAGGCAGTGCGGGAGGGGATGAGGGTGAAGAGGCCAAAATGTGGCCAGGCAGCTGCTGCAGTGTCTGGTGGTTGCCAAAAAGGCCCAGAGGTGTGCAGGCAGGAGGCGGGGGGACGGGGAGGAGAGGGGCCCTGTCCGTGGTGCTGACGGCCGCCCTAGGTGACCCACGGGTGGCCCGTTGCAAGTTGCCTTAGAGGTGCCCACAACGCCCCCTTTGTAGCTTTCAGCACCGCTTCCCTTCTGTGGCAGCCACTGAGTCCCAGGGAACATTTGGACGCCCCTGATGGGGGGTGCCCTGTTTCTGTTTGCCTCCTCTTTTCCCGAAGATGAGTTGCCTCTTCTGTGGTGAGGCAGCGGCCCTTCCTGGAAGGGCTTCAGCGAGAGGAATTGAGTTAAGTGGCAGCTGCAGAGGACAGTTCTTGGCTTAACTCTTTCTTCAGACCCCGCCCAGGGACTTGGCTGCTTCTTGGCCTCTGCCCACCCCTTCCCTCCCCTGCTCCAAGCTGAGCCTGGGATCCAGCACTTCCTCCCCAGCCTTCACATGCAGAGGTCACCGTTTAGCTTCTGTACCCCCTGCTCCCCAGGCCCCCCTGTGTCTGTTCCTGTCCGTCTTCCCTGCTTTAATCCTCAGGTAGGTGGGGAGGATCCGGGTTAATCCAGGGCAGCAGCTGTTCCTACTTCTGAGCACCTAATTGCCAAGAGGGTGGGGATGGGATCTAACACCTCACATGACAGCCCAGGGCCTGGTGGCCCCTCCTGGTCTCCTGCACCAGCCCAGCTGTCCCATCTCCCATCACCTCTGCTGGGCCTGCATTCTGGGCAGCTTCCTGCCCTGACTCCTCCAGGCCACTTGGGACCTCTCTCCCTGTGTTCCCGCTTCGCGTTCTCTACAGCTGCCCCTCCCCTCTCATCTTTCCCTGCCTCTGGGCCGCAGCTCCACACCACTGCACCAGTCTCAGGTTCCCTTTTCCCTGGTACCGTCCCTGCTGGAGAATGGGTTGGCTCCACTCACAGGCCGCCTGCCTCAGGCTCCCCATCCTCAGAGGCCTCAGCCCCAACTTCTCCACAGCCTCCTCCACGTGCCTCATGTTTGGTGATGGCTTCTGGCTGACTCTGCTTTCATCCCTCCACCCCTTGTGGGGCGAGCACCCCAGGTCCTGCCTCTCTGACCTCCTGCCCCCACCCCAGGCCAGTCTTGGGACTACAGGATTTAAGAGAAACTGCCAATGTGCTGACTCCAGAAGAAAAATGCTGTCTTGTCTATTCATCCATTTCTCGTTTTTGTTTACTCTCCAAGTACATGGAACTTTCTTTGTCCTTGGCTCCTTTTGCTCTGCATTTTCCCCTTAACGCTTGGCTGTCCCTGAAAAACAACACAAAATAGACAAGAGATTGGGTGACTTTGGGGCAGGGCGAACAGCGCTGACAAGACCTCTCACTTGCCAACAGGGTCTGTCTCTGATGCCTCTCGGATCTTCTGGGGATGGTGGGGATGACAGTGAGGGCTGTGGAGCCACACCGCCCATGTCCCTTCCTTGGCCAGGTTACCTAGCCCCTCTGTGACTCACTTCTTCACCTGTACAGTGGGGATGATGGCCACACCTACCTTTTACAGGGTTTTGGGAGGGGTAAATAAGGCTATGCATGGGAAGTTTGGAAGATCGCCTGTCCCAGGAGGCAGGAATGGGCGTCCACCCCTGTGACCTCTCTCTCCAGCACTCTCGCCCCTTCAGCTGTTGCTGGTCCTAACCTCATGGTAAGGTTAGGACAAATAACCATGGCAAGGTCCCACCTGCCTGTCCTGGGCTTATTTTGGCACTGTATCTGTGCCTTTTGGTCTGTGGGCATCTTCTGGTCTTTTCTTTTCCCCCGACTATACTGCAGAGAGAGAGGAACATGGGTGAGTTCTGAGACCACAGGTTTGAATCCCAGCACCATCTCTTACTAGCTGCATGACTGTGTGACCTTGGGCAAGTTTCTCACCCTCTACCCTCTGGATCCCTCATCTGTACCCAAGACTCCGCTCCTGTCCAGGGCTGCTGTGCTGACCCCTGAGATCTGACCCCAATCACTGGTGTCCCCTTTCCTCCTTGCTCCCCCACCCCGTCTCTCTGCCCAACAGACACTGGCTGTCCTCTGCCTACACGCAATTTGCTGTGCCCTACTTCATCTACGACATCTACGCCATGTTCCTCTGTCACTGGCACAAGCACCAGGTCAAAGGGCATGGAGGGGACGACGGAGCGGCCAGAGCCCCGGGCAGCACGTGGGCCATAGCGCGTGGCTACCTGCACAAGGAGTTCCTCATGGTGCTCCACCATGCCGCCATGGTGCTGGTGTGCTTCCCACTCTCAGTGGTGAGTCCCGGGGAGCTGGGCGGGCGGGGTGCGGGTGGCCTGCTCCTTGGTCCTGCTGGTGCTGGCAGGAGCCTGGGAAGCCCCGGGTCTGCGTACTGACAACCAAGCAGACCCAGCGTATTCCCAGGGAAAGCTGTGGACAGGCAGGGTTCACTGAGCACCAGCCCAGGGCACCAGGGTGTGGGGGCAGCCTGGCCCTGGGCTGGACGATGCCCGGCTGTGGCTCTTTGGATTTGTGGTTGCACGTCTCTGAGCCTCAGTTTCCTCACCTGTTACATAAGGGACACAGTCTTTCTGCAGGACCGTGAGAGGGATGCAGCCAAGTCATGCACCTGCTCCTGCACCCAGGTGTTCTTTCTCTTTTTTTTCTTTCCAAGACGGAGTCTCTCTCTGTCACTCAGGCTGGAGTGCAGTGGTGTGATCTCGGCTCACTGAAACCTCCGCCTCCTGAGTTCAAGTGATTCTCCCATCTCAGCCTCCCCAGTAGCTGGGATTACAGGTGCCCACCAACACGCCTGGCTAATTTTTTTGGTATTTTTAGTACAGACGGGGTTTCACCATGTTGGCCAGGCTGGTCTCAAACTCCTGACCTCGTGATCCACCTGCCTCAGCCTCCCAAAGTGCTGGGATTACCGGCGTGAGCCACTGCACCCAGCCCTGCACCCAGGTGTTCTGATGTTCAGAGTCAAGCATCTCCCAAAGTGACAGAGGGGAAAGAGGAAGGGCGGGGGCTGCCCAAGAACCCAGGGAGAGCCCCAGCTCCTCACCTTCCTGCCTCTGTGCCCAGGTGTGGCGACAGGGTAAGGGAGACTTCTTTCTGGGTTGCATGTTGATGGCAGAGGTCAGCACGCCCTTCGTCTGCCTTGGCAAGATCCTCATCCAGGTGAGTGAGCATGGGAGGGTGCAGGAGCCCAATGGGGAGGTCACAGGAAGGGGAGGGACCTTCAAGGTTGCTGCCAAGGGCTCTAGCCCCTTCGTCATCCCCCCCTCACCCCGTGCATTTTGAGCACCTGGTGCTTGTGTCCTGGCAAAGTGTCTGGTTTGGGAGGAGCTGCCTGCTAGGGTCGCAGGGAGGCAGGGAGAGGGCCAAGGGGGGCCGAGCCCTTCTGCTGCCGTGGCCACTGTGTCTGTGTCTCCTCAGTACAAGCAGCAGCACACACTGCTGCACAAGGTGAACGGGGCCCTGATGCTGCTCAGCTTCCTCTGCTGCCGGGTGCTGCTCTTTCCCTACCTGTACTGGGCCTACGGGCGCCATGCCGGCCTGCCCCTGCTGGCCGTGCCCCTGGCCATCCCTGCCCACGTCAACCTGGGCGCTGCGCTGCTCCTGGCCCCTCAGCTCTACTGGTTCTTCCTCATCTGCCGTGGGGCCTGCCGCCTCTTCTGGCCCCGCTCCCGGCCGCCCCCGGCCTGCCAGGCCCAGGACTGAGGCCGGGGGCCGGGACCCTCCCCCTCCCCACCCCCACCCCCGTGGAGACAGGGCTCTGGGGCTGATGGCTGGGGTTGGGAGCCAGGGTCCTCTTGCCCGGACAACCCCAGGACTGACGATGACCCCGAAAGGGAAGAGGCCCCATCTCTCGGGGACTGAGGGGGTGGAGAGAGGGGACCTCTTCCCCCTACTCTGCCCCCTTCCTGCACACCCTTGCGCTGGAGGAGGGGAGGGGGCACCGCCTCCCACCCACTGAGGGCAGGAGGGCTTGTGGGGAGGGACACCAACAGGGTTTCAAGGGGACCAGGAGTCAGAATGTGGGGAGACGCCTCTGCCAAGGCCATCCCAGCCCCTATGCTGCCATCCCCCAGGGCTCCCCATCACCCGAGAGGAGAGGACGCCCCAACTAACCCCCGCTGGCCCTCGGGCCTCCCGAGTGGCCGGCTGCAACCACGGCTCCTCTCCAGGGTAGGCCAGCTTGAGGAATCTTATTTATTTTATTTATTTACCCAAATTTGAACTAGTCTGTTGGGTTGGGGGAAGGAGGTGGCTGCTACCCCCAAGCCTTCCCAGTGCTGACAACCCCGGGGGCAGGCGAGGGCGCCCAGTCCCTCACCATCGGCTGCACATCGCGCCCTCGGGCCCTGCCATGTCCCTGGTGCTACTGACCTCTCAAGGCTTCCTCCAATCTGGGGTCGGGGGACCCTGGGAGGTGCTTTACAGACCGCTAATAAAAGACGATCTGCGTGAACGCCACCAAGGCCCTTGCCACCAAGTTCTTTGGGGCTGGGAAGGGAGGAGGTGGGGGGCTTGGGCCATGGGAAACAGAGGGGACAGGATCCCCAGCTGCTCGCTGGGCAGTCAGGGAGGAGGAAAGCAGGGAACTTTTGCTCATCAACAGGAGAGGAGGTGGGTGTGGGTGCTCAGGTTGAGTCCAGAGCCCTTGTCCGGCTCTTTAGGCCCCTTTCTGGAAGTTTCTGTGGGGCATGGAGATCAGAGGGGAGAGGTCACAGCCTGCCCCGCTAGAACTGGGGTCTTCAGCCGCTCCCAAGGAAGGTGGTGGTGGGTGGGGTTGGAGAAAGGGGGCAGGCCTTACATGTGGGTGCAGAACTGGAAAAGGAGAAAGAAGAACGCCACCACCAGCAAGCCCACCAGGATGTGATGGAAGAGCCCGGGGCTGGAACCTGCTAGACAAACAGGACCCTTAACTCCCCTCTGATGGCCCAATGAAGGGTCTGGGGCTGCTCTCCTCCAGACCCTGGCGGGGAGGGAGGTCCCTTCTCAAGCTGGTTCATACCTGAGTTAATGAACACGATGGGTTTCTCTCCAATAAACTGGGCCACAGCCAGCAGCCTGGCTTGGTCTGAGTCCGGATAATCGAAGAAGTCAGGTCTGTCTAAGAAGCGCGGAGACTCTGTCCCCAGGGCTGACGCCGTGGCACGCTTGGGTCTGGGTGCTAGGACCCAAGCAAACTCTGTGACAACAGCCAAGCTGACCCCTGCCTTTATCTCTCGAGGCGGAAGCTGACTTGGGACCCTGTGAGACCACCCAGCCTTATTGCAGAGGCTGTGGAGGGTCTTGATTTCCCTCAGGGTCAGCTGGGTGCACCACGACAAGGCTCGCGGTTGTTGGGGGGTAGGTGGGACCAGCAGGATGGGAGAGAAGAGTGGAGAGAAAATGAGAGGGTGCAGGGTTGGCTTCCGAGTCCCTAAGTGGGCATCACACTTTATGCTCCCAGAGCTGCCTGCCTTCCTGCTGCTCCCAAGACAGCTTCTTACCAGTTTCTATGGCCCCTAGTGCAGCCAGCCACACCCACACCAGCACCCATGGCCACAGCCTCATGACTCCTATCATGAGGTGGGGGCTCTGTGATGTCACAGCCCAGAGCTGTTCTGATGGCACTTTGGGGTGAGGGGAGAAAGTGCTAGGAGCTGGGACCCCTCCCCCATCCCTCACTCTCATCAGAAGAGGAGAGGAGAAGAGAGGTTGGGACCAGTCTTCACCCCCTGGAATGTCGCTGATGATAAAACCATAATGGTGGCAGCCCCAGCATTTACAAAGAGGAGGGATGCGGCACGGCCATCTTGCTGAAAGCCCGAACTAAAGGAAGCTGTGTTTGGACAACAGGCACAATTTGGGGTGGTGGCACAGGGCCACACACCTCCGGTTACCCCTTGGATCAACCACAGGTAACATTTGTTTTATTTATTTTCATTTTTTTGGAGACAGGGTCTCTGTCTGTCACCCAGGTGGGAATGCAGTGGCGCCATCTTGGCTCTCTACAGCCTCTGCCTCCTGGGTTCAAGTGATTCTCTTGCCTCAGCCTCCTGAGTATCTGGGATTACAGCTTTGGATAAATCCCTTCCTTTTATCTGTCTGCCACCACACCCGGCTAATTTTTGTATTTTTAGTAGAGACAGGGTTTCACTATGTTGGTCAGGCTGGTCTTGAACTCCTCACCTCAGGTGATCTGTTCGCCTCGGCCTCCCAAAGCGCCCGGCCTATTTTATGTATTTTCAGAGACAGGGTCTCACTCTGTCACCCAGGCTGGAGTACAGTGGTATGATTACTGCAGCCTTGAACTCCTGGCCTCAAGTGATCCTCCCACATCAGCCTCCTGAGTAGCTGGGACCACAGGCATGTGCCACCATGCCCGGCTAATTTTTGCATTTTTTGTAGAAATGAGGGCTTGCTATGTTGCCCAGGCTGGTTTCGAACTTCTGGCCTCAGGTGATCCTCCAGCTTCGGCCTCCCAAAGTGCTGGGATTACAGGCATGAGCCACCATGCCCAGCAGGTAGCATTTATTGAACACCTATTACTATGCTGGCTGGACCCCATTTATGGCCAAGTACCTTGCACAAATTTGTTCATTTGCTCTTGCACTGACCCTCAGAGGCAGGTACTCTTTTTTTTTTTTTTTTTTTTTTTTTTTTTTGAGATGGAGTTTCACTCTGTCCGCCAGGCTGGAGTGCAGACGCACAATCTCAGCTCACTGCAACCTCCACCTCCTGGGTTCAAGCGATTCTCCTGCCTCAGCCTCCTGGAGTGGGATTACAGGCGCGCACCATCACTGTTCGGCTGATTTTTGTACTTTTAGTAGAGATGGGGTTTCACCATGTTGGCCAGGCTGGTCTTGAACTCCTGAACTCGGATGATCCGCCTGCCTCGGCCTCCCAAAGTGTTGGGATTACAGGCGTGAGCCACCAAGCCCAGCCCAGAGGCAGGTACTCTTGCCTCCCTTATACACGGGAGGAAATCACGGCACAGAGGGGAAAAGTAGTGTGGGCAATGCACACTTCCTGGGGGGGGGGTTCCTCTCTGAGGCTCCCCCTTGCATCCTATCCGCAGATCCAGGGGCACAGGGCTCTCTCCGTCCTCCCCCGCCCCCTCCTTAGTGCTCAGCCGGGAACGACCCTGGGGTTAGGAACCGAGAGGAGTAGCAGGCGTCTCCCACTAGGTGGCAGCAGCGGCCGCGCCTGAGTCCACGCTCCCACCCTAGGAAAGGCGCAGCGGGGCGGACTCCCGGGCCTCCTCCCGCCTCTTCCACAGGTTGCATCCGCGGCTGCAGGAAAACGGATGGCTGGGAATGGCCGTCGGGGGTTGGTCAGAGGAAGTCCCTCGGCCCTTTCCGAGGCACATCTCTTGGCCATCCACGCGTCCTTCGCAGACTCCGCTCCCTGCACCTCCGTTTCCTCTTCTGTGGCCGGCGGCTCCCCCGTGGCCACCCCATCTCCCATCTCTGCCACCTCCCAACAGCCATTTCCACTCCTGCGGCCCCATCCCAGCTAAGGAGAGCGCCCTTCTGATTGGCAGGTGGGCCTGTCTGTCACGGGCATGTTCCATCCCACCCAAGCCCAAGGACACTCCAGGGTTTCCTTAGTTTCACAACGAAGGTGCGTGCTCAGCGGACTCTGCAGACCCAGTGCCGCGACTTCCCCTAAAGCCAGGCGTGTATCTGCGCGTGTGAGGTGCTCTGCCGCAACCCTATGCAGAGAGCAGGTGGGCTAGGACTCGGGGTACTTGCCATGAACCGCTTCGAGTTCCTAAACAAGTAAAAAGCCCAGAGAGAGAAAAAAAGGGGGCAGCGGGGCGGGGGTGGGGAAGGAGGGAAACGAATATCTATGGGACTGGCTCACGTGGGCTGCTTCCCCTGTGCTGCGCTGATGGCTTCCCTTTTTTTGAGACAGGATATTGCTCTATCTGTCACCCAGGCTGGAGTGCAGCCTCGACCTCCTGGGCTCAAGCGATCCTCTCACCTCAGCCTCCCAAGTAGCTGGGACCACAGGCGTGCACCACCACACCTGCCTATTTTTTGTTTTGTTTTGTTTTGTTTTTTAGATGGAGTCTCTGTCTGTTGCCCAGGCTGGAGTGCAGTGGCACGATCTTGGCTCACTGCAACCTCTGCCTCCTTGGTTCAAGCGATTCTCCTGCCTCAGCCTCCCGAGTAGCCAGGATCAAAAGCATATGCCACCATGCCTGGCTAATTTTTGTAGTTTTTTAAAGTAGAGACGGAATTTCATCATGTTGGCCAGTCTGGTCTCAAACTCCTGACCTCAAGTGATCTGCCCTCCGCGGCCTCCTAAAGTGCTGGGATTACAGGCGTGTGCGACTGCGCCCAGCCTACTTCTTTTTTTCTTTGCAGAGATGGAGTCTTGCTATGTTGCCCAGGCTGGTCTCAAACTCCTGGGCATAAGTGATTCTCCCACCCTGGCCTCCCAAAATGCTGGGATGACAGGTGTGAGCCGCCATGCAGATCACTTCTAAGAAAAAGGAAGGGATTTATCCAAAGCCACAAGGCATGTGAGAGGCAGCAGAAGGGACTCAGTAATGTGGTTTTTGGGCCAGGCGCGGTGCTCACACCTATGATCCCAGCACTTTGGGAGGCCAAGATGGGTGGATCACTTGAGGCCAGGAGTTCGAGACCAGCCTGCCCAACATGATGAAATCTCCTCTCTACTAAAAATCCAAAAAAAGGCTGGGCGCGGTGGCTCACACCTATAATCCCAGCACTTTGGGAGGCCGAGGCAAGTGGATCACCTGAGGTCAGGAGTTCAAGACCAGCCTGACCAATATGGTGAAACCACGTCTCTACTAAAAATACAAAAATAAGCCGGGTGCGGTAGCATGCGCCTGTAGCCCCAGCTACTCGGGAGGCTGAGACAGGAGAACTGCTTGAACACAAGAGGCAGAGGTTGCGGTGAGCCTAAATTGCGCCACTGCACTCCAGCCTGGGTGACAGGGTGAAATTTCATCTCAAAAAGAAAAAGAAAAAAAAAAAGATTAACTAGGCATGGTGGTACGTGCCTATAGTCCCAGCTACTCAGGAATCTGAGGCAGGAGAATCACTTGAGCCCGGTAGGTGGAGGTTGCAGTGAGCCAAGATCGCACCACTGCACTCCAGCCTGGGTGACACTCGAGACTCTGTCTCAATAAATAAATAACCTGGTTCCCGACGCTGGGCCAGGGCTCGTGCCCCAGGCCCACAGGCAACTGCTCCTTGAGGTTAGCTGGGAGAAGGGACACAGAACCTATGGCCTTTGGGGTTGACTTTCTTTTGTTTCCTCAAATGCTTCAAAAACATTAAGCTATCTCTACTAGTAAAGGCCATTTTGACCCAAACAATGCATTATCCATTCACCCATTTATTCATCCATGACATAAACGTGCTGAGCTCCTGCTACGCACTGGCTGGACTCCATTTATGACTCAGAAATCACCACGGCACGGTCCCTGACCTCAAGAATGACAAGGGAGAGAACTCATAGATGCGCATCATTCTAGAGTAGACGGGCAACTCTGGGTCATCTACACCTGCTGTCTCCACTCCCTCATCTTTAATGGACTCTTCAATCTCTTCTTTTTCTGAGATGGAGTCTCATTCAGTCACCCAGGCTGGAGTGCAGTGGCGCGATCTCGGCTCACCGCAACCTCTGCCTCCCGGGTTCAAACGATTCTCCCACTTCGGCCTCCTGAGTAACTGGGATTACAGGCACCCACCACCACACCCAGCTAATTTTTTAATTTTTAGTAGAGATGGGGTTTCACCACGTTGGCCAAGCTGGTCTCAAACTCCTGACCTCAGGTGATCTGCCTGCCTCTGCCTCCCAAAGTGCTGGGATTACAGGCATGAGTCACCTCGCCCAGCCAATTCTTCAACCTCTTCTAATCTGGCTTAGTCCCCACCAATCCACTGAAGCTGCTTTGATCAAGTCCACAAAAGAGCTCATAATCTGCCAAATCAAATGGTTCTCTCTCTTTCCATTCCGTCTGCCTCCCAGCAGGTGCACCTGTCCCTGACTCAGAGCCCTGGAACCACACTCACCAGTTCTCAGGACTCCTTCTCCAGCCAACTCAGCATGGGGCCTTGTCTTGCTATCTATATTCTCTGCCTAGGTGATCTCATCCATACTCGTGGCTTTAAATACCATCTATATGCCAGTGACTCACAAATGTATATTTCCAGCCCAGACCTCTCCTTGGAGCTCCAGACTCCGAGATGTCTGTTTGTGATGTCCAAATACATCTCCAAGGCAATGGATCACAAATGGAGTCCTACTCCAGACCTGCTCTGCTCCCATCTTTTCGTCTCAGTGGATGGTCCCATCATTCCTCTAGATGGTCTGCTCAACACAGAAACCTAGGAATCATCCTGCTTCCTTATCTCTCACCTAATGAACCCCAAATTGAGACCTGTTAGGCCAGGTTCGGGGGCTCATGCCTGTAATCCGAGAAATTTGGGAAGCCGAGGTGGGAGGATCACTGGAGGCCAGGAGTTCAAGGTTGAAGTGAGCCATGATCGTGCTGCTACACTCCAAGCTGGGTGACAGAGAATCCCATCTGTAAAAGATAAGAATAAAAAGATCTGTTGGTTCAATTTTCTTTCTTTCTTTTTTTTTTTTTTTGAGACAGCATCTCACTCTGTTGCCCAGGCTGGAGTGCAGTGGTGCAATCATAGCTCACTGCAGCATCGACCTCCCAGGCTCAAGCAATCCTCTCTCCTCAGCCTCCCAAGTAGCTGGGACTGCATCATCAAGTCATCATGCCCAGCTAAGTTTTTTTTTTTTTTTTTTTTTTTTTTGGTAGAAATAGGATTTCACTATGTTGCCCAGGCTGGTCTTGAACTCCGGGGCTCAAGGGATCCTCCTGCCTTGGCCTCCCAAAGTGCTGGGATTACAGCGCCCAGCCTCAATTTTCTTTTCTTTCTTTTTTTTTTTTTTTTCCGGAGACAGAGTCCCACTCTGTTGCCCAGGCTGGAGTGCAGTGGCACGATCTCAGCTCATTGCAACCTCCACCTCCCAGGTTCAAGTGATTCTTGTGCCTCAGCCTCCTGAGTAGCTGGGATTACAGACGCATGCCACCAAGCCCACTTAATTATTTTTGTATTTTTAGTAGAGATGGGGTTTCGCCATGTTGGCCAGGCTGGTCTCAAACTCCTGGCCTCAAGCAATCCGCCCACCTTGGCCTCCCAAAGTGCTGGGATTACAGGCATGAGCCACCGCACCCGGCAATAGGTAGTTTTTCGACTCTTTCCCTCCCTCCCCTTTTTTGGAGTCCCCAGTGTCTGTTATTCTCATCTTTATGTCCATAGGTACCCAATGTTTAGCTCCCACTTACGAGAACATGTGGTATTTGATTTTCTGTTTCCGCATTAATTCAGTTAGGATAATGGCCTCCAGCTGCATCCATGTTGCTGCAAGGGATATAATTTCATTCTTTTTTATGGCTGCATAGTATTCCATGGCATATACATATCACATTTTCTTTATCCAGTCCACTGTTGGTGGGCACCTAGATTGATTCTGTGTCTTTCCTATTGTGAACAGTGCTGCAATAAACACACAAGTGCAGGTGTCTTTTTGGTGGAATGATTTCTTTCTTTCTTTTTCTCTTTTTTTTTTTTTTTGAGACAGGGTCTCACTCTGTCACTCAGGCTGGAGTACAGTGGCTTGATCTTGGCTCACTGCAGCCTCAAACTCCTGGGCTCAAGCGATCATCCTGCCTCAGCCTCCCGAGTAGCTGGGACTACAAGTGCACACCACCACTCCTGGCTAATTTTTTTTTTTAGACAGGGTTTCGTCATGTTGACCAGGCTGGTAGAATGATTTCTTTTCTGAATATGCCGTACTCTGGACTGCCTCCCAGCTTTGGCACACACCTCTGCCTAGAATACACTTGCCCCCAAGCTTGACCTGGGTAACTCCTCCTCATCTTTCAGGTCTCAGTTGAGACAACTCCTTTTCTGGGAAGTGAGGTGTTAATCTTTGTTCCCTCCTACCTCATAGGACCCTGAGTTCCCATGGCTTCTGACCATCCCCTGTCCCCACGTCAGTTTCCCTGGATGGGGATTGTCTGTGTATTTGTCTGTCTTCCCTATGAGGCTGTGAAGTCACAGCTCATTGACCTTGGGCCTGGTTGTATCCCCACAATCTATAGTCGATATTCAGTCAATATTTACTGAATGACTGGGTGACTGGTGCAAAAGCCTCCCGTCTCTGGACAAAGCAGGGCTCAGCACTGTCCATCATTTTCCTCTGAAATTGGCTTGAACTCCAGCCTCATCCTTACCTGTCTTCAACAAGTTCTTCTGGAGGCAGGCAGGGCTGGGGTTGAGCAAGCACCGTGGGAAGAGAGCACAGGAGAGAGGACTCGACAGGTTCCTTGACCAGAGTGTCCCCCTCCCCTCACTGCAGGCCCCCTGCGCCCAGGTCATGGACACCCTCTTGCTAAACTCACCGGCTTTCACACTGCACTGTGTCTCCCTTCGTCCTGCTTCCTTTCTTATTCTGGAGAGCCACGAAGGAAACCTAACGGTTGCCTTTACTTTAGAAATATTGGCCGGGTGCAGTGGCTCATGCCTGTAATCCCAGCACTTTGGGAGGCCAAGGCAGGCAGATCACTTGAGGTCAGGAGTTCGAGACCAGCCTGGCCAACATGGTGAAACCCTATCTCCACTAAAAATACAACAATTAGCCAGGCATGGTGGTGTGCACCTGTAATCCCAGCTACTTGGGAGGCTGAGGCTTGAACCTGGGAGGTGGAGGTTGCAGTGAGCCAAGATCGTGCCACTGCATTCCAGCCTGGGCAACAGAGCGAGACTCTGTCTAAAAAAAAAAAAAAAAAAAAAAATATATATATATATATATATATATATATATATATATTATTGTGCTGGGCATGGTCTTTGGCTCACACCTGTAATCCCAGCACTTTGGGAGGCCAAGGTAGGAGGATGGCTTGAGGCCAGGAGTTTGAAACCAGCCTGGGCACCATAGTAAGACCCATCTCTACAAAACAAACAAACAAACAAAAACAGATTAGCCAGGCATGGTGGTGCATACCTATAGTCCCAGCTACATGGGAGGCTAAAGTGGGAGGATCGCCTGAGCCCAAGAGTTCGAGGATGTCGTGAGCTATGATCTTGCCACTGCACTCCAGCCTAGGCAACACAGTGAGACCCTGTCTCAAAAAAAAAAAAAAAAAGAAAAAGGAAGGAAAGAAGGAAGGAAGAAAGGAAGGAAGGAAGGAAGGAAAGAAGAAAAGAAAGAAAAAGACAAGACCAAAATTTGGCCAGGCACAGTGGCTCATGCCTGTAATCTCAGCACTTTGGGAGGCCGAGGCAGGCGGATCACCTGAGGTCAGGAGTTCAAGATCAGCCTGGCCAACATGGTGAAAACCCATCTCTACAAAAATACAAAAAAATTAGCCGAGCATGATGGCGGGTGCCTGTAATCCCAGCTACTCAGGAGTGTGACGCGGGAGAATCACTTGAACCCGAGAGGCGGAGGTTGCGGTGAGCCGCGATCGAGCAATTGCACTCTAGCCTGGGTGACAGAGCGAGACTCCATCTCAAAAACAAACAAACAAACAAACAAACAAAGAAATACCAAAATTTATTATTTTAATGTATTCTTTGGAACAGGTAACCTATGCATGTGGCACAAAATTCAAAAAATACAAAAGGATGTACGTTGAAAAGTAAGTCTTTCCTCTTCCTGCCCTGTCTCCCCAGAGGTCACCATAGTTATATTTTCTTCTGTGTATTTATTATTTTTTTATTATTATTTTTATTTTTTCACTCTCTCAGCTTGTCAAGAGACACAGTTACCATTCTTGTGCAGGCCTCCAGAAACAACATATGAACAACTAAGCAAACACGGCTAAGCTCTTTCCCTCTCAAATGGCAGTATTCCAAGCATGCTTCTCTGCACTTGCTTTTCTTTTTTGATTTTTTTTTCTTTTTTCTTTTTCTTCTGAGATGGAGTCTTGTTCTGTTGCCCAGGCTGGAGTGCAGTGGCATGATCTCGGCTCACTGCAACCTCCGCCTCCCAGGTTCAAGCAATTCTCCTGCCTCAGCCTCCCAAGATTACAGGTGCCCGCCAACATGCCCAGCTAATTTTTGTAATTTTAATAGAGACAGCGTTTCAGCATGTTGGCTAGGCTGATCTTGAACTCCTGACCTCGTGATCCTCCCGCCTCGGCCTCCCAAATTGCGGGGATTACAGGTGTAAGCCACCATGCCCAGCCTGCACTTTGCTTTTTTTTTCTTTGAGATGGAGTCTCGTTCTGTCGCCCAGGCTGGAGTGCAGTGGCGCAATCTCGGCTCACTGCAAGCTCTACCTCCTGGGTTCATGCCATTCTCCTGCCTCAGCCTCCCAAGCAGCTGGGACTACAGTTGCCCGCCTCCACGCCCAGCTAATTTTTTGTATTTTTAGTAGAGATGGGGTTTCACCGTGTTAGACAAGATGGTCTCGATCTCCTGACCTCGTGATCCACCCGCCTTGGCCTCCCAAAATGCTGGGATTACAGGCGTGAGCCATGGCGCCTGGCCTGCACTTGGCTTTTCTAAGTTAAAATGAAACTGTGAAATGATTCTAGGGCCAGGCACAGTGGCGCACGCCTGTAATCCCAGGACTTTGGGAGGCCGAAGCGGGAGGATTGCTTGAGTCCAGGAATTTGAGACCAGCTTGGGCAAAGTAGTGAGACCTTGTATATTTAAAAAAAAAAAAAAAGATGATTCTAAACAAGAGCAAAACAGCCTCTTGTGGCTGCACCCTATTTCACTGCATGGAATTACATCATGACTGATTTAACTGGTCCCCTGCTTCTGGGTATCTCAGTTGTTTCCAGTCTTTTGGAACGTGCTACATTTAAGAATTTTGAACTTCATGGCCAGGCGCGGTGGCTCACAGCTGTAATCCCAGCACTTTGGGAGACCGAAGCAGGCGGATCATGAGGTCAGGAGTTCAAGACCAGCGGGGCTAAGATGGTGAAACACCGTCTCTACTAAAAATACAAAAACTTAGCCAAGTGTGGGGCGTGCGCCCCTGTAATCCCAGCTACTTGGGAGGCTGAGGCAGGAGAATTGCTTGAACCCAGGAGGCAGAGGTTGCGGTGAGCCAAGATCGCACCATTGCACTCCAGCCTGGGCAACAAGAGTGAAAGTCTGTCTCAAAAAAAAAAAAAGAAAAAAAGAATTTGAACTTCTATTATTTGGCTTATGGGTTGGCATATCTGTAAGATAAAATCCTAAAAGTGGAATTTCTGGGTCTAAGGATTTTTTTTTTTTTTTTTTTTTTTTGAGACAGGGTCTCACTCTGTTACCCAGGCTGGAGTGCAGTGGAGTGATTATAGCTTACTGCAGCCTTGACCTTCTGGGCTCAAGAGATCCTCCCACCATCACGAGGTCAGGAGATCGAGACCATCTTGGCTAAGAAGGTGAAACCCCATCTCTATTAAAAATACAAAAAAATTAGTCAGGCGTGGAGGCGGGCACCTGTAGTCCCAGCTACCCGGGAGGCTGAGGCAGGAGAATGGCATGAACCTGGGAGGTGGAGCTTGCAGTGAGCCGAGATCACGCCACTGCACTCCAGCCTGGGCGACAGAGCGAGACTCCATCTCAAAAAAAAAAAAAAGAAAAGAAAAAAAAAGAAGAGAGATCCTCCCACCTCAGCCTCTTGAGTAGCTGGGACCACAGGCACACACCACTATGCCTGGATTTTTTTTTTTTTTTTTTTTTTTTTTTTGTAGAGACAGGGCCTCACCATGTTGCCCAGGCTGGTCTTGAACTTCTGAGCTCAAGGGATCAGTCCGTCTCAGCTTCCCCCCAGCCCAGACACTTTGGCTTTGCCCATTTTATGGGTAATAAGTGATATCTCAGGGTTTTTTGTTTGTTTGTTTGTTTGTTTGTTTTGAGACTGAGTTTTGCTCTTACAGCCCAGGCTGGAGTGCAGTGGCACGATCTCAGCTCACTGCAACCTCCGCCTCCCGGGTTCAAGCGATCCTCCTGCCTCAGCCTCCCAAGACACATACCACCACGCCCGGCATTTTTAGCAGAGATGGGGTTTCACCATGTTGGCCAGGCTAGTCTCAAACTCCTGACCTCAGGTGATCCACCCACCTCGGCCTCCCAAAGCGCTGGGATTACAGGCGTGAGCCACTGCGCCCCGCCCCCTCAGTGTTGTTGACTTTACATTTCTCTTACTTTTTTTTTTTTTTTTTTTTAAGAGACTGTGTCTCACTGTGTTGCCCAGGCTGGCTTCACTCAAGCGATCCTCTCGCCGCAGTCCCTGGAGTAGCTAGGATTACAGGCACCCGCCACCACTCTCGGCCCCATTTCTCTTATTTAAAAAAAAAAAAATTGCCGTGAAATACGCATATCGAAATGTACCATCTTCACCATTTTTAAGGGTAAGATTAGGTGGTGTTAGGTATGTTCAGTTGTCGTGCAACCAGATTGCTGTTTTAAATAACAGCACTTAGAGATGCCGACTTCGTGCCAGGCCCAGTTTGGGACATTAGGGACTCCCAGATGAATCAGCCGCTCCAGTGGAACTCCCTGCTGGTGGGGGAGGCACTGGCGAAGCGGTGCTGAGCCGAGTCCTGACGGCGCTGGAGCTGAGGGGCAGTGCGGGATGCCCCAGGAAGGCTCCTAGGAAGAGGGGACCCACGGTGACTTCCTAAGGAAGCGCGGTTCCCAGGTAGAGGAGCGCATGTGAGCCAAGATCCCTAGGCCTGAGCCGTCTAGGTGTGTCCCAGGAACTGCAGGAAACGGTTGGGTGAGTCAGTGGTGGGCAGCGAGGGTGATAAGCCCCTTCGTGTCTTCGGGATGGTAAGTTTGGGGCACAGGTGAGTGAAGACCGAAGGCCAGGGGTGGACTGACACTCCGTGGCAGGCGCAGGGCCGGGCAGGGGGGCGGCTTGGGGGTGGCAAGGTTTGGGTGAGAAATGGCAGCCCATGGGGAACTACCGCAGGGCTCTGAGACCTTCAGAGCCAAGCCCCGACGCCCCTTCCCACCTGCGGGGCAGAACTGGGGATGGCAGGGGGGAGGGTGGTTCCCAAAGGAGATACCATCCCTGGTAAGGGGACATGGGCCCCTGGGAGTTGGGTTGGGCCACAAGGAGAGAGGCCTGAACGGCCAAAGGGAGGGGGCGTGGGGGAAGCCGCAGCATCAGACCTCTGCCTCCTCCCTCAGATCGTGAGGCTCCCCAGCCTGGCTCGGGAGACCCCGAGATCCCCGGCCGGTGACAGCAGGCGACCCCCTGCTCCTGTCAACCTGTGGGTCCCTACGGACGTGGGGAAGGGAGGAGGGAGGCCCCAGCTCCCTGCGGGGGAGGGGCGTGAAGACGCGCGGGGGTGGGGGGAGATGAGCCGGCGTCGCCATGACAACGAGGCCGGTGGTCCGGCCTTGGGGACCCGGGAGGGAGGGAGGCGCCGTGGCCGCGCGCGCGGGCGGGGGCGGGGGGCCAGGTCTCCCAGGAGTAGTTGGGGAACACCCGGCGATTCTGGCGGCTGCTTCCTGGTGGCGCAGGGAGCCCGCGTGTTTGCGAGTGCGTGTGTGTGCGAAGTTCTCCGGGTAAGTGTGCCAGCGCGCGCCTGGGTGTGTGCAAGGGTGTGAGCGTGCACACGTGGGCACGGGCGTGTGCGCGCGGGGGTGCCCGGTTGGATGTGTGCACACGAGTGTGTGCCGGTCCGCGTGCCCCTGCGTGAGTGTGCGCGCGCGAGCACACGTGTGTGTGCGCGCTCGCGTGCGCTCCCGAGCGGGCCCCGGGTGGGAGTCCGAGATCCCGCCCCCTCCCCAGCCCCAGCGCCCCTCCCCGTCCCCCGCCGCCGCGCCGGCTGCATCCTCGCCTCCACCTCGCTCACCCCCTCCTCCCCGCACTTTCTCGGCGCTCCCTCCCTCTCGGCTCGCACAGCTCGACTCCGCGCTCTCCTCGCCGGCCGCCGCCGCCCAGCCTGCGCCCGCCGTCCCCCCAGTGCCTGGGCACCTGTTGGAGGCAGAGGCAGGTGCAGGGGGCTGGGCAGGCCGGGGGCGTGAGGGTGCGGGGAAGCGTGCCAGCCTGTGTGCGCTACGGGGGTGTTCGGCTCTCCTGCGGCTGCAATTTCTGGCTCCCCTGAGGAGCCAGAGGTGGCATCTGAGGCTGGGGTCTCCACCGTGGGCTGTGGTGAGCGAGCGGGGGAACCAGGCAGGCAGACAGGTCCTGGGGCTGAATGAGGGGACAGTGGGCAGTTGGAGCCTAGAGGGGTGGGTGACACCCTGACTAGACCAGCGCCTGGTGCAGAGGAGGACAGAGCCTCCGAGAAACAGAGGCGGGGCCCTGCAGGGCCCCTTGGGGGACAGGCAGGCTCAGGAGCAGAGGGGAGCCCCGGAGGAGAGGAAGGAGCTGGCAAGATGATACAGGGACAACCTAGAAGTGGGTGGGTGAGGACGGGGTGGTGCAACCTCGACTTCTGCAAGGAGTGGGTTGGCAGCCCAGCCCCTGTGGAGTCAGCTTGGGGTCTGCAGGGCCCAGGCCTCCCACCTGCCACCGGCTGGCACACACCACCCTCTCCCTCGACACCTAGGAAGGGAGGCCAGTGAGGGCCCCACAGACCGAGGAGGCCGTCGCCTGGCCCTCAGCCAGGATGGCTAGGTATGATGGGCTCACTGGCTCACACGCCCTCTCCTAGCCAGGGGTGCTGCATGAGGGGCCGCAGGGGCGATCGCATGACCATCAACATCCAGGAGCACATGGCCATCAACGTGTGCCCCGGGCCCATCCGGCCCATCCGCCAGATCTCTGACTACTTCCCCCGGGGACCAGGACCTGAAGGGGGCGGCGGGGGCGGCGGGGAGGCCCCCGCCCATCTGGTCCCCCTGGCTCTGGCCCCCCCTGCAGCCCTCCTTGGGGCCACCACGCCTGAGGATGGTGCGGAGGTGGACAGCTATGACTCGGATGATGCCAGTGAGTCTGGGGGCTTGGAGGCCCCATGTGCTGGTGGGGGTCTCCAGGCTTGCCGTGGTGGGGGGAGAGGGGGATGGGCCCTGCTGGCTGTGCATGTAGGTAGGGGAGGAGGGCAGTGGGGGGGTGGCAGGGACGGCCACCACAGCTGCAGTCAGCGTGGAGATTACAGCTTCAGCAAGGCTCAATATTCAGTATTTCTGCTGAGACACTCCACCACCCACACAGCCCCAGTTGCGGCCGAGCCAGGGACCCAGACGCACACACGCATGGGCCCACTCAGCCTCTTGCACTCACACTCGCGGGCTGGCAAGAGAGAGAGACACACAGAGCCAGTGCCCACCTGCTGGCCTCTCGCACACACCTGTCTCCATACCGACCCATGCTGCCTTTCCTCTCTCTCCAGCCGCCCTAGGCACGCTGGAGTTTGACCTTCTCTACGACCGGGCCTCCTGCACTCTGCACTGTAGCATCCTCAGGGCCAAGGTGGGCACTCCCTGCCACCCAAGCCCGGGCCCGGTTTGCGTGCAGCCCCCAGAGGGGGCCCATTCCTCCTTCCCTTCCCAGGCCTGCTCCTTCGTCCTGCCCTTGCCCCCTCCTTCTGGGCTCCTCCAGGGTCCAGCTCTACAAGAGGGATGGAGAGAGGTGCCGGGAGCCTCTAGCCCTCTCCCCTGCCCTCCTCTCCAGGGCCTCAAGCCCATGGATTTCAATGGCCTCGCCGACCCCTACGTCAAGCTGCACTTGCTGCCTGGAGCCTGTAAGGTAACAGCCTCCTCTCGCCCCGCCCGGCCCAGCCCATGACTCCAGCCTGTGGGGCTGGAGGACAGGTATTGAGAACCTTTCATCCCCACATCCCAGGCCAATAAGCTAAAAACGAAGACTCAGAGGAACACACTGAATCCCGTGTGGAATGAGGACCTGACTTACAGCGGGATCACAGATGACGACATCACGCACAAGGTGCTCAGGTGAGGGCCCCCCTCCCCACCACCCAGCAGCAGCTCGGGGACAGCTGACATTGTAACCGCTGGTTGGTTGATCTATGTCCCATTAAGCCCGTACCTCTCTGATGCTCAAGAACCATCAGCGGCTCCCTAGCCCCTTTGGCAGCAGGCCAAAATTCTTCCCTGCCATTCCTGCCCCTCAATATCTCCTGCCTGCCAGGTGTGGTGGCTCACACCTGTAATCCCAGCACTTTGGGAGGCCGAGGTGGGCGGATCACTTGAGGTCAGGAGTTCAAGACCAGCCTGGCCAACTTGGTGAAACCCCCGTCTCTACTAAAAATACAAAAATTAGCCGGGCGTGGTGGCATGTACCTGTAAATCCCAGCTACTCGAGAGGCTGAGGCAGGAGGATCACTTGAACCCGGGAGGCAGAGGTTGCAGTGAGCCGAGATCGCACCACTGCACTCCAGCCTGGGTGATGGAGACTCCATCTCAAAAACAAAACAAAAGTATCTTCTGCCCCTCAAACAGAGGACTCCCTTCTTCCAACTGGCCAGTTCCACAACTCCTGAACTTTTCCTGTTGTTTTCTATCTGGAAAGCTCCTTCCTGCCAGCCTAAATTCCGCTCATCTGAGGTTCAGTCCAAGCTCTGCCCCCTCCCAAAAACGTTCCTGGGTTGCCGAGACCCCTTCTCAGAGCCCTTGGCTTAAGCCAGACCTCTGCAGCTTTGGTCTGCCCCTTCCGTGCCTTGAGTTCCCCTAAAATCTCTTAAGGAGTGAAGTCTTCAGGGACAGGGAACTTGCTCCGTCATCCTAGGAGATGGAGATGTAGGGAGAGTACTCCCTCAAGTCAGGTGGCGGGCAGCGAAACCCAGGCTCTGGAGAGACCTCTGCCTTTGTGCTTGGATTTGCAGCTGGGACCTTCCCTGATGGTCAGGGCTGTGCAGCAGAGAGGCCACCTTGGTTTCAGCTATTCGGGTGGAATGGAGGGGAGGCCAGAGGCCAAAACCAGAATGAGACCAAAAAATGAGCGCTCACCAGGGCCCAGCCCAGGCTTAGCATTTTCACATTTCTTTCTTTCCCTTGACTATCTCCATTTACAGATGGGAATTGAGGCATAGGGTGATCAAGTGACTTGCCCAAGGTCACACAGGTGGCTCAGAAGTGGCAGGGCTGGGATCTGCCCATCCTCCATGCCACAGATGCCCAGCCTGGTAGTGGGTCACTGCGGAGGCAGGGCAGGGACTGCAGGAGGACAGGTGGCTGGAAAGCAATCATTTCTTAGTGAGTCCCTGCGGGGCTGGCTCTCTGCTGCATGCAGGAAAAGGACGGGGGTTCCCGAGGAGGCGTGGGGTACTGGTCTGGCTGCCCAAGGCTCCAAGGCCCTTCTAGCTCTCACGGCCTGTGTCTATGGCCACATCCACCGTGGTGTTCGGCTCCTGCCCCCAGGCCCTGAATGGAGGCAGTGAGCAGCGTGCTCCAAGATTTCTGAGGGCTTCCCACAATGGCTGAGCATGTCCTGATGGACCAGGGACAGCCGGGTGGCTGCAGAGGGAGGGACAGAGGAATGGGCAAATCTGCTTGTCCTTCTCAAGTGCCAGCCTGTCTTCCAGATGAGACGTAGTGTTTAGGGCAGAGCTGGGCTGGTCCAAGGCCCTTCCTACACCCCGGAACGGGGCTCAGGTACCCCAGGGGCCCTGACACTGCAGTTCCCGACCAGGATCGCCGTCTGTGATGAGGACAAGCTGAGTCACAATGAGTTTATTGGGGAGATCCGCGTGCCCCTCCGCCGCCTCAAGCCTTCGCAGAAGAAGCATTTTAACATCTGCCTCGAGCGCCAGGTCCCGGTCTGTGTGGGGGCTGCAGGGGCGCCAGGGGAGGGGGCCCTGGGGAGGCCAGGCTTCCAGAACCTTCTCTTTGCCCCCTCAGCTGGCGTCCCCCTCTTCCATGTCAGCGGCGCTGAGGGGCATCTCCTGTTATCTGAAGGAGGTGAGGCACCTCATGGGGATGGGGATGCATGTGGGTGGGAGGCTGCAGGGGCCCAGGCTGACCCTGAGTCTGTGCCCCGCAGTTGGAGCAGGCGGAGCAGGGGCAGGGGCTGCTGGAGGAGCGTGGCCGCATCCTGCTGAGTCTCAGCTACAGCTCGCGGCGCCGGGGACTGCTGGTAGGCATCTTGCGCTGCGCCCATCTGGCTGCCATGGACGTCAACGGTTACTCGGACCCCTACGTCAAGACGTGAGCCCTTGCTCTGACCCTCTCCTCCCCAGGGAGCCTGCCCTGGCCTGAGTTGGGCCTGGCCTGTCCCTCACCCCTCAGTTCGTCTCCCTCCACCCCACCCCCAGGTACCTGAGGCCCGATGTGGACAAGAAATCCAAGCATAAGACGTGTGTGAAGAAGAAGACTCTCAACCCAGAATTTAACGAGGTACCCAGGAGGGGACGGGACATGGAGGGAGGCCAGGGAGGGGCTGGGGAGCTGGCTCACGAACGGGTGGCCGGCCTTGTCCCTAGGAGTTTTTCTACGAGATAGAGCTCTCCACTCTGGCCACCAAGACCCTGGAAGTCACCGTCTGGGACTATGACATTGGCAAATCCAATGACTTCATTGGTGAGGGAGGAGCTGGCTGCGGGTGTTGAGGGCGGGCAAGTGGCAGGGAGGTGGCCCTGACCCTGCCCACCTGCTCCCCAGGTGGCGTGTCCCTGGGGCCAGGTGCCCGAGGCGAGGCTCGGAAGCACTGGAGTGACTGCCTGCAGCAGCCGGACGCAGCCCTGGAGCGCTGGCACACCCTGACCAGTGAGCTGCCCCCTGCGGCCGGGGCTCTGTCCTCAGCCTGAGTGGACAGCAGTGTCCCGGCACAGGCCCATCGAGCCGGGTCCAGTACCCAACCTTCGCACGAGTGTGTTGCACGTTTACACAGGGTGGGCTGCCCCCACCCTGCACTACCTATTTTTGTGAGTCTCCGTGACCCGGGTCTGTCTGCTCATGAGGGGCTGCGGAGTTCTATATTCACATATGCAAACCTCCTGCCTGACTCGCTAGTCCCTGCAAATATGCAAACCCCCCATCATCTGCACACCCGGGCAGTGCTCAGAGCCCGGCCCCAGGCCCCCGCGCTCCTCACTCCTGCCTCTCCACGCTGCCCCGTCCCTCTCCCCCAACAGGGAGGAGGTCGGATTAGGGGAGGTTCAGAGGAGGAGAATGTCTCAAAAAAAAAGGACAAAAAACAAACCCAGAGCCACTCCTTTAATACAGAAACTTCATTGAAAAAACCTAGCCCTGTACAGCTGCCCTTTTAAAGAGGTGGCCATTGCAGGGTCTCTGCCTCCCCAGCAGGTGGCAGATGCTCCCGGCCACTCGTTTAAATAACTGTCCCCTGGAGGGGGCCGGGGTTTGAAGGCAGGGCCCCTGCCACCCTCCTGGGGGACACCCGTGCATGTTTACGCCTTTTCTGGTTGTGTCAGTGGCCGGAGCATGGCAGCTGGGCATCAATAAACACCTCCGAGGAAGCTGGACTCGTGTGTGCTGGCACGGGGAGGGCGCCGGGCGGGGCCGTGGTGGGCATGGCGTGATGTCACGGTCACTCCGGGATGTCGATCACCAGGTCATCGTCTCCATCCAAGGCATCGTCCCCGCTACCTGCATCGCTGAACATCTGCCGAGGGACCGTGCTCAGGATCGTGGGGGGGGGCATCTTAGGGGGTGGGAGGGGGGTCAGGGTTGTCCCGACCCCAGCCCCAGAACCCCGGCCAGGGAAGGTCAGCGGCCCTCCCACAGGGCAGTCGGGGGGTCCCACCGCCATCTGCAGCAGGGGGAAGAAACACAGGGGGACTAGTCAGGGAGGCACTGGGGCCTCAGGAGACTAGGCTTTGCCCCCCAGGGCAGCTCTGGGGAGGGGGAAGAGGCCCTGGGCACAGCTGGGCCAACCCATGCTGCACTCAGGGCCTGCCCCCCTCAGCCCCTCGAGAGCCTCAAACCAGCAAGTGCCTGGGGGTGGTGATAGAGGTGAGATGAGGGGATGGGGGTGTCTCACAGGAAACCGGGAGGGAAAGGCCCGGGCACCTGCCCTCTCCAGGGAGGCGCCTGGGCTGCCCTGAGACAGGGGTTAAGCCAGAGGCGGAGTCGGCCTGGAGTGCTTGCCTGCCTGCCGGCCCCGGAGGTGCCACCTGCCACCAGCTTCCTCTCCCTACTCCTCCTCTCCCTCTTCTGCGGCACTCACTGGTTCGGTGGAGGGTATTGCAGGCTGCCTGAGCCAGGAGCCCCAGCGGCTTATCTGCCCCCAAGAAGCTTGTATTATGTCTTGGATGGGCCCCTCCTCGGGGTCCCGGCAGCTGTGGCCTAGGCCCAGCCCTCCTCTTAGCTCACCTGGGCTGCGGTCCCAGCCTCCTAACTGGACTCCCTGCCCGCAGCCTCTCCCAGATCCAGCTCCTCCGCACGGCAGCCAGAGCGCGCGCTCTAAAACACAGACCTGAGCGCGTCACCGTGCCACTCGGGGCCTCGGGGCGGGAGTGCCGCCTGCGGGACGACAGGCAGCCCCTCCCCCTGGGCATCCTGCTCTATTTGTCAGAAGTCCTGCTTTGTCCTCTGAGGGTGGGAAGTGGCCTCTGCCCTGCTCAACCCTTCAGCTCCCCCCCGCTGCCAGGTCCTCACAAACCCTCCCTAGAGAGCTCTGTGGGTCTCCTCTGCAGTCCCCGTGCTTTGTCTGTGGGCACAAACTGGGCACCTGCTGTGTGTCAGGTGGTTTCTGTTAATGCCCTCCCAGCCTCAGGACACTGGGGGGCGGGAAACGGGGAGAAGTCACGTGCCAGCAGAGGAGGCTGAACCTGGTGTGGACATGGAGGTCCTGAGGCTTAGGCCTGCTGGGTCCTGCGGGGCAGTGTCCAGTCTGGCCCTGGGCTAGATGCTGAGTGGGCTGGCAGGAAACGCCATGCGTGGTCTCCAGTGGCCCTTCTGAGTGTCACATTTGGCCCTGTGGCCTCCTCTCTGCTTCCTAAGGAGCCCTCACTTACCCTCATCTCCGCTGCTGGGGTGGTGTGGGGGCCAGGGTGGGTCAGGCCTCAGGGTATAGGAGGCTGGCAGGATGGATGATGGGGGGTCCAACTCTGAACAGCACCCCCACGCCCTGCACCAGGCCCCCACATGTACACACACAAGCAGACATGCGTGTATGACTGGAAAGGACCATCCCCTCCTCTGGCCACCTCCTCTCCTTCCCCACTGTGCGCAGCATGTCCCACCCTGGCCTGGACTTCCTCAGTGGCGTCCTCTCAGCCTGACTGGCAGCGGCTCACATTTCTCTGTGGCTTACTAGGGGCCAGGCACGGGCCGAGCGATTTTCATCCCTTCACTCACATTCTCCGCACAATGCCGCCACTGAATGGAGAAAGAGAGCTGTGGCTTAAAGAGTGAAATGACAACGCTGAGGTCGCATGGTGAGCACTGGAAGAGCTGGGATTCAAAGCTGGCCAAGTCCAACTCAGGCCTGACAGAACCAACCTGCTTCTGTCTTCACAGCTATCCTTCCTCTGCTTGGACTCCCTTCCTTCCATCTCCTCACTCCCCTGGCCCTTCAGGGACTCCCGCTCCCCTGACAGTAACAGACAAATTCCCACTTCAGGCCACTGTCCAGGCCTTCCATGACCCCACCCCACCCGGTTCTTCTTGCCAATTTCTTACCACTCCTGCTCTGGCCCAGGCAGTGCTTTCCCTGTGGCCCTGTCTCCCTTCCCACTATGGCTTCAGCCAGGAATATCCAAATCCACTCACCCTGGGCTTACACGTTCTCCTTGCTGAGGCCTTTCCTGGCTTCTCCCCACCTCCCCCGACAGCCATGGACCTGGGCCACCCTCTCAAACCTTCTCTCCAGAATGTCTACAACTTTGCTCCCGGACATGACTCTGCTTCAGGACTCAGCACCCAGCCAGAAAGCCTCAAAGTGCCCCCCAGTGCTGCGCCACCCCCTACCCTGCCCGCCACCCCCCTGCTAAGAACCAGGGCCAGTACTGTCACCTCTGCTTCTCAGGCTCAAGAGGTGAAGCCTCACAGGGCCAAGGTCACACGGAGAAAACGGCAGAGTTGGGATTAGAGCTCCAGATCCTGTACTCCAGACCACCGCAAATGCGGCCTCTCATTCTGCTTCTGGCTCCAGAACCCTGGGAGCCGCCCAGTTGGTCCCCACTCCGCTCTGCCCCTCAGCCCATCCCCATCTCTCCCAAGGCTTGCATCTACCGCCAGCCTGGCGGCTTCCAAATGCGCAGCCCCTCACGGGCCGCTATCTAGCTGCCTTTCCAGATGGCATCTGACACATCCGCGGCCAGACTCAGTTTTCCTCCAAGCCTGTGGTCCCACAGCCCTCCCATCTCCAGGGAGGGAGACTCCACTCGTGCTCAGACTAAAGCCCTGGAGGCATCCTGGCCTCTCTCCCGCACAGCCCACACCAGGTCCTCCAGGAACTCCCATGCTCATTCTCTGAAATGGGTCCGCAGCTCCCTCTGGACCCTCTGCCCTTGGCCTGGTTTACCGTGGTGGCCTCCTCACTCCCGTCCCAACTCACTCCACCGCTCAGTCTGTTCTCTGACCACCAGTGTCTGCAATTTTGTTAAGATGCAATTAGATCACTCCCCCTCCACACCTGCAACCTGCGCCCCGCCAGGGAACTGCTGTCTCCAAGGCTTCATTCACAGCGAATCCTGCACACTGGCACCTCATGAGCTCCCCCTCTGACCTGCTCCGGGACCCAATTCCCTGCTTACTTTTCTCCCAAACACAGACTCTGCCCGACAGAAACACTGCCCAGGAGCCACACAGCTTGCTGCCATTTCCTGTAAGTCTCTGATCAAGAACATCCCAGACTGCTGGGCCCTAAGTGTCAGCCTCGTCCCCCTGGC
This sequence comes from Homo sapiens, assembly GCF_000001405.40. Lineage (NCBI taxonomy): Eukaryota > Metazoa > Chordata > Mammalia > Primates > Hominidae > Homo > Homo sapiens. The sequence goes on along the minus strand of NC_000016.10, from coordinate 30,002,135 downwards.
GTCCCCATGCTCTGGACCTCGCTCTGTTCTTCTCCACAAGTACCTACTTTTCTGGTGTGTTTTCTGCCTATCTTGCTAGACTGTGAGCTCTGTGAGGGCAGGCACTGGTCTGCTTTGTGCACTGCCGTGTAACAGGAGGCGCTCCAGGGGCGCTTGCTGGTCACATCGAGTAGGACCACTCGCCCTATAGGTGCCAAGCCTAGGAGGCCTAGAGGGTAGCAGAGACCTGCTCAAGGCCACGTGGTTTCTAACAGGCAGTCTTGACTTGACTCTAGATCCCATAATCCTGACCCGGTCTGGGGCTACCTGGCATCACACAACACGCCCCCCTGGGAAAATGAGCCTGGCCCCGCTACACTGCAGCCATGAAAGGGCGGGATCCCTGGCATCTGCACACCGGGTCCTCCAAGGCTGGTTCTGCCCTGATTTGTCTCCATACAAGCCTGTAAGCCGAGACTTCTGTGATCCACCCCTCAGTGCTAAGTGCTGACTGGGTCCCCAAATTAACTGTTCATGGTTCTCTGACAGGCCCCCGCCTTCAGCCTCCCTCAGGTGACTGTCCTCCTGCCGTCCTGCCCCTCCCTAGCACCCCCACGTCAGGGTACCTTGAGTTTCCGGGGCAGGCGGGGCCGTTTCTCCCGCTTGGGCCTCAGGGGACTGGGCTCGGGCAGCTGCAGGGCCAGGTAGTCAGAAGGGAATGGGGGGTAGCGGGAGGAGGCCAGCTGCGGGCGGGAGCGGGGATGGAGATGGGAGGCGGAATGGACCGGGGTGAGGGTGGGGGAAGAAATGCAAACAGAAGGAGGATGGAAAAACAAAAGAGATGGTGATGAGTGCGGCTCCCGGGGCTCCCGAGCACAGAAGGGCCGGGCAGCAGCAGGATGCTGTCCTGGGCTTTGCTCTCCTCAGTCAGGCCTGGCCCCGTTCCTATACCAGAGAGAAGGGGGCAGCCCCGACTCACACCCTCCACGGGACACTTGGGCCACACCCAGACAGATGTCCCCAAAGTTGGGCTGGCCTTGCCCCGAGGCCCAGCCCTTCTGCCCAAATGACGCCCACCTTACTCCCAAGCACTTCCCATCCCTGACCCCAACTCACCGAGCTCAGGTATGGGGAGGGGACCCCGGAGGCCTGAAGGGGAAACCCTGTTGAAGGAGGCAGGGAGAGGCTGGAGGGAGAGGGGGCGCCCCCCAGCGGAGGGCTTCTCTTCCTGGAGAAAGGACAGGGCGAGGTCAGATGTGGCTAGGAGCCCAGGCGCCCCACCTGACCCTCCCCAGCGAGAGGAATGCATCTTCTTCTCACCTCTTAGGGGCCGGTGTGTCAGACAACTTGGGTGTCCCCTCCGTCTCGCTGTTATCTGATGATGCAGTGGCATCTGAGTCTGTGATGGGGACAGCTGGTCAGTGGGGATGGGGGGATCCCAGTCCATCCCAGAAAGGTATAACCTCCTCTACACTACAGAAGGGCACTGGAAGACCAGGTGCGGGGGCTCACGCCTGGAATCCCAGCACTGTGAGAGGCTGAGGTGGCCAGATCGCTTGAGGCCAGGAGTTCAAGAGCAGCCTGGACAACCTAGCAAGACCTCATCTCTATTAAAAACAAAAACAATTATCCGAGCATGGTGGCGTGTGCTTGTAGTCCCAGCTACTCAGGAGGCTGAGGCAGGAGAACTACTCGGAGATTGAGACTGCAGTGAGCTGTGATTTTAACACTGCACGCCAGCCTGGGTGACAGAGCAAGACCCTGCCTCAAAAAAATGAAACAAACCAAAACCTAACAGAAGGGCCCCGGGGGAATCTGACTCACCAGCTGGTGGGCACACGCATGCACCACACACTCGAGCTGTCCCAGGGAGGCCCATAGCCTCTCCAGCCTCCCCAGCCCCCCGCCCGCTCTGGTTCCTCCGTAACACACCTGCCACGCATGGCCAGGGTGCCAGGCTCTTTCCCACTCACCACCTCTCCTTGTCATCAGATCCAAGGAAGGATGGGAAGGGCAGCACCTCCACTTGTCACATGAGGTCACCGAGGCTCAGAAAGTAAGGTGTGAGGCTAAGACTCCAAGCCAGGTCTGTGACTCCTTGGCTGTTTGATGCCACTGGTTCCTTGCCTCTGAGCTGAGCAGTCTTCAACTCCTGCCTCTGCCCCACTCCCCATAACCAGGGTCCTGTTCATCTACCCCTGAAGTCCTCCCCTTCATCCACTGCTCCCCACACCAACTAACACAGGTCAGGCCACCAGCACGTCAAAATCACCTGCTAAGCAGTCTCACCTCACCGTGCCACCCACTGTCCACCCCCAACCCCAGAGTGACCTAAAACAAACCTGGTCACATCCTTCCTGATGACATCACCCACTACCTGCATGAATTCATGGTGCTGCTTAATCTGGCTTCAATGTACCTTTCTGGTCAACTAACGTAACTGTATTCTTTAAAGCACACTGACCTATTTCGTCAAAAAAGAAATGTATTTCCTAGTTCAGTGCCTCTGCCTAGAAGGGCCATCTTTCATCGAACAAACGACTGCTACACCTATAGAAGCCGTTACCAATGTCTCTGCTCAGACAGACCCTTTAAGAAGCAGATTAAATGCCACCTCCTCTGTGAAGTCTTCCAGAATCCCTCAAGCCCAGTTAACTGCAGGCTCTCCTGGAACGCTCTACTCTCGTCATGGCTGCCCTCACACTGTGCTGAAAAGCGTCGTTTGCGAGTGTCTCCCTGGCCAGGGCGTGGGCCTCCAGGACGGGAGTGGGGCTCGCATCGCTGGCTCTTCCTCCTCAGATGCAACCCACTCTGGCCATGAACATGCTGGGTTCTCTCCCACCTCCTGCCCTGAATTCCCCTCAAACAGGATGTTAACTGGAAGCCCCTAGGGAAGGAAGAGGCAGGGGATGAGAGGCTACAATAAAAGCCAAATCTCCTACTATGACCTACCTGAGTGGGCCCCTGCCTATTTCCCCAACCTTATCTACAATCCTCCTATAATAACAAGCAAATGGGTATCATGCGTTCTGACAAAACACTACGTCCTAAAACGTGGCTGGCTGCCACATGCCAATCCCTGCCTCAGACCAATGTGCTTTTTTTTTTTTTTGAGACGGAGTCTTGCTCTGTTGCCCAGGCTGGAGTGCAGTGGCGTAATCTCGGCTCACTGCAAGCTCCGCCTCCCGGGTTCACACCATTCTTCTGCCTCAGCCTCCTGAGTAGCTGGGACTACAGGCGCCCGCCACCACACCCAGCTAATTTTATGTATTTTTAGTAGAGACGGGGTTTCACCATGTTAGCCAGGACGGTCTCGATCTCCTGACCTCGTGATCTGCCTGCCTCGGCCTCCCAAAGTGCTGGGATTACAAGCGTGAGCCACCGTGCCCGGCCCAGACCAATGTTTAAAGGCACCACGGAGAGAGGTGATTCTACGTGACATGGCTTACGAGGGCCTCACCCAGGAAGAGGCCCACAAATGCCTACCTTAGGGCTTTTTCAAACTGTGGGTCTCAAGCCATTAGTGGGTCATGAAATCAATTTATTGGTTTGCAACCAGCATTAAAAGAAGGGGAAAAAAGCAGTCTAAAAAGTGTCAGGATGAATTGGATACAGTGATCTTAAAAATGTTTCGTTAAACTTTGTTTTGTTTAACATGTGGGGCCCTGGTTATGATGTAAAATATAGTTAACTGCAGACAATATTCAAATAAAAGGACGAAAACAGTGTTCTCTCTCTTTCATGCCTCTGCTCTTCAACCAAGCCTGACCTGTTCTTACCTCAGGGTAGCTGCATTTATATTATTCTGCCGGGACAGCTCTAGCCCACTTCTTCACAAGATTGGTTTTTGTTTTTTTTTTTTTTTTGAGATGGAGTCTGGCTCTGTTGCCCAGGCTGGACTGCAGTAGTGCAATCTCAGCTCACTGCAAGCTCCACCTCCCAGGTTCACGCCATTCTTCTGCCTCAGCCTCCCGAGTAACTGGGACTACAGGTGCCCACCAACATCCCCGGCTAACTTTTTGTATTTTTAGTAGAGACAGGGTTTCACTGTGTTAGCCAGGATGGGGTTTCTTTCTTTTGAGACAGTCTTGCTCTGTCACCCAGGCTGGAGCACAGCGGTGCTATCATGGCTCACTGCAGCCTTGACCTTTCAGGCAAGGGATCCTCCTGGTTCTGCCTCCCAAGTAGCTGGGACCACATGTATACACCACTATACATGGCTAATTTTTTTTTAATTGAGATGGGGTCTCACTATGTTGCCCAGGATGGAAGGCTGGTTTCTTCTCTGGTCCCAACTCAAATGTCACTCTGTGAAAGGCCTTTCTTGAGTACTCCATTCAGAGGTTGCCTGCTGCCTGCTTGTGTGGTCTGCAAGCTAAGAAGGGCGTTTTTTTTTTTTTTTGAGACGGAGTCTCGCCCTGTCACCCAGGCTGGAATGCAGTGGCAGCGATCTCGGCTCACTGCAACCTCTGCCTCCAGGGTTCAAATGATTCTCCTGCCTCAGCCTCCCCAGTAGCTGGGATTACAGGTGCACGCCACCACACCCGACTAATTTTTGTATCTTTAGTAGAGACGAGGTTTCACCATGTTGGTCAGGCTGGTCTTGAACTCCCGACCTTGTGATCCGCCCACCTCGGCCTCCCAAAGTGTTGGGATTACAGGCGTGGGCCACTGCACCTGGCCAAGAATGGCTTTTAAGCTTTTAAACGGTTGGAAAAAAAAAAAACTAAAGAAAAATTTTTCATATGGAAAAATATGAAATTCAAATTTCAGTGCCTATAAAGTTTTATAGAAACATAGCCATACTCATGTATTTGCCTATGGGGTACGGCTGCTACTACAATGGCAGAGTTCAGTAGGTGCTTCAAAGATTGTATGTTGCAAAAAGCTTACTTACCATCTGGCCCTTTGCAGAAACAATTCATCAACCCCTGTTCTACTATAATCATTACCGCATAACTGTTTTCATTACCTTCAAGTCCTTCCTATGACCTAAAATTCTAGTCTATTGTCTTCATTTACTTATTCTTCCCAACTAGAATATAAATTACAAGAGGCCAAGGGCTTTGCCTATCTCTGCCTCTGCTGTATCCCCTGTGCCAAGCACAGTGCCTGAAACACAATAGGTGCTCAGTAAGTGCCTGAATGAAAGAACGGTGGAGGTGGAAGGCAAGCAACTAGGCTTAAGGACCACTGGGGGCTGCATCAGCCACCACTGCCTAAAAGGCGGGGGCCCAGGAAGCTTGCTAAGTACCAGGAACCATGCTCTCCACCAATTTTTGAAGACCTTGCTCACCCGAAGAGTCTTCATCCACGTTCTCGTACTGCAGAAGTCGGTCTAGGAGGAAACTGAGGGGAGGGAAGGAGACACGGACAGTGATTTTCCAGCGCAGCAATGTCCTCCTGGGTACCTGTCCCTCCCAGCTGGCCCATCGGATACTTGAAAGAGCCCATGCACTTGTGGCCCTACTCGGGGATGGGGTCCGAATGTAGATTTCCTAGGAAGCACATCGCCCTCCGCCCCTGCAACGTGCCTCACCTCTTGTCCCGGGACACCTTCAGTAATTTCCTTTGCGCTTTCCTCAGCTCCTCCTGGAAGCACTCGTGCTCCTGTATCACGGGCAAGGGGTGCGCTGGGCCAACGGTCCTCCGTGAAGGGCCCCGGAACCAGCGGCCGCTCGCCCCACCCACTTTACACCTGGGTAAACTGAGATCTTGTCCGCGCCAGGCCTCATCCCCCACAGCCTTCCCGCGGCAGCACTCACGTAGATGAGGAACTTGAGCTTCCGCTTCAGATTCCGGTATTTTTTTTTGTAGTCCACTTCGCCGTCCGCCGGCCCGTTCATGACCGGCCCGGGAGTGGCGCCCAGAGTCTGCCCTCCCGCTACCCCAAGCAGTGGCTGCCGTGCCGCTCCCGCCTCCACTTCCGGAGACGCTGCAAGGCTGTGCCGTCAGGACTACAACTCCCGGCGTACCCCGCGCTCAGGGGCGTCACCGCACGGGCCGACCTCCCGGGGGACACTGGGACAGGAGCGCGGCAGCCACTGCGCTGGGGATGGCGTAGCAGCGACGCGGTGACGCCACAAAAATGGCGGACGCTGGAAAGCGCCGTTCCTGACTCTAATGTACTTAGACACTTGAAGCCACAAAAGGATTTATCCCCGAGGTTCCTCATCTGCTCGCGAGGATGCCTTTTCTCTTCTGCCTTGCGAAATAACAGCAGCCTAGCTGTTGCCCGTGACCAGTGAGAAAGGCAGCGTCGCGGGCTGATTAGGTTTCACCCAAAGGGTGCCGGCGCCGAATTGGTTTCTAACGAGAACTTTTAAAATGATCCGTTCCAAAAAAGGGTAGGAGCCGCGAGACCCTCCAACTGCCCAGAGAAAACAAGTCTCGTCTGGCAAAGTTCTCGGCCCACGCGGTCCGCGGCCAAGGGCCAACGGTCCCTCGCCCCACGTTGCCGCAGCACTGCGCGTGCGCGAGCCGCTGTCAAACGCGCTGACGGAGGCCGAGAAGAAAAAAAGGCGGGAGCCGTCAATCCCGGGTTGAGCAAAATGGCGCGGGAGAAGGAGATGCAGGAGTTCACCCGTAGCTTCTTCCGAGGCCGCCCGGACCTCAGGTGCCCAGGGGGTTGGAGATGGGGTTGGAAAGGGCGCGGGTGGGTCGGGACTCCGTCCTGACACCATGTCCCTGCAGCACGCTTACGCATTCCATCGTGCGGCGGAGGTACTTAGCTCACTCGGGCCGCAGCCACCTGGAGCCCGAGGAGAAGCAGGCACTGAAGCGGCTGGTGGAGGAGGAGCTGCTGAAGATGCAGGTGTGCCGGGCCGGAGCCTGGGCCGCGGGAGGCGGAGGCGGGGCTTGCTGCTGAGGAGGAGGGGCCTGACGGGGCGCGGTGAGCGCAGCCTTGGTGCATAGTTTGCCCTCTTGGCGCACACACAGGTGGATGAAGCCGCTTCCAGGGAAGACAAACTGGACCTTACCAAGAAGGGCAAGAGGCCTCCCACCCCTTGTAGCGACCCGGAGAGAAAAAGGTTCCGCTTCAATTCAGAGTCGGGTTAGTGCTTCCTCCCTGCTGTGGGGGCCTTCTGCATCGTTGGTTCACTCAAGAAGCATTCACTGCGCATCTCTTATGTCCCCAGGCGTTAGATGAGGGAGCAAGGCTAGTGAGTCAGGAACCGGGAACAGCAAGTACAGATAGCTGTTTCCTGCTGCCCCTCCAACTGTCAGGGCAGGGCTCGAGGCAACCTATCCGAAGTGAAGGGAGAAGGGACAGGAGGAGCCTGTCTCAACCCTCTCTCCTCTCCATATTCCAGAGTCCGGCTCTGAAGCCTCCAGCCCAGACTACTTTGGACCCCCAGCAAAGAATGGGGTGGCAGCAGAAGTCAGCCCAGCCAAAGAGGAGAATCCAAGGCGAGCCTCAAAGGCAGTTGAGGAGAGCAGTGATGAGGAACGGCAGAGGGACCTGCCCGCACAGAGGGGAGAGGAGAGCAGTGAGGAGGAGGAAAAGGGGTACAAGGGGAAGACTAGGAAGAAACCTGTGGTAAAGAAGCAGGCACCAGGCAAGGCCTCAGTCAGTAGGAAGCAGGCCAGGGAAGAAAGTGAGGAGAGCGAGGCAGAACCCGTTCAGAGGACAGCAAAGAAGGTGGAGGGAAATAAAGGAACTAAAAGCCTGAAGGAAAGTGAACAGGAGAGTGAAGAGGAGATCCTAGCCCAGAAGAAAGAGCAGAGAGAGGAGGAAGTGGAGGAGGAAGAGAAAGAAGAGGATGAGGAAAAGGGGGATTGGAAACCCAGAACCAGGAGCAATGGCCGGAGAAAGTCAGCTAGGGAGGAGAGGAGCTGTAAGCAGAAAAGCCAGGCAAAGAGGCTCTTGGGAGACTCAGACAGCGAGGAAGAGCAGAAAGAGGCAGCCAGCAGTGGGGATGACAGTGGGAGAGATAGAGAACCCCCAGTGCAGAGGAAGAGTGAGGACAGGACCCAGCTTAAGGGTGGGAAGAGGTTGAGTGGAAGCAGCGAGGACGAGGAAGACAGTGGGAAGGGGGAACCCACAGCTAAAGGCTCTAGAAAGATGGCCAGACTGGGCAGCACCAGTGGTGAGGAAAGTGACTTGGAGAGGGAGGTAAGTGACAGCGAGGCAGGGGGAGGCCCCCAGGGGGAGAGGAAGAACCGCTCTTCCAAGAAGAGCTCCAGGAAAGGCAGGACACGAAGCTCCTCTTCCTCCTCAGATGGAAGTCCAGAGGCCAAAGGAGGGAAGGTGAGGGTGAGGAGGGGTGGGAGGCCACTATTAGGGAAGAGGGAGACCCTGCCTCAGGCCCAGCAGGCTTGGCCTTCAGCTGCTCTTTCCTTGCTAGGCTGGCTCAGGTCGCCGTGGAGAGGACCACCCGGCTGTGATGAGGCTGAAGCGCTACATTCGGGCCTGTGGTGCCCATCGAAACTACAAGAAGCTGTTGGGCTCCTGTTGCTCACACAAGGAGCGCCTGAGTATCCTCCGGGCAGAACTGGAAGCGCTAGGCATGAAGGGTGAGGCCCGGCGTGCCCTGGGGGCTGCAGGAGAGGGCCTTCCTGCTGGGGAGGAGAGAATCACCAGCTTCTTCTGCCCCAGGTACCCCTTCCCTAGGGAAGTGTCGGGCCCTGAAGGAGCAGAGGGAGGAGGCAGCTGAGGTGGCCTCCTTGGATGTTGCGAACATCATCAGTGGCTCGGGTAAGGGGTTTCCTCTCACTGCCCAGGAGCAGATAGGTGGGGTTGGACCTTCTCAGACATCTGATCTCTCGTTTCCCCTTTCCCCTAGGCCGGCCACGCAGACGTACAGCCTGGAACCCTTTAGGAGAAGCAGCACCCCCAGGGGAGCTGTACCGACGGACCCTGGACTCAGATGAAGAGCGGCCCCGTCCCGCACCCCCAGACTGGTCACATATGCGTGGCATCATCAGCAGTGATGGCGAGAGTAACTGAGCTCTGCCACCCCCAGGAGGGACCCTTGATACATGTACAAAGCATACATAGCACCCCTTGCCCTGTGTCTGTGGAACAGAAGCAGCTTCCTTCAGAGAAGACTGCAGCTCCCAAGGACACAAGCTGTTGGGATGCTACTTCTCAGCTTCACGCTGTCCCTTTAAGGTGTTTATTTTTTAAGACTCAATAAAGGAGTGTTTTTAATCACCTCATCAAATTTGGTCCCCCATTCTCACCTCCTGTATTTTGGGCCAGGAAACTGAGCAGTAGTCACTGCCTCCACCTCCTCCCCTGGCCTGGTTCCCTTTAATTTCCCCCGGGTTCCTGGAAGAAGTCCCTGCCTCCAGACCCTGTCATCCAACAGCCACCAGACCCTTTTGGAGAAGGGTGTGTGGCTCCTGTGCTGCCCGCCTACCCCGTGGCCCCTCTGCTTTTAGCCTAGTCTGATAACCTAATGCCCACTTGGGAGAGGGATAGAATGACTTGAGGGCAGCCAGTGCTTAAGCCTTCTCCCTTATGCAAACAGCCACTTTGTCCATGGGCTGTTAGCCTCAAAGGGGTGGGGAAAAGCCCATACCTCCTGGGCCAGTCCTAGCCCTCTAGGCCTCTGGCTACAGGCCCAGCCTCTGCAGTCACATGAGGTCTCCACTGAACTCTGGCTGCTGAGGCTTGCGGGAAGATTCGTGAGCATGGAGCTGCCTGGGGTCTGTGTGGGAGGCAAACCTAAGAATCTTTGAAGTCAAAGCAAAGAAAACGAATTAGAGGTCAAGGGGTTGAAGACCACCTTTGAGATCCGAGATCTGGTCACACCTAAAGTCATTAAAATCACTGAAATGTTTAGATACACAGCCCAATAAATTCTCTTTATAAAACACAAGCAGTACTATTCAGTGGCCACTGAGCAGTCCTTCACGCACACCAAAGACAGAAGGGTGAGTCCTGAGATCTGTTAGAATAACCAACAGTTTATTAAAAGCTTGCCTGGGGCTCTGTGCCAGCCCCACAGCTGAGAGGGGCTCCCACGACTGCCCCCCAGGCCTGGGAGCAGCCCCTTCCAAGGTCCTTCCCTTGTTTCCCCGCCCCAGCCCTGATCCCAATTAAAAAAAAAAAAAAAAAGATAAAGGACAAGACGGCACAGGACGTCAGACAGTTACGGGAAGAGACCCAGGCATCCTGACCCCAAGACCCCATCCTGATCCTTCCTGCCAGTAAGGTGGCCTCTCATTCTCCCTGCCTCAGGCCCCAGACCTGCTCTGCCCTGTGGCAGGTCTGAGGGCCTCACTGTGAGGGTAGTATAGTTCTCTGAATATAGTATGTCTAGACCCACCCTTCCCCTCCCCCAGGGGACTAGATGAATATTTGACACGCACATCTCCCTCCTTTCCTAGGTGGCGGAGGGAGACCCCTGGCACCATGGTAGGGAGGCGGGGCTCCCAGGCAGCCTTGAGGCACCTATCGCCAAGCTGGCCCTGGGCCACTGGCCAGCCCCAAGAAGCTCATGAGATGAGGAGGTCTGAGGGGAGCTGGAGCCTACATCTTGTCCCCTACCCTTGCAGGGGCCTCCAGCTCAGTGCCCTCCAGGGTCAGGCTCCACCCACCCCTGCCCTGCCCAGCTCATCTGCTCCTCCCCGCTGCACCTCAGGAATAGAAGTGGGAAGAACCATTGAGGATGTGGGAAGCGACACTGGTGCTGCGGCTCAGGGGCCCGGGCACCGCGGCAGCAGGGGGGCCCACATTCTCACTGCCACTGCCCCCCGAGGCTGCCCGCCGCAGGGGCTGGGGGCTGTTTCTTAGCAGCAGCAGGGCTCCGCCACGGGGTGTCCCACTTTGTGTGGGGGGCCCCAGCCAGTTTGGGGGGCCTGGGGGAGCCAGCAGAGACGGCTGACGCCAGGCTGGAGGGGGCATGCCTGGTGGAGGAGGGCCATGGCTCCAGTGTGCCCCAGAACGGGGAACGGGACGGGAGGGCCAGGCTGGGGCAGGGGGTGGAGCAGGATAGCCCTGGGCAGCAGCTTCAGCCGGGATGCCCCCCAGAGCCATGCTGGAGAAGCCCAGCCTCATGCTTTCCGCATCGAAGGCCTCGATCTCACGGGCCTGCCGCTCAAGCAGACTGCGGATTCGCTCGGAGCGTCCTGTCTGCAGGGCCAGCAGCTCCTCTTCCACCTGGGGCATCCGGAACAGAGGTTAGAGTCGGGGGCAGGAGCCCACCCTCCCTCCCCAGTCCTGGAGGCTGGGCCCCTTACCCGCTGCTCCAGCAGTGCCCGCCGCAGCGCGACCCTCTGCTCCAGCTCCCGCAGCTCCCTCTCGTGCTGGCTCTCTGTGCGGATCTTGATCTTGCTCTGGTAAGCGTTGAGCAGCTCCAGCTCCTGTTGAAGCTGCTGCCGAAGGGCCTGGAACTCTGCCTCCTGGGTCTCATCAAGCCGCAGCTGGGGAAGATGAACAACCAGTTGTAGGGATCTCCTCCCCCACCCCCACTATCCTCCCCTGCCCCAGGTAGGCCTGGGCCCTAAGGTTTCAAGAAGCAGCGGTCTCAACATCTATCAGAATGGAAGATGGTCATACCCTGTGGCACAGCAATTACACTGCAGAATCTATCCCCCAGGTATACTTGCACATGTGCTCGAGGTGTTCACGGAAGCGTTGTGATAGCAAAATACTGGAAACAACCTAAATGTCCACCAATAAGGGATGGGTTAAATAAATTATGGTACAGCCATACCATGGAAAATTCTATGCTGTAAAAAAAATGAGACAGGTGTACTGACAGGGGAAGATGTCCAAGAAATATTAAGTGGAAAAAAGAAGTTACAGAAAGTAAATGTAAAGTATGATTCCATCTGTGTTTAAAATTCATATAATTTTTCAAAATGTGCACTGAAAAAACACAAAATACAGTTAATTATTAACAAGTTACCTGGGAGAGGTGGGACTGGGTGAGAGAACAGCCTTGGGTGGGGCGTTTCCACTCTCCACCCTCTCCGCACATTTTAAGTGGCCCATTCCAGTGTTAGGTGTGATCATTTTTTTAGAACAGCAACTTTCAAAATCCTCCAGAAGTCTGAGTAAATGGGCTTGAGGGCCACACTCACTTTAATCTGCACCCTGTTTACCCATTAAACTAACTCAGGCCCAGGAAAAAAATAATAGCCACTCTTTTCCTTGGTGGTTCTTGGGAATAGGCACATGGCTTTGTCAAGACCTTAAGAAAATACTAAGAGAAAGAATAAAACCACTGAGGAGAATATGAAATAAATCATTGTGGAGAACACGAACAGAGGGAGAGTATGTGAGTTTCCCAAGTAAAAAAGCCCCAGCTCTGTGCATGCCCTGCACCGTCCATTTCTCTAAAGCAAAGTACAGAGCCTGGCCTCTAGCGCACTCCCTCCCTGGACCCCAGGCCTCACCGCCTGTGAGCTGAGCATCTCTGAGATGGACTGGTCATACTGCTCCGCCAAGATCGCCAGCTTGCGGGTCTGCTCTTCCTTGAGCCGCTTAAGGAGGCTCTTGTGCTGAGCTTTGGGCGTGGTCTCCAGCAAGTGTGCTCGCAGAGCCTTGTACTGCCGAGTCTGGATCTTACACGTCTCCTGGAACTGCTTCTTGATCTGCAGCTCCTTAGACTATGCAGTGGACGGATCAAGGGGAGATGGGGGCAGCGGGGAAGAGGAGGAGGAAGAGGAGGAAGAGGAAGAGGAGGAACAACCAGGGGAAATGGGGAGAAGAGAGAGAAGAGGAGAGGAGACAGAAGCAGAGACAGGGAGAGGGAGAGAAACAGAAAACATGTTAGACAGAGGGGGTGGGGGGAGCTGTATACAGACAGACAGACATGGAGAGGTGGGATCGTGTTGAGAGAGATCAGGAAGGTCTCGATGGGCAAGAGATGCAGAGAAGACAAGAGGTTCCAAGAGCACGTGCACGGAGTTGGGTGCGATACCCACGAGAAAGAACATCGGAGTTACTGGACAGGGAACTGAGGATCTTGGAAGCTCTGACCAGGCAAAGAGGGAGAGACTGTGACCTAGAGACAGAAGCACGTGAGCAAATATGAGAACGTGCACGAGAACAAGCGAGAAGAACCAGTCACACAAAACACCCATGAAGAAAGCAACACGACTAAGGACAGACACAGGAAGTCCCAGGTCCAGCAGCTCAGGGAGGAAGGCAGGGAAGGAGGAGAAGCACCGAGCTGAGAAATGGGTAAGAAGGGGCTGCCCCATTTTGGGCCGCAGAGGAGAAAGGGGCAAAGGAGGTGGCCAGAAAGGGCCTGACAAGTTCAACCGGCCAGCAGCTACCACCCTGACCAGATCCGCATTCCAGCCCGGCCCCTCACACACTCAGCTCCCACTCCAGGCCCACACTCAATCCTGCTGCCACAGCCTTCATACTCCGCCTGGTTGCCCCCAGCTCAGCACCCCCTACTGTGGAGGGTCTGCAGCCCCGTCCCCCAACCCACTAGGGTAATGCCTGATGCAGGAGAGCAATTTGGTCCCCTGCAGCCATGGTTGGGAGAAAAGGCAAGGGATGAGGAGACCAAGGGCCTGGAAACTAAGACCTCTGGAAGGAACCCGCAAACAGGCGCTCTGTGGGACCAAGAAGTTCGGTGAAGTTCTACAGGGGCCCAGACCCCAGAGCCGGTGGTGGTCATGGTGCAATGAAGCTATGAAGGCAGAGAGCATGAGGCTGGAGGAGTGAGGGGGCTGAGATAACGGAGATGGGGTGAAGAGGTCATGGAGCCGGGCCGAGGGTCAGCCTGGGGGCATACCGGGGAGGCTAGGCGGCAGGACAAAGCAGACAGAGGCAGCCTGGGCCAAAGGCACAGTTCCGCTCAGATATTTTATTTGTGTTTGTCTTTTTCTTTTTTTGGTGGGGGGAAGGGGACAGGTTGGAAGGGAGACAGAAAAACAAAATCAAAGAGGAGAAAAAAAACATGACTCTTCCCACCCTCCACCACCCCTGGCCCCAGGCCTGAGTCAATGAGGGTGAGGATGAGCACACACAGCGGGCGAACAGCAATAACTTAGGGGAGGAGCGCCAGGAGAACACAGAGTGACTGCTGGACTCCACAGCTGAGGAGGCTGCCTGTCTAGAGGTCCGAAGGGCTGGGCCTGGGGTAAGTGAGCAAACTGAGGAAGGTGGGTGAAAAGAGAGGACTAGGGACTGGAGAAACTTCACTGAGTCGTGGGAGATAAAGTGCTCAATGCTCTAGATTTGGGCTGGAAGGGCTGGAGTCAGCTACCTCCAGGGGGGCAGGGCCCGGGACTGGCGGGTGCGTGACCTCCGCCCGGCTAGAGTCCCTGGCAGTGGCTGGCGGGAGGCAGGGGGCCCTAGCTGGCGCTGGCTGCGTGGTAGTAGCCGGGGGATTCGGGTGGGCCGTTCACCCCGAAGCAGGCCCCAGCTGGCCAGTGTGTGGATGGCCCACGGGGGCAAGTGGGATGCTAAACCCTGGCTGGCCCGTGCCAGACGCCAGTTCCAGCCCTTGCACAGGACCCAGACCCTTGCCAACAGAGCTAATGGGTGTTGGGTGGTGCGGGGATTACGCCGCCGGGGCCCAGGGACGGGCAGGCGGCTGCGGAAGCCATCCTTGTTGGTTTTGGGGTACAGTGCAAACAGACCCCGGTCCCCCACAGCCCCACAGCCCTGCAGGGCCCGGAAGGCCATGGGTGACAGGCGCAGCAGAACCCGCAACCAGAGTCGAGATATGCCCCGGCGCACCCGGGGGCCCTGCTGCCGCACCCATCTGCCCCCCGCTGCCATAGCCACCAGAGGTAGAGCTAGGCCTGGCCAAGCTAAGAGCCAGGCAGCTCCAAGGCCCAGGGGAACACCCATGAGGCCTCGGCGCCAGCTCAGGCCCAGGACGGCCCCCAGTGCGGTACCCTGGGCCAGGAGTAGGAAAAGACTGGAGGGCAGGTGCAGGGCTGTACAAAGGAGCAGGTAGGAGGCCCCCAGACCCACCAGCCCCACCTCAAGGGCCAGCAGCGCTGCCTGCAGGCCACCCCCACCCTGGGCTGCCAGCAATGGAAGCAGCAGCAGCAGCAGGAGGGGCAGGAGGCCAGAGGAGGACCCCACTGCAAAGGAGAGGCCGGCCAGGAGGCCATGGGACAGGAGTCCAGGGAGCTGGCTGGCAGGGCAGGGCCTCAGGTGTGTTGGAGGGGGTTCAGGAGGGATGTCGGGGGAAGGACAACCATCTCCAGGATCCCTAGGGGTCCCAATCGGAGCCCCCTCTTCCTCTTCTTCCTCCTCCTCAGGGACGGGAGTCAGTGCTGGGCCCTGGACCCAGCCAAGCTCAAACTCCTCATCCAGAAGACTCTCATCCTCCTTCCCCCACAAGCTCCATGTCCCAGCCTCCTCCTGGCCAACAATGCTCCTCTCCTGGGGTACAAGGGAGGGCACCCTAAGCTCCTCTATCTCCTCAGGCAGACCCCAAACTTCCTCATCAACCAGGCTCCCATGTTTTTGTGGACTGGGACTAGGGGCTCCTGATTCTTCCCCCAGAATCCTCTGCTGCTTGGGCTCCAAAGTGGCCCCTTCCTTTCCCAGAATCCTTCTCTCTCCAACTGCTTC
The DNA here is from genome assembly GCF_000001405.40 of Homo sapiens. Classification (NCBI taxonomy): domain Eukaryota; kingdom Metazoa; phylum Chordata; class Mammalia; order Primates; family Hominidae; genus Homo; species Homo sapiens. Next base: position 29,986,651 of record NC_000016.10, on the reverse strand, counting down.
CTCCTCCTCGCCAAGCATTCTTTGGTCCAGGACTGCCTCCTGGCCAGGTGAGCAGGGCTGCTGTTCTATAGGGGTGCCTGTGTTGGGTGGGCCCAGAGCCCCAGGAATGGGGAGTGGAAGGCCCGGGGGGCGCTGGCCTGCACGTACTTTGAGGCTCTTGGGCTGCTGGCGAACCTGGGCCGCATGCTTCTGCCGCAACTCTTGCTCACGCCGCTTGTTGTACTCCAGCTGGTTGCCCAGCTCCGTCTGGTGCTGCAGGCGGGTGAGCTCAGCCCGCGTGCGCTGCACGGCCTGGAGCTGCCGCAGCTCCAGCTCCCGCGTGGCCTCGTGCTGCCGAAGCAGCAGTGCACACTCCAAGTCCTTCTGGGTCTGCTTCTTGTTCAGGTCCTGAGGCAGAAGAAATGCAGGGCCCGGGGCCTGGTCAGTATCAAGGAAGTGAGAGGCCAGGGCTCCTTGGCAGAGGGAGCTGGGGATGGCGGAAGAAACACAGGGCCCAGGGCCTGGTCAGTATCAAGGAAGTGAGGGGCCAGGGCTCCTTGGCAGAGGGAGCTGGGGATGGCAGGAGATGAGGGTGTAGGGGAGGCAAGCTCCTCCCTGGCCTGGGAAAAGAGGCCTAAGGAAATTCTGGCAGGGTCTGTTGGGGATGAGAAGTAAAAGGGGCACTGAAGCAAAGCTGAACTGTAACACTCGAGGGCCAAGGAGAAAGAAGACAAGAATGAGGAAAATGGAAAAGGGTGGGTCCCTGGGATCCACGAGTGAGCGGGAGGGGAACAGAGATTGGGATGCCTACCTCCCGCAGCAGGTCCTGGTCCAGGCTGTGCCGAGCCAGCAACATCTTGCGCTTGTACTGGCGACACTGCAGCTCAAAGTACTGGCGCTGCCGCCGCAGCAGCCCTGCTTCCTCCTCCGCCTGGCACTGCTGGAGCTGCTCCTTCTGCCGCAGCAGCCACTCGGCCTTCTCCCGCTTGGGAGTGCTGGGGTTCTCCTGGAGCTCCTGGGCGAGTGCAGAGGGAAGCAGGGTCAGGACCCACCTGGCTCGCCATCGGCTCCGCCCCCAAGCAGCCCTAGCTCACCTCCTTCAGCTGTTCCTTGCGAAGTTTGTAGGTCCGCTTCTGTGCCTCCAGCAGGGCAGCCAGCTCCTTCTTCTGCTGCCCAAGGATGTGCTGCTGGAACTTCCGCTCCTCGGCCTGGGCAGCTCGTGCCTCCTTCTCACCTATGGCCTGGTGCCGCCGGGCCAGCTTTTCTGCCTCTGCCCCAAAGCCAGCCCGCTGCGCCTCAAGCTCCCGCTGCAGCCGTGCACTGTGCTCCTCCCGTTCACCCCTCAGCCGTGACTCCAGGGCCAGCAGCTGCTTCTGGTGCTGTCGTCGCATCCGCTTATAGCCGCTCAGCTGCTCCCGCAGCGCAGAGTCCTGCTCATGCTCCTGGATCTGACGGCTGACCTGGGGAAGGAGAGAGGGTGAGAGCTGGGGCTCAGCCTGGCCCCTAGTTAATTAACACAAGGGGTCTTCCGTGGGGAAGAGCATGGGTTTTCAACTCATGGGTTTCATTCTCATTTAACACCTTCCTCACACACGGCCACTCTAGCCTGTTTCCTCAACTGGATAATGGTGATATTATCTACATCACAAGTTGGTGTGGCCGAATGATAAAAGGTGGCGAGCACAGGGCCTGGCACAAAAGTAGGAACAATCCATACTAATTTGAAACAGTGAGTCAGACATACCTGGGATCAAATCCCAGCTTTGCCACTTACCAAGCATGTGATCTCAAGTAAGTTAACTTCTCAAAGCACCAGTTCCCTCATCTGTTAAATGGGGAAATAATACCTCCTCATAGGGGCTGTGGGGTAAGTTCGGACTCTATCTAATAAGTGTTGGCTTCCTTCCCCTTCAGCAAACATGGTCGGCCTATCACTCCCCAGGTATTGAGGTGGGATCGGGGCCACAAGATGCTGGAATAACAAGAACACTGGGCTTGGACACCTTCATCCAAAGTCTGATCTCAGGTCTCATTCTCAATTGACTCTATGAGTGGCTCTCAAACTAGTCCCGGCAGCCAAGCCCCTGGCAGTCAAGACCTCTCAGCACAGTACCGCACAACACCATGGGATCTGAAGAATTGTTGGAACACAACCAGCACCAAGCAGAGGCCATAAGAACATACTAGACTTAATCAGTGGCCTCTAAGGGGATTGTTGACGCTCAAATGCAGCTCAGCAGGAACGTGATCTAAAAACATAGATGAAAAACTATGTTTTATGAAAAGCCTAAACACTTTTTCCTGTGAACTGAGAAAGACTGCCATGAGTTGATTTTAGGAGAGGACTAAGGGCCTGCTTACAGGAGCAGAGAGCCACCAAAGGCACTGGGGCAAGTGGCCCCTCTGAGCCACAGGTGCCTCATTTCTCCAATGGGATCTTACCCTTCCCCTCCCAGGGGGGCTGGGAGGGTTAACACAGGCCTGTGTGTAAGCCTGAGAGCTAACTGCTGGCATGAGACAGATATCTGAACACCATCCCTGCCCTCTGGGGCACAGAATCTGGCAAACCTATCATGATGCTGTTCAGGACCACCCAAGCACAGGGCACCCCCGGCACAGGGCTCCCCAGCACTGGACACCCCCAGCACAGGGCTCCACAGGCACAGGGCTCCCCCAGCACTGGGCTTCCCCAGCACACAACTGTGAAGCATCTGACTCACCAGAGGAGCCTGGGAAGGCAACCCAGGAGATGTCAGTTAAGTCAGGCCACAAAAACGGAGTAAGAGTTTGCCAAGCTAGAAACACCCAGATTGGGCCATATGACCAAAACAGTCCACTGGGAAGAGGAGGGAAGCAGGAGGGTTAAGGGGAGCAGGCAGGAGCCAGCAACAGAAAATGAGGGTAGAATCCAGACTCAATCCCATGCCACAGGGAGGAAATCATTTCTAGACTTAAAAAGACTTAAAAAACAGACAGCGAGCAGGCTGAGTGAGGATGGCTACACTCACCAGGGAGGCGGTTCGGATGGTGGCAAAGTGGTCTCGGTTACGGCAGTAGGCCCGGCGGCGGGCGGAAGAGGTGGTGGAAGTGGGAGCTGGGGCTGCAGGCGGCTGGAGAGGGCTGGGGGTTATCTCTGGCTGGTAGGGGTCATCATATAGGTTGTCAGAGCCCTAGAGGGAGATAGAAGGAACACCCAAGGCTCAGAGGCCACTGGGTCCAAAGAGAGCTACCTGAGGACAGCCAATCAGACTCAGAGGAGTGCTGCACTTAGGGAAGGAGGGCGAAGACCCAGGCAGTTCTAGAGCAGGTGGCTCGGGTCCCCCAAGGGTGAGCTGTGTACCGGCAGCCGGTGGATAATGGAGCTGTGAGAGGTGACTGTGTGCTCCCCCTCCTGCATCATGGCCATCTCCCGGGCTTCAGGGCCTTCTTCCTCCTCCTCCTCTTCCTCCTCCTCCTCCTCCTCTTCCTCGTTGTCTGAGGCATCTGCTAGGCTGTTGACGGAGCTGCTCTGGCTGGAGGCGCTGATGGACATGCTGGGCACTGAGTGGCTACTCTCGAGGCTGGTCAGAGTCCCGGCCCGGTGCATGTAGGGCTCGGCCTCCTGCGAACAGGGCGTAGGCTGCTGGACAGGGAAGGGGAAGCCCTGGGGCATATGCATGGAGGTAGCATGGGAAGATGGTGGTGTGAGTAGGGCTGGGGAAGGGGCCAAGCAACTGCAGGGGGCAGGCACACATGGGGTATAAAGAGGGGTGTTAGGGCAAGCTGGGTCACCTCTTCCTCCTCTGGGGCCTCGGCACCAGGGCCGTTGGGTGCCTCTTGGAACAGGATCTTCTTCATCTTGCGGTACTGCAGGTTGTCCAGCTCCCGCACGGCATCCTTGGTCCTCTGGATCAGGTCCATGATGACTGTGGGTGGCCGCTCCCGGAGCACAAAGCGGTGCTGGGGGAAGAGGGCACTGAGGTCTGCTGCCAACTCCCCTTCCCCCCACAACCCACAGCCCTTGGCATTCCCTCAGGCCTGAGGCACTCTTCTGGGGCCCACGCCCACCACGGGTTGATGCTGGCCTTATCCCAAGCCCTTCTCTCACAATTTTCTGTACCACCCAGTACCTACTCCCCAGACAGACTCTTCTTCCTCTAAGCATGGCTGACAGGCAGGGACAGTCAGGAGAACTGGATTCTCGTCCAGCTCCTCTACTAAAGGGCTATGTGACCTTGGACATGTCATGAGGCCCCTCTGGGCTTCATACAGTATCCTACAATTATAAAACAAGTGGGTCCAACTACATAATCTGAAGTTTCCAACTACGGCTCCTCAGGCCCCCATGGGTCTGTGAAGGGAATGGGGCCCCTCCATTTTTGATAATTCAAAAAACACCTAAGGGAAATCATACATTTACCCATGATAAGGCTACACAGGCTTTTGGCTTGCATTACATCAGATCAGTGGGGCAACCCTGGTTATCACATGCTGACCAGAAGCTCTGGCTGGCAATTATATAAATCTTTGATTAATAAAAGAAGGGAAAACAGTTTATTACTTAATAAATTAAGGCAGTCTGGTAGACAAAATCTTGTAAAACACAGAGTCCACTAGGCATTGGGGATGGGGTGGGAATTCATCAACGAAGCTCTTGGTGGAGGAGGAACTGGGAACCACTAATTTCCCTGGGGGTTCTTGTGGCTGTAACAAGCTACAGTTCCAGGAGAATGCTAGGCCAGCAGGCCCTCACCTTCAGGAGAACCTCTGAGGTTGGTCTGTCTTGAGGGATTTTCTGAAGACAGGAGTCGACAAAATTCCGGAAGTACTCAGACCTGAAAGTCACAGGAGGGTGGGAGAGGGGTGGGGAAGGCATGAGTCAGGCATCCATACCCCATGGCCTAACGCCTGGGCCCAGATTCGGAATCTCAGTCCTCACCAGTGTCCTGACTGGAGCACGGGGGATTCGTTCTGTGCAATGTGGTATAAGGCACTCATCGCATTCATGTTAAAGAGCGGTGGTTTCCGTTCAGCTACAGAAAAAGGTGAAAGGGAAGAAGGTGAGAGGTGGCAGGGGGTAGAGGACAATGGAATGGAACTGAGACGACTTGGGTTCAAACCCCAATTCCTTGACTTCCTTGCCACATGACCTTGAGAAGTTCCCATCATCCTGTTGCGTCTCAGTTAATTCCTTCCTCTGTAAAATACAACACCCATCCTCTCCACTGCACACGGGTGGAATAGGGGTCAAAGAAAATAACATCCACAAAAGCAGTAACGAAGGCAGAAGGACAGCCATTCAGTTATCACCCCAACTAATATTTCTTAGGTGCCAAAGGGAGCAGATAACTTGATAATTGCTATGGGGAAGATAAAAACAAGAATTAGGCCCCACCCTCAAGGAACCTCCAGTCTAAAAGATTAAATAGGACTGAAAAAATAACATCAAAGTATTAACTGGTATAAGAGGGAAACAGGGAAGTGGCTGGGAAGTTGAGAGTATGCAGTGAGCCTTCAAGCTAGCATATCTTCAGGGAATTCAGAGAAGGGCTTTGTAAAAAGCCCTGAGATTAGAAAGGTAAGTGCAAGCTAAGAGTCGCTAAGAGTCCCTTGTAGCCCAGACAAATGTCATGTTGTTTTGGCCTAAACGGTGATTTTTAAAATTAACTGCCAAAAGTAATAATCAAATAATAATACAAGTTTCCAGTTTCTCCTTAAGAATTAAATCTGGTGAAATGGAGTCTACATTACTGCATAACAATGGTCTGGAGATAAGCATTAGCTGCCCTCTTTCTATGGAAACAGCAATCTCCAGTTTGCCACATCCTTCTCCACACTGCTTCCCTGATATTGACTTAGTATGAGTTGACATTTATAATCAGACTGATATATATTTTTTTCAATAGTAGAGTAATATTTCTCTGTATCCACATCTCTTCCAAAAACTAGAAATAAAATGGACAGATCTAGCTTTTTCTTATACTTGGGTCCGTTTCTTACATTTTTCATCAACTGTCTGGGCCTGGCATCTAATGGTAAATGGAGACTGTGAAGATGGAGGAGAAGGGCTCGTCCAAATCTCTGACCTCGGGCAGAGGACCCAATACGAACCAAGGCAAGGAAGTGGAAGAGTTCATGACACACTCAGAGGGTGGAGCCCATGAAGGAAAGGGCCAGCATTTACGAAGCAAAGCCTCTAGGTTGGTGGGAGGAAGGATGGGGATGGCTTCAGTCTTGAAGGCAACAGGGGGCCACTCATGGCTCCAAACAGGGAGTGAAATGACAGCACTGAGCTTAGGCAGACCTCTCTGGCATCAGTACTTAAGACAGACTGGAAGGGAGAAGAGACTGGAGAGATCACTGCAGGAGGCTGTTGATAAGAGAAACTAACAGCAACTCTTAGGCAACTGTTTTGTGCCTGGCATTGTGTTGGAAGCCTTATAAAGGTTACCTACCTCATTAAAGAATTGTTTCAATAGTGCTGGCTGACAGAGATGAGAACCTTGGCATGGCTTCAAGGCCTTAGGAACTCACTTGGACCTAACTCTCTGGCCTTATCCTTCAATATTCTCTGCATTACATGCTAGGTTCCAAATAACTGAAGCTAGTCCCAGTTCCCCAGGCCTGCACTTACCTCTAGGCCTCTCACATGCTGTTCTCTCTGCCTGGAAAGCTCTTCCCTACATTCTGCAAACAGCTATTATTTATCTTGCAGGTTGGCTTCAATATTCTCCTACAAGGAGGCCTTCTTCAGCCCCTAAACTAGGTCAAGTCCCCTGTTTTACATTTGAACCGCTCCTGTAACTTCTCCACACAGCGTTCATCACATTGAAAGAAAACATGCCTGCCTGGTTTCCCTAAATCAAATGTAAGTTCCATGAGGGCAGGATTTTCATTCACTGCTATCCCTCCAGAATCACAGTCCATGGCACAGCACATGGTGGGCACTAAGAAAAGATTCAGAACCAGGGTAGTGGACAGGAAGAGATGAATGCTACAAAATCTCTAGGCCTAAGAGCTGGCAGAATTTGCCAGCTGCCTGTATTGGGCTCCAGGGTAGAGTCACAACGGACAGGAACTTGGAGGCCTGGGATCCCATCCCTAGGAGAAGGGGGTAGTCCGGAGTCTGGGAACTAACAGGAAAGAATGGAAAAGATGATGAGGGAACAGGGAGGATGTTCTTACCCAGCTCGATGCAGGTTATCCCCAAGGACCAGACGTCCACTTTGCCATCGTACTGCCCCTCATCCATGGCCAGGATCACCTCGGGTGCCATCCTAGGAGAATGGTCAGGAGAGAGAGGCAAATCACCCGCCGAGACCCTGTCACTCCTACTCCCAACATCCCTGGGAGGTCTCTCCACTCACCACCACTCACTCACTCACCAGTATGGGGTGCCCACGAAGGAGTTGGCAGGTGCCATGATGGACGCAGAACCAAAGTCCCCTAGCTTCACTAACCCTGGCTCTGACAGCAGGATGTTTCCAGCCTTCACATCCCTGCCAGAGGCAAAGTACAGGGATGAGACATGTGTCTCAAGAAAGCTAGGCAGGGGCAGCCCAGCTAAGTGACAGGTGGTGCAGATAGCACTCCCCTCCCAGGCACTGCCGGTGCTGCTTGTACCTATGGATCATGTTGTGGGAGTGCAGATATGCCAGGCCCTGAAGCGCCCCGTGGGTCACAGCTGCGATCTCTACCTCCTGAAGGGGTTTCTTGTGCACTGGAGAGTGAGGAAGAACATCAACCCGAGGGAGCGCAAGGGTGGGACTGGAATAAACTCCCCTTAACCCTTCCCTATGGCTCCCCTGCTCTTCTCCCTTCTCCACTTATTGGCCTATCAGTCACTTACCTTCTAGAAGGTCAGAAGCTGAGCCCAGGCAATACTCCATTACCAGCTAAGGAAGAGACAAGGGTCAGAGATCAGAGTCTCCTGGGCAGGGACTCAAAACAGAGCTTCCTTGACTGTCCTGTACTCAAGCTATGTCCCCGGGGTGATGACAGGGAGGAAGCGCAACTGGAGACAATGAGGGGGTGGTGGGAGAGTTTCTAGAGTCTGGGCCCAAGACATTCACCACTGCCCATCTGAATCCCTTCAAACTCCCATTCAATCTCCACCTTCTCCAGCCCACAGTGACCTGTCCCACCTGCTAACAGCCTGTGTCACTGAGCCAGGCTTTTGCTCAGTGGGTATGTCTGAGGACTAAAGCGGTCAAAAGAGACTTCCTCCTTCCCAAGATCCCACAACAGCACCACGAACAGGGACCACCTAAGAGACTGGACTACGATAAGGACGGGCATGAATAGGAGTAAAGATCAGGCCAGAATCTGGCACCAGCTCACCCAAGCCGTGTGCTCCCTCAGGTAACAGCCCCGGTACTGAATGGTGTTGGGATGCCGGAGCTTCTGTAAGAACCGCACCTCCTTGATGATGTCTTGCCATTTCTAGGGGGTCAGGGTAGGCAGAGGTTACCCAGCTTGCATCTTGAGACAGGAGTCCCCTGTCCCCAACCTGGCTGTATTGCACCTGGCCCACCTCATTGGACTGCTTCCCACTGTAGGACATCTTCTTGATGGCCACCACCTCACTATTCCGGACATCCCGGGCCTAGAGGACCAGACCAGAAGGTGTTGAAGGCCCCATTGAGAGCCGGGCATGGGAAGACTTGCTGGCCCAGCAAGAGAAGGCAGGAAAGACCAGTGTGATGGAGTAGTGTGCAAGGGCTGTTGGGAAGTCCACAGGGATAGGAAGAGTCCCCATCCCTATTACACCCTCCCAAGACCCAACTCACAAAGTATACGGCTCCAAAGCTGCCATGGCCAATTTCCCGGAGGTCAGAGAAGAGCTTTTCTGGGTCATCCTTGAAGAAGAGCTCAGCCACATCTGGGTCCTTCAGGCTCCCGGCCCGGCCCCCAGCTGGCATGGTGGCCCCTGGGGGCCCTGAGAGTGGGGCCTGGCCTGAGGAATGGAAATGGGACCCTTAGAGATCAAGGATTGAGCCTTCAGGGAGAGGAAGGGACCCATCAAGTTTCTGCCATCTCCTCCCCTCATTCCCTGATGAGGAGGAGGCACTGCTGAGGAAGGGGAGGGGGAGATTAGGAACAACATCAAAGCTCCAAAAAATGAAGTTGCCCTGGCAACCAGATCACGCGGGCTGGGTCCCTGGAGTCCCTAAAACTGCTAGGAAGATTCTGGGAAGCTAAGTATCCTCACCACCCCCTTCAGTGCTCAACAAGTTCTCATTTCCCTATAGCCCCTGTATCTCCCCTCAAGGATAAAACATTCTGCTTCCCAGCCAGCACTCCAGAGCCCCAAGTGTCCTGTCCCATAAGTCCTATACCCCAACTGTTTCCAGGCACCTTTCTGTTCCCCTTGGCGCTGAGGCCCCCTCCTCCCTCAACCTCTCACACCCTGGAAGAGAACAGGAAATGGCCAGGCCGGAGGCGGTGGAAATCCGTCCATTGTTAGAAGTGGGTACTGGCCCAGAGGAGCCCGCAAAGTCACTCTCAAAAAAGTCAGGGGGAGATCTAGAATGGGAAGAATAGGGATATAAATGGCATCTGGCTATGAGGGCCTCTCTGTGCTCTGGGCCACCTTACTTGTCCTGTCCAACTGCATAAGCATCACACACAGGTACAGGACATTTGCAGGGTACAAATAACATTTACTGAGTACCTTACGTGCATTATCTCTATTCAGTCCTCACTACAACCTTATGAAGCAAGTACTATGATTTCCCCTATCTTACAGATAAAGAAACAGGCTCAGCAAGGTTAAGTGCCTTGTCCAAAGCTGGTCCTCCATCACTATGATTTCAGAGCAGCCCTTCGAAACAGGCAGGGCAGAATCATGATCACCATTTCCTAGGTGAGGTCACTGAGGCACAGAGAAGAAAAAGGACTTCTCCAAGGTCAGAGAACAGGACCTTCGGCTCCCCGGTTAGGCCTGTATCCATTACTCTCTCAGCTGTCACCCCAAGCTCAGCTCCCCTCTTGCAGGAAGCCTGTCCTGACCACTCCAGCCATTGGGAAGAGCACCTAGGGCACCCAACCAAACACCCGGAGAAAGTTCCTGCAGGATACCAGAACCAAAACCCTCAAGGAGATTCCAAGACAGGCTCCAGCCTAAGCACTTGTCAGAATTTAGGCACAAAGGAGCCTTCAGCAGAGCTGGACTCCTGGGGCAGAGTTCTAGCTACTCAAAAGCACCTAACAATTTTAGCATGTAATTTATTCTGTCATGCATTGTTTCCTGTTGTGTTGTTAATTTTGTCTCAGCCCAACTGGAAGCTGGAGGGCAAGGAGGGAGCCTGACTCTCCAGTGGGCCCCCAGGGTGCAGAGGGCTCAGAATAGCCTGGGAGACTGAGTGATTGCTCTCTGCTCAGCCCTCAGCAGCTCGCAGGTTGCTCAAAGCCGGCCCTTTTCTCCCTTCTGCCAGCAACAGTGCCAAGCACCCCTCACCAGCACCACACACCCACACACAAAGGCAGGTGCTCTCAACTTGCCAAAGGAATCTTCCTGACCTCTTTACCAACACAAGGCCCCAGAATGCTAACCTAGGCCACACGGAGGGGTGCCACCCACTGGCAAAACATCATGCAGGTCCCCTTCCCCATAATAACAACAAACACTTGAACAATAACCAAGGTCTGTGCTAAATCATAACCACCTTCCAAAACGAACAATGTTATCTCCATTCTACAGATGAGGAAACCCGTATCTATCTGTTCCTAAGCTATGCTACCAGTACATCCCGTCTGCAATGTACAGCAACAGGGCTTTAAATAAGTTCCTTCCAGTTCTTGGTCTTCTCTTCAGTGAAATGGATTACAGCATGGAGCTGTTGTTAAGATTTTAATGAGATCTCATACTTAGGAACACCATGCAGACACTCAGCATATGGATTTTTCCTTCCCTGCCTCCAAGGTCCCCACAAAGCTTTAATCCTTTGGGGGATCATTCTACCCCAACAGCTTGGCTTGAACAGTTAAAAGATGCCACTAGTGCTACCATTTGTCAGGAGAGAGCCCTCTCAGGAATCCAGGCCAAACCCTGGGATTGGGGTAAAGATGAAGGTCACAGTGGATAGAAAACTCCATGAGGCAGAGGCAAAAGCCAGAGGCTCCCATCAGGAAAAGCTTCTGAGTAGAGCCCTCCTGGAAAGGAAGCTCATCTCATCCCCATTCTTAAACCTCACCCCAGCCTGGACTCCTAGGGACCCCTGGCCGAGCCCAAACTCAGAGGAAAAGAGATGGCAAGAACCAGGCATGCATCAGGGAAAGATGTGATTGAGGACTTGAGTTCAAATTCTGGTTCTGCCACTGTGTGACCTTGGGCAACCTCTCTCGGCCTCAACGTTCTCAACTGTAAAATGGGAAGATGCCAATAAAAGAGGCCCCCACAGGGTGAATGCGGGGATGTCACATGAGAGAATGGCTGTCAAAGCACTTTGTAAAAGACAGATCGTTTGACAAATGGATGAGATTATTGACACCATCACAGCAAGAGGTTGGAAGGTAACTGCAGCTGGGGGAAAACATTGCCAGGCACCTCCAAGCACACACACACACGCATACACACAAACACATATACACACACTTCCTTGCAAGGACAAGAAATCCAACCAGACCAGGCCTGAAAAGCAGATAAGCAGACCCACCATGGGAATCAGAGGCATGGGAATCAAAACCACAGAATAGCCAGGAGAACGGGACATATCAGGGAGGAGAGGTGGCTGTGAGGGGCAAAGTGAAGGAGAGAAGACTGAAGTGCAAATCCATCTGATTAGCTGAAGCACCCTAGGGTGTGAACGCCGGTGACATCAGAGACCCTGTCACCTGAGGTCCCCCACCAACCAGACACAATGAAGGGAAGAGGAAGGGGAAGGGGGTGGCAACAGAAGGCAAGGCTAGCCAGAGGCTGACCACTCGCTCAGCTGGGCTTCCCCATCCTGAGAGGGCCTACCCAAGTCCAGCTTCTCAGAAAGGCGCACCCTTTCTTCTCAGAACTAGACACAGGGACCCGCGCCCCTGCACCCCGTGTCTCACCTGGTAGGGGTCACTATGGTGCCCCAGCGCCTCCGCTTCCGCCTGGGGTCCTCCAGCGGCTCTGCCAAGCAGGGAGAGGGGCAAGGAGACCTTTCCCCTTGCCACCTCTTCCTCGGCTTTCGCCCTTCCTGAGGGGCGGGCCCGGGAAGCCTCCCCTGGAGGGGAGGGGGTGACAACCTAATCTGACCTCGCGGTCCAGTCCTCCCCCTCGTCGAGGGCGACAGCTGCCGAATTCCGGATTTCTGATTGTGGGGTCTGAACCCCGAATATCTGAACGGGATGGAGACTGAATCCGATATTTGAACGCCCGGGGAATGAACCCCGGATACTGGTGCACGCAGGGGCCTGAACCTGATATTTGAAATTCTATGAAACAGAGACCCAGGTTTAGAGAGGTTGGGACCCGAGTCCCGGATATCTGGACTATGAGGACTGTTACCCGGGTATCTGAGAAAGGAGGAGGGGCAAAGCCTGGAAATTTGGGACCCAGGGGCCTGAGCTGTAGGTCTTCGGCCACCGACTGGGGGCCCACCCCGAGGACGTCCGGCCGCACGGCCCCTCTCACGCCGGGGTCCGAGGGTGACAGCCCCCACTCCCGCCCCGGCCTCCTCCCTCTCCCTTCTCTCTTCCGAGAATAGCTGAACGATTGTAGCTAAGGTGCTGCTGACGGTCCCCGCGCCCTCTCTGCCTCTCCTCTTCTCCGTCTCAGCCTCTCTCCGCACCACAGCCCCGGTCTCGTCCCGGTCTCCCTCTCCCTCTTCCTCCCAATTCCAAGATGGAGACCGGGCGGGAGCGCGCAGGCGCGGTAGGGACGCCGGGCTAAAGGGGGCGGGGGCGCAGAGGACTCAGCCCCGCCCTCTCTCCTCACTGCCGCGGCCTGGGAGACCGGCAGCCGCCAAGCCCGAGTGCGCGCCCGCCCCGCCACGCGGACCCCAGGCCGGAGGAGGCGGGGAGAAGAGCTAGACTTGCAAGGGGAGGAGCCCGGCACTCTGTCCCACGACTGGCGGTGGACAGAGCTGCAGCGCATGCGCTCGCCCCGCCTTCGCTCTGAGCCCGAGCTTGTTGCTAGGGGAAGCTTTGAGGGGGCGCGGGTGGACGGACAGCAGCGGCGATCTGCGACTGCGCGCAGGGTGGAAGTTGGGAGGGGCAAAGGAAGCTGCTGCTGGGCGCGGAAAAGGCGGGAAAATAGACTGCTCCGAGGTTAGCAACCATCTAACCTGGAAAAGGGCCTCCAAGTGCGAGGAATCTTTGCGCGTCGACGCTGGGAAAACTCAATCGGTCAAATCTCTTACGGAAATTGAGGCGCTGCAGGTTGCAAGACTTGCCAAGGTCACAGTGCATTTATGTCACAGCATTTCCATGACCTGACACCCCACCCGCCCAACTAACTGTAATTATCCATTTTATTTCGTAGAAGAAAACAAGACAGGTGTTTACCAAAGCCAAGTCAACCATGGGGAGAGCTCAAGTAACCTATGCCCTATGCCAACCTGTGTCCAAACTAGAGAGTCAACAGGAAAGAGTCCCCCAAAACTTCTAAGCCTGCCTACCCTAAAATCCCCACCTCAATCCAACCCCCAATAAACACCATACACGCCACTGGGCAAAAAAGCTTTTTATTTTCCCCCACATTCCAGCTCTTCACTTTTTCTAAAACCTTTTCCAACTCAGAGCCAAGGCCCAAGAAGTTGATTCACACCTGGGGAGAAAGAAAATAAAACAACAAAACAGGTCGAAGAGCTGCTAGAGGAAGCTCTGAGATGTGTGCAGAAATTGAGGAAGGAGCAGAGGGAGTGACAGCTAGAGACCAATACGGGCATTTAATCCCAACTAAGGTAGCCTCAGGACCCCAGGGTCTGTCAGGGGCCAGGAAGCCCTCCTTTCCCAGTCCAAGGTTGAGAGGGTCCTGTCATTTCCTGTCCCAAGTAGGTGGTTGGGGCATTTAGGCCCAGCCATCAGCAAAATAAGCACAGTTGATCTTGAGCTTCCACTTCCTCTGGCCTGATCAGTTCCCTGGGCCTCAACTATTTCCACTTTTCCCATAGTAACTTCCTAGGGCACTGCAGCCAGCTGAAGCTGAGACCAGTTCAAGAGCTGGATGCATAACACATGGCTCTCAAATTTCATGCACCCCCCTCTGACAAGTGAAGATTTTTTGCAGAAATATTTTTTCCTTTAGTGAGCTGATGTGTGAACTGGTTAACCAACATGACCCCCACCCACTGCTACGTTTGTGAAGCTGATTCCCTCCAAAGATCTTGTTAACGGAATCAGCTTTTTCTAAAGGTAACGATGACTAAATGGAAGACAGAAGGTGCATGTCAAGTTCTTGGGCACATACTATGTCCCCAGTAAATGAGTATCATCAGTTAGACTCTTCTGAGCGGTTCAAGTTGAATTTTACAAAATTTCCATCATAAAACTGGGTATTGGAATTTCAGGACAAAAGCAAGACAAACATGGTTCATATTCAGGACAAATCATCAAATGTGAACCCTCTTAACTCACCATTGTTACCCAAATGCTTGGATGTGAACTAGTTATGAGTCTTAAAATCACAATGTTGCTTGAAAGAAGTCAGCCACAAAAGAATGTGTATGATTCTGTCTACATAGTTTCAAAAATAAGTAAAACCAAACTATATTATTTAGGAATACATACATGGCAATACATTATAAAGCAGGACAGTAATTTCTAGGGAGAGAGAGGGCATTGTCAGGAAGGAAGGGACCATGGGGGGTTTCTGGACAGCTGGTAATATTCTACTCAGTGGTATTTATAAGTATCCACTTTATAATAATTTGCCAAGCTGTCCTTTTATACTATTGGACTTTTCTACATAAGTGTTAACTATTTTATAATAAAAAAGTTAAAGTAATTAGAAAAATATTGAATGCTGACGGTGTCAAATTGTTCCCAGTCCCTAAGGGAGAGCTGTGGTTGAAGAGGTTCTCGGGGACTCAGAAGCAGCAGTCTTTGAGGAAAAGTCCAAGGATCTGCTCTACCCCGGTTACAACCCCCACCCCCACCCCATTCCCTGCTCCCGCAGGACTGGAGCAAAGAACCTCACCTGAGAAACAAGTCGGGAACTAGGCCAGTGCCCTCAGAGCCGGGTTCTAGACCAGTGGGACTCCCGGCGCGGGTGGAAGCACATAGCAGTGACACAGCAGAGAAGGCCACAGAAGAGAAGCAGGAAGGAGCCCAAGACCAGCAGCCTGGAGCCACACAGAGCCAGCTCCTCCTAGGGAGGGGTACAGGGAGAGGAGGAGGAGGACATGTTAATCCAGTCCAAGGGCTATAGAAGGAGCCTCCATGAGGGAGAGGGCTCTCCACATCTAGGGAGCAACTGAAGGGAAAATGTTATTTTCATATAAGCTGACATTTGTCTTTTTTTTTTTTTTTTGAGATGGAGTCTTGCTCTGTCGCCCAGGCTAGAGTGCAGTGGCGCGATCTCAGCTCACTGCAAGCTCCGCCTCCTGGGTTCACGCCATTCTCCTGCCTCAGCCTCCCAAGTAGCTGGGACTACAGGTGCCCGCCACCACGCCTGGCTCATTTTTTGTATTTTTAGTAGAGACGGGGTTTCACCGTGTTAGCCAGGATGGTCTTGATCTCCTGACCTCATGATCCGCCCACCTCGGCCTCCCAAAGTGCTGGGATTACAGGCGTGAAACACCGCGCCTGGCCCTTTTTTTTTTTTTTCTTTTTGAGGCAGGGTCTCACTCTGTAACTCAGGCTGGAGTGCAGTAGTGCAATCTCGGCTCACTGCAACCTCCGCCTCCTGGGCTCCAGCGATCTTCCCACCTCAGCCTCCTGAGTAGCTGGGACCACAGGTGTGTGCCACCACGCCCAGCTAATTTTTTGTGTGTTTTTTTGTAGAGATGGGGTTTCACCATGTTGCCCAGGCTCGAACATTTGTCTTGATGGTTTAAAAACTACTTTCTTGCCCAATTATCAACCTGAAACCCCATCATAACTCCATGAGATAGGAAACTTCATTATGATCCACAGTTTAAAGATGTATAAGTGGCTGGGTGCGGTGGCTCACACCTGTAATCCCAGCACTTTGAGAGGCCGAGGTGGGTGGATCACGAGGTCAGGAGATTGAGACCATCCTGGCTAACACAGTGAAACCCCATCTCTACTAAAAATACAAAAACTTAGCCGGGCATGGTGGCGGGCGCCTGTAGTCCCAGCTACTTGGGAGGCTGAGGCAGGAGAATGGCGTGAACCTGGGAGGCGGAGCTTGCAGTAAGCTGAGATTGCGCCACTGCACTCCCGCCTGGGCGATAGAGCAAGACTCCATCTCAAAAAAAAAAAAAAAAAAAGTGCAAGCAGTGCTAGATCTGGAAACCAGATCTCTGATTCCAAGTCCCAGGTTGTGCTCCTCATGGGGTCTTTTCTTTTTTTCTTTATTTGAGACGGAGTCTCACTCTGTTGCCCAGGCTGGAGTGCAGTGGCATGATCTCAGCTCACTACAACCTCTGCCTCCCAGGTTCCAGAGATTCTCCTGCCTCAGCCTCCTGAGTAGCTGGGATCACAGACGCCCGCCACAACATCCAGCTAATTTTTAAATTTTTAGTAGAGATGGGGTTTCACCATGTTGGCCAGGCTGGTCCTGACCTCAAGTGATCCACCGGCCTTGGCCTCCCAAAGTGCTGGGATTACAGGCGTGAGCCACCGTGCCTCATGGGGTATTTTCAAATGTGAGAGTGGAGTGTGCAGCAGCCTCCTGACTGATGGCCCTCCTCCACTCAGCCATTCTCCACCCAGCACCAGGGAAGCACATCTCTCTCCTCCTTAAAACTCCTCAGTGGCCCCCACGGCCTTCAGCATCAGGTCATAGCCCTCTATCCTGCATTCACAGAGCCTCTCCATCAAATCCCTGTGGTCTCTCTTGCCTTTTCTCCTTCCTAAGCCTCTCAACATGGAGTGCTCCCAAAGGCTGAACACTTTCTTTTTTTTTCCTTCTTGAGACAGGGTCTCACTCTGGCAACCAGGCTGGAGTGCAGTGGCACAATCATGGCTCACTGCAGCCTCAAACTCCTGGGATCAAAGGATCCTCCCACCTCAGCCTCCTGAGTAGCTGGGACTATAGGTGTGTACCACCACACCCTGCTAATTAAAAAAAAAAATGTTTTTTTTAAGAAATGGGGTCGCCAGGCGCAGTGGCTCACACCTGTAATCCCAGCACTTTGGGAGGCTGAGGTGGGTGGATCACGAGGTCAGGAGATTGAGATCATCCTGGCTAACAAGGTGAAACCCTGTCTCTACTAAAAATACAAAAATTAGCCGGGCATGGTGGCAGGCGCCTGTAGTCCCAGCTACTCGGGAGCCTGAGGCAGGAGAATGGCATGAACCTGTGAGGTGGAGCTTGCAGTGAGCCGAGATTGTGCCACTGCACCCCAGCCTGGGTAACAGAGTGAGACTCCGTCTCAAAAAAAAAAAAAAAAAAAAAAGCGAAAAAGAAACGAGGTCTTGCTATGTTCTCCAGGCTGGTCTGGAACTCCTGGCCTCAGGCATTCTCCTTGCTTCGGCCTTCCAAAGTGCTGGGATTACAGATGTGACACCTGGCTGAACACTTTTCAATCTCTAGGCCTGTGCGCATGCTGGTGCCTTTGCCTGGAGTGTACCTCCCCCTCTCCTGAACCTCCTCTACTGCAGTCCCTGTCCAAATCTTCCTCATTCTTCAAGGATCATTCTGACTTGACAGAAGGTGTGGGTTGCAACCCTGGCTCTGCCACTTAACCAGTTGTGTGGCCTGCAGCAATTCACTCCCTTTCTCTAAACCTGTTTCCTCATCTGTAAAATGGGATAATAACACCTACCTCAAAAGGCTATTTTAAGATCAAATGAATTAATGAACCCTGAGAGCACTTTGTGCATTATAAACCACTGTGCACAATGCTCTCTGGTAAATGCCACCTTCTCTGTGATGCACTCTCCATAAATGTTCAAGTTAGGGTTAATGGCTCCTTTCTCTGTGTTTGCATAACACTTTGCTCACATCTCTCTAATAGCAATTAGCCCATTTGCCTCTTATTATAGCTTCTGAACTCCTTTGAAGTAGAGAGAATGTTTTAAAGACAATAGTAAACAACAATAGCTGTCACTTATCAAATCTCTATGTCCCAGGCAATGTGCTGGGCACTTCACGGTCATTCTCATTTAATCCTTATTTGATGGAATTAAGAGATAGGGTCATGTTTTCTGTTTTACAGATGAGGATGCTGACACTCAGAGATGTTTAGACACTTGTTCTACGTCACACAGCCCCCAAGGCAGGGTTATAAAACCTGTGCTTTTTCTACAAGGTAGAATTGTTTCCAGGGACCTTCAAGATACAGTAGTCAGCAGGCAGTCTACAAAACCCTGGCGACCCATCTGAGGCTCTTACCGAGGTGAGCAGCTTGGTCAGCACAAGGCCTTCATGGCTCCAGACACTAACACATTCCTCACCCATTCTAGGGCTCAGGGTGGCATTTCCAGCCCCCTCCTCTGAGCAGGATATGGGTGGCTGGCTGGAGGGTAGGATTCCTGGAACAGCACTAAAATATAGGCAGGTTCCTGCAGTCCTTTCTGTGGTCACCCTGGCTGTGATAAGGACCAGTTGTCCTGCAGAAGATCCTGTGAAAGGCACAGAAGAGAAAATGGAAGAAAATGAGAGGTGACGCGGGAGCCTCTGTCTTCACGCTTCTTTTCTTGTATTTTCTTTTTTTTTTTTTGAGGCGGAGTCTCGCTCTATCACCCAGGCTGGAGTGCAGTGGCGCAATCTCGGCTCACTGCAAGCTCCGCCTCCCGGGTTCACACCATTCTCCTGCCTCAGTCTCCCGAGTAGCTGGGACTACAGGTGCCCACCACCAGGCCCAGCTAATTTTTTGTATTTTTAGTAGAGACGGGGTTTCACTGTGGTAGCCAGGATGGTCTTGATCTCCTGACCTCGTGATCCGCCCGCCTTGGCCTCCCAAAGTGCTGGGATTACAGGCGTGAGCCACCGTGCCCGGCCCTTTTCTTGTATTTTCTTTCTTTCTTTATTTTTTTGAGATGGGGTCTCACTTTGTCGTGCAGGTTGGAGTGCAGTGGCACGATCCCAGCTCACGGGAGCCTCAACCTCCTAGGCTCAAGTGATCCTCCCACCTCAGTCTCCTGAGTAGGCAGGGCTACAAGTGTGTGCCACCTACCTGGCTAATTTAAAAAAATTTTTTTGTAGAGACAGGGTATCACTGTATTGCCCGGGCTGGACTCAAACTCCTGGGCTCAAGCCATCCTGCTACCCTGACCTCCCAAAATGTTGGGATTCCAGGCATGAACCACCACGCCTGCCCCTAGTCATTTTTTAAGGCTTTCTATAATACCAGGTGTTTTGGCATTGATTCTATTCAATAAAGTATTCCATATACCATTATTTATATCACTGAGAAATGAAAATAACTTTGTATCAATATAAACACAAATTAAGTTGTAATTTAAATTAACTTAAATTACAATCAATACAACAACCATACTAATACTCGCAAGGCTGCAGTGAAATGGGCAGATACACATTGCCCATGTCAGTTTGCATAAACTAGTTCATTCTTTTTAAGAAAGCAGTTTCTCACTTGGTACCAAAATCCATTAAAAGGTTCTCACCCTATTTTAAATTAGTGGGGAAAGGATGGCCTCAGTAAATGGCCTTGGGAAAATTTCCATGTAGAAAAAAACATAGCGTCAAACTGTTATCTTATAAAATAAAGTTCAGATGTATTAAAGAACTATACAAACTAAAAAAAAACTTAAGTATTTAAAGAAAATACAGAATATTTTATTTTATTTTATTTTATTTTATTATTTTTGAGACAGAGTTTCACTCTTGTTGCCCAGGCTGGAGTGCAGTGGTGCAATCTCAGCTCACTGCAACCTCCACCTCCTAGGTTTAAGCAATTCTCCTGCCTCAGCCTTGTGAGTAGCTGGGATTACAGGTGCCCACGACCATGCCTGGCTAATTTTTTGTATTTTTAGTAGAGACGGGGTTTCATCATGTTGGCCAGGCCAGTCTTGAACTCCTGACCTCAGGTGATCCACCTGCCTCAGCCTTCCAAAGGCTGGGATTATAGGAATGAGCCACCACGCCTGGCCAGAATATTTTCTAATTTTAAAATGAGGAAGGGCTTCCTATGAAAGACACAAAACCTAAAAGTTTTAATAAAGGACAAGAGTGATAAACCTAACCTCATAAAAATTAAAGACTTCTATGCAATGAAAGATAAGTTAAAAAAACAAGTAACATATTGAAAATACCTATAATATATTTAAATGACAAAAGGTTTACTATCTAGAATAAAGACCTACAAATCAAGAAGAAAAAGACAAATAACTTAAAAGAAAAAGGAACAAAGGAAACAAACAGGTAATTCACAGGCAACATGAATACAGACAATAAACCATAAGAGGCTCAACCTTACTAGCAATCAAGAGAAAGTAAATAAAACAATTGGGTAATACGCCAGACCCGGTAGCTCATGCCTGTAATCCCAGCACTTTGGGAGGTGAGGCAGGAGGATCACTTGAGCCCAGTAGTTTGAAACTAGCCTGGGCAACATAGTGAGACCACATCTCTATAAAAAATACAAAAATTGGCCAGGCGCAGTGGCTCACACCTGTAATCCCAGCACTTTGGGAGGCCAAGGCGGGCGGATCATGAGGTCAGGAGTTCAAGACCAGCCTGGCCAACATGGTGAAACCCCATCTCTACTAAAAATACAAAAATTAGCTGGGCATGGTGCCACATGCCTGTAATCCCAGCTACTTGGGAGACTGAGGCAGGAGAATCTCCTGAAACTGGGAGGCAGAGGTTCAGTGAGCTGAGATCGCATCACTGCCCTCCAGTCTGGGTGACAGAGCAAGACTCCTTGGGCTGGGGGGCGGGAATTAGGTGAGCGTGATGGCGAGCACCTGTAATCCCAGCTACTCAGGAGGCTGAGGCAGGAGAATGTTTACTGCAAGCCCTGCCTCCCAGGGATAAGCAATCCTCCCACCTTAGCCTCCCAAGTAGCTGGGACCACAGGTGTGCACCACCACGCCTGGCTTTTTTTTTTTTTTTTTTTTGTATTTTTAGTAGAGACAGAGTCTTGCCATTTTGTCCAGGCTGGTCTCGAACACCTGCGCTCAAGCAATCTGCCTGCCTTGGCCTCCCAAAGTGCTGGGATTACAGGCATGAGCCACCACATCCGGCCCTAACTGTACACTTTCAATGGGTGAATTGTATGGTACATGAATCATATCTCAATAAAACTATTATATATCTATTTAAAAGTAAAAAGAATGGGAAAGAATTGTCCCAAGTCTGCATATATCGGACACATTCCTTATTTTTGTTAACATACATGTACATCTGGACATGCAGAGACCCACTCCCCCGACACATATATACTCACAGGAGAATCTTAGAATGATAGTGTTGTAAAGGACCTCAGAAGTCAGAAAATACCACCCTCTTCCATCCCTCTTTATCTTAGCATATTTTAGATAAGGCCAAATGTCACACAGGGATTATTGGCATCCACTGACATTTTCACATTCTCCCTATCGCTTGTCATTTTCCCAGAAGACTATAGCTCTTTGGAAATTGATGGTGTCTAATTTTTTTCTGCATCTTTTGTGGCATACAGAACTATGCTAAGGAAAAAGGGGCCTCTAGGAGGAGGTGGCTAAAGGATGAGAAAACATTAGGTCAAACCTAGCCCATTTCATCCTACCTCCAAGGATAGACTCAAAGAACATCAGAACTGGCAGAGGAAGAAAGCATTCATAGAAAACCTACCCTGTCGGCAGCATGTTCACTGAAAGCCCTAATCACAGAAGTGACTAAAGTCCAGGGATGTGCCCAAGGTCATCATTGGTGAGGTCAGAGGCAGGGCCCAGCCCTGAGTGTTCTGATACCCGACCCCACAGTCCTCTGTGATCTCACCTTACTTTTTTTTTTTTGGCGCAGGGTGGTGGGGGGGGCGCGGGGCGGGACAGAGTCTCTGTTGCCCAGGCTAGAGTGCAGTGGTGTGATCTCTGCTTATTGCAACCTCCGCCTCCCAGGTTCAAGCGATTCTCCTGCCTCAGCCTCCCAAGTAGCTGGGACTACAGGCACCTGCCACCACACCTGGCTACTTTTTGTATTTTTGTTTGTTTGTTTGTTTGAGACGGAGTCTTGCTCTGTCTCCCAGGCTGGAGTACAGTGGCACGATCTTGGCTCACTGCAACCTCCACCTCCCGGGTTCAAGCAATTCTCCTGCCTCAGCCTCCCAAGTAGCTGGAACTACAGGCTTGCACCACCAAGCCTGGCTAATTTTTTTTTTTGAGACCGAGTTTTGCTCTGTTGCCCAGGATGGAGTGCAGTGGTACGATCTCGGCTCACTGCAACCTCCGCCTCCTGGCTTCAAGTGATTCTCCTGCCTCAGCCTCCTGAGTAGCTGGGATTACAGGCACGTGCAACCATGCCCGGCTAATTTTTGTATTTTTAGTAGAGATGGGGTTTCACCATGTTGGTCAGGCTGGACTCAAACTCCTGACCTCATGATCTGCCCGCCTCGGCCTCCCAAACTGCTGGGATTACCGCTGTGGGCCACCGCAACCAGACCACCAGGTTAATTTTTGTATTTCTAGTAGAGACGGGGTTTCACCATGTTGGCCAGGCTGGTCTCGAACTCCTAACCTCGTGATCTGCCCTTCTCGGACTCCCAAAGTGCTGGGATTACAGGCATGAGCCACCGCACCTGATTTTTTTTTTTTTTTTTTTTGAGACAGAGTCTTGCTCTGTCACCCAGGCTGGAGTGCAATGGTGCGATCTCGGTTCACTGCAACCTCCATCTCCTGGGTTCAAGCGATTCTCCTTCCTCAGCCTCCCGAGTAGTTGGGATTAGAGGCGCCTGCCACCATGCCTGGCTAATTTTTGTATTTTTAGTAGAGATGGTGTTTCATCATGTTGGCCAGGCTGGTCTTGAACTCCTGACCTCAAATGATCCACCTACCTTAGCCTCCCAAAGTGTTGGGATTACAGGCGTGAGCCACCACACCCAGCCTCTGATCTCACCTTTCAATCCCATCTGACTTCCCAGGACTGTGGCCTGGAATGTCCGGGTCTTGTTCCTGTCTGGACCGTCTCCGAAGTTCAAGGTGGTCAGCAAGCCCACGACGTGAGACCCTCGCCACTTCCCTGTGACTGTCCCATTCCTGGGACACAGGGTCAGCTGGCCAAAAGATCTCAAAAAAGAGACCCAGTCCTGTGAGCAAAAGAAGACGGGTGAGATGAGATTAGCAGCAAAAGCCTGTCTAGGTTGGAAGGAAGAGCGGGTACGGGGGTGGGGAACTTACCTGGGGGATGTCAGGGCTGCGCAGGCCAGTCCTGTGGGTGAGGAGGAAGCTGCCAAGGCCCAGGCCAGAGAGGCCAAGGAGCAGCAGGATCAAAGTGGCACAGACCAGAGGTGGGTGGTGGGCCAGACACAGGTGCAGGTTGTGCCCTGCCTGGCAGTTGCCCATGGGGAGCAGAGGGGGCTGAGCCTCCGGGGAGAGCCTGCTGGAAGACAGGGAGGGAGAATGGGACAAGAGCACCGCTTTTACGCAAAGAGAAAAGAAAGCTCAGAGAAGACAAAGGACTTCCCAAGGCCACACAGTAAGTGGCAGAGCCAGAACAAGAATCCAAGGTTCCCGACTCCAAAAGTTCAACTCCCTGCACTGCTGGATAAATATTTGCTGCATTTCATTTCTGAAGTAATCTAAGTGGAGGCAGAGCAGTGTACTCCGTGCTGGAAGAAGGAAACTGAAAGGGAGACTTCTCAGCTGGAGAAACAGGAAGCACTGTTCTGGGGCGAGGATTTGGCTGAGGAATAGTTCCAGCCAGAGCCCAGACAAGGGAAGACTCTGGAGAAGAACTCCACTGTGCAGCTAAACGGCTAGATCTGAATCCCTTTCTGTTATTCACTGACTCTGTGAGCTTAAGAATCCATGAAATGGGAGTTCTGAGAACACCAAGTAATAAGGATTAAACGTGGCGGATGAAGCAGTCTGCGTGGTATTTGGCCATGCAGGAATTCAACAAATGTCCACTTCCTTTCTCTTTCTCGTACAGATCCTCAAAACCGGGTAAGGCGAGGCAAAAAATACTGTGAGGGAAACTGAGGCTCGCGGACTTTAACACAGGAGGGGTAGGGCCAAGATCTGAACCCCGCCTCCTGCTTCCAAGTGGGGTGCTCCTTCCCACGCAAGGTGCGACGGCCTGATGGAAAAGAACTTCTGGAAGGCGAAGAGATAAACAGGGGTCGGGGGAAAAGAAGGGAGCCACGGAAATGTAGGTGTCACAAATGCTCAGCCCTGCCCCGCCTCCCGTCCGGCTGGAAGGGGGTTAAAGGGAGGGGAGGGCAGAGTCTGAGGGTCCGCCGCCGCTGGTGCACCTGAGCACCCCCTCCCCGGAAAGCCCCCGCCCCGAACGATTGCAACGCCCTCGTCCCCTCCCGGTCTCGCGCGTCGGATCCGCCAGCCGCTCGCTCTTACCCCTCGGGGCCGGGCGGAGGCCGGCGCCCCCCGCGACGTCACGAGCGGGGCCGCGAGGGGGCGGGGTCCGTGCTCTGCGCTTCCGTCCCCGACCCTCCTCCTCGCGCGGCCCCGCCCCGCGGCCGGGTCCGCATGCGCAGTGGCCACGCGGGCGCCAGCCTCGCAGCTCACCGCCAGGGTGGGGGCGTACCAAAGGGACACCCAAGGAAGGAGCCACCAGAAAGGAAAACCTCCGTGGGAGGGGTGGAAACGGGAGCGAGGCCAGGGAGCAAGTGCGAGAAACGTCGCAGAACCCGTAGGCTCCCTCCAGAGAGACTGGCGAGAACTGCCCCAGAAGCTTGTCGCGGGCATTTTTGGGCTGTGCGTCCCCTACCCGCGCCAATAGCACAGACCAGCCGCGCCCGGGTTCCCGGTGAGGACTCGGCATCCGCTCAGAGTTGCAGGGCTGCCACTTGAGGACTCTGTCCACTGGGGCTGGGAGTGGTGTTTTGGACTCCGCTCTTCTGTGCACCCCGATCTGCACCTTTCTCGTGGACCCTGACTTTTAGTGACTCCTTAATGTATAGGATGCTGGAGCTGAAGAGTTGCTCAGTAGAGAGCATCTCAGTTCACTTCTGCCCAAGTTTTGGAGGTGAGAACATCTGACTGGAGGTAGCATGACACATGGAGCCAGGAACTTTGGGTTCAAATCCTGACTGTCCGTACCCTCGCATAAGCCATAGCCGCGCTCTCAGGGGACTAAGCTTACCCCTCTACTAAAGAGGATCATCCTATCTATCTCACCGGTTGGATCAGAAGCTTAAAGGGTAAAATGTGGGAAAACATGGGCCCAGTGCCCACTAAGCACACAGGACAGATGCTACTTGAAACGGAATCTATTTAATTCGACTGTGGCTTCCTTAAGGCAGAGGCCATGTCGTTTGTATCAACAGCCACAAAAGTTTGTGGCACAAAACCTTCGCATATACAAATGATTTTTTTTTTTTTTGAGACGGGGTCTCAGTCTGTCGCCAGGCTGGAGTGTAGTGGCGCGATCTCGACTCACTGCAACCTCCGCCTCCCGGATTCAAGCTATTCTTCTGCCTCAGCCTTCCGAGTAGCTGGGACTACAGGCGCACGCCACCACGCCCAGCTAATTTTTGTATTTTTAGTAGAGACGAGGTTTCACCATGTTGGCCGGGATGGTCTTGATCTCTTGACTTCGTGGTCTGCCCGCATCGGCCCCCCAAAGTGCTGGGATTACAAGCGTGAACCACCACACCCGGCCGATTTTTTTTTTTTTTTTTTTTTTTTTTTGACAGAGCCTTGCTCTGTCATCGCCCAGGCTGGAGTTCAGTGGCACAATCAAAGCTCGCTGCAGTCTGGACGTCTTGGGCTCAAGAGATCCTCCCGCCTTAGCCTCCTGGGTAGTTGAGACAGCCGGTAGTCACACGCCACCCACCATGCCCAGCTAACTTTTGCATTGTGTGTAGAGACGGGGTTTTGCCATTTGCCATGTTGCCCAGGCATGTCTCGAACTCCTGACCTCAAGCAGTCCTCTCGCCTCGGCCTCCCAAAGTGCTGGGATTACAGGCGTGAGCCACTGTGCCCTGACTAGTCAAATGATTTTTGACAAGGGTGCTGTGGGCGTTCAGTAGAGAAAAGAGTCTTTTCTGTGCATCGAAGGACACAACAGGCTGGGCACGGTGGCTCAAGCCTGTAATCCTAGCACTTTGGGAGGCCGAGGCGGGTGGATCACCTGAGGTCAGGAGTTTGAGACCAGCCTGGCCAACATGGTGAAACCCCATCTCTACTAAAAGTACAAAATTAGCCAGGCATGGTGCCGGGCGCCTATAATCCCAGCTACTCCGGAGGCTAAGGCTGGAGAATCGCTTGAACCTGGGGAGTGGAGGTTGCAGTGAGCTGAGATTGCACCACTTCACTCCAGCCTGGGCAAAAGATCAAAACTCTGCCCCACAAAAAACAAAAACAAAAAAAGGAAAGGACAGTGAAAAGGCAACCAACAGAATGAGAGGAAATATCAAATCATATATCTTATAAGGGGTTAATATCTATAATATATAAAGAACTCCTACAACTCAACAACAGCCCAATCTCAGCTCACCTCAACCTCTGCCTCTCAGGCTCAAGGGATTCTCCTGCCTCAGCCTCCCGAGTAACTGAGATTACAGGCACACGCCACTATCACCTGACTAATTTTTGTACTTATTAGTAGAGACAGGGTTTCACCATATTGGCCAGGCTGATCTCAAACTCCTGACCTCAAATGATCCACCCGCCTTGGCCTCCCAAAGTACTAGGATTATAGGCGTGAGCCACCGCGCCCGGCCTAATTTTTTGTATTTTTAGTAGAGATGGGGTTTCATCATGTTGGCCAGGCTGGTCTCAAATTCCTGACCTCAGGTGATCCACCCGCCTCAGACTCACGAAGTGCTGGGATTACAGGTGTGAACCACCGCACCAGCCAAGTATACCAACATTTTGACTTAATCCACTCAACAAGCCCTCAAAGTGGATGTTATTCTGGAAAGCTGGCCCTTAGTTTAAGTCAGGGGTCCCCAACCCCTGGGCCGTGGGGCCAGTACCAGTCCGTGACGTGTTAGGAACTGAGCCGCACAGCAGGAAGTGAATGGCTGGTGAGAGAAGCTTCATCTGTATTTACAGCTACTCCCCATTGCCTGCATTACCGCCTCAGCTCTGCTTCCTGTCAGATCAGTAGCGGCATTAGATTATCATAGGAGCATGAATCCTATTGTGAACTGCGCATGCGAGGGATCTAGGTTGCTCCTTATGAGAATCTAATGCCTGATGATCTCTCACTGTCTCCCATCAACATCAGATGGGACTATCTAGTTGCAGGAAAACAAACTCAGGGATCCCACTGATTCTACTTTATGATGAGTTGTATAATTATTTTATTATACCTTATAATGTAATAATAATAGAAATAAAGTGCAAAATAAATGTAATGTGCTTGAATCATCCCGAAACCATTCCTCCCCTGGTGGAAAAATTGTCTTCCATGAAACTGGTCCCCAGTGCCAAAAAGGTTGGGGACTGCTGGTTTAATTTAACCAAGGTCATACATATATTAGGTGGCAGAAGTTGGGTTATGATTTAAGCCTGACCACAGCATGGCATGTGGGAATGAGAAAGCCCTGTTGAGGCTCGTTCATTCAATAAGCATCTGTTGGCTGCCAGGCTGTGTATTCTGTGGGCTGGGAATATAGTGGTGGACAAAGTATTCATGATCTCTGGCCTCCTGGAACTACAATCTGGCATGTTCAGGCTGGGCGCAGTGGCTCATGCCTGTAACCCCAGCACTTTGGGAGGCCGAGGCGGGAGGATCACCTGAGGTTGGGAGTTCAAGACTAGTCTGACCAACATGGAGAAACCCCATCTCTACTAAAAATACAAAATTATTCGGGCGTGGTGGCATATGCCTGTAATCTCAGCTACTTGGGAGGCTGAGGCAGGAGAATCGCTTGAACCCAGGAGGCGGAGGTTGCAGTGAGCCGAGATCACGCCATTGCACTCCAGCCTGGACAACAAGAGCGAAACTCCATCTCAAAAAAAAAAAAAAAAGCAACAGGAAAAGTGCATGTTTGCCTAAACCTTTTTTCTTCTTCTTCTTTTTTTTTTTTGGAGGCAGAGTTTCACTCTGGTTACCCAGGCTGGAGTGCAGTGGTGCGATCTCAGCTCACGGCAACCTCTGCCTCCTGAGTTCAAACAATTGTCCTGCCTCAGCCTCCCTAGTAGCTGGGACTACAGGCGTGCGTCACCAGGCCCAGCTAATTTTTTTGTATTTTTAGTAGAGACAGGGTTTTGCCATGTCATCCAGGCTGGTCTCGAACTCCTGACCTCAAGTGATCCATCCACCTTAAGCTTCCCAAAGTGCTGGGATTACAGGTGTGAGCCAGTGAGCCCCACCTTTTTTTTGTTTCTTTTTTTTTTTGAGACAGGGTCTTGGTCTGTCACCCAGGCTGGTGGGCAGTGGCGCAATCTTGGCTCAGTGCAACCTCCCTCCTCACCATGCTCAAGCAATCCTCCCACTTCATCCGCCCAAGTAGCTGGGACCACAAGTGTGCACCACCATGCCAAGCTATTTTTTTTTCTCTCTTTTTGTATTTTTAGTAGAGACGGGGTCTCACCATGTTGTGCAGTCTGGTCTCGAACTCCTGAGCTCAAGCCGTCTACCCGCCTCAGACTCCCAAAGTGCTGGGATTACAGGTGTGAGCCACCCTGCCCGGCCCCATCTAGACTTTTTTTTTTTGAGATGGAGTCTTGCTCTGTCGCCCAGACTGGAGTGAAGTGGTGTGATCTCGGCTCGCTGCAACCTCCAACTCCTGGGTTCAAGTGATTCTCCTGCCTCAGTCTCCTGAGTAGCTGGGATTACAGAGGCATGCCACTGTCCCTGGCTAATTTTTGTATTTTTAGTAGAGACGGGGTTTCACCATGTTGGCCAGGCTGGTCTCAAACTCCTGACCTCAAGTGATCCACCCGCCTTGGCCTCCCTAAGTGCTAGGATTACAGGTGTGACACATCGTGACTGGCCAAAAAAAAATTTTTTTTTGAGACGGAGTCTCGCTCTGTTGCCCATGCTGGAGTGCGGTGGCATGATCTCTGCTCACTGCAAGCTCCGCCTCCTGGGTTCACACCATTCTCCTGCCTCAGTCTCCCAAGTAGCTGGGACTACAGGTGCCTGCCACCACACCCAGCTAATTTTTTGTATTTTTTAGTAGAGACAGGGTTTCACCATGTTAGCCAGGGTGGTCTCGATCTCATGACCTCGTGATCTGCCCGCCTCGGCCTCCCAAAGTGCTGGGATTACAGGTGTGAGCCACCGCGCCCGGCTTTTTTTTTTTTTTTTTAAGGTGGAGTTTCACTCTTGTAGCCCAGGCTGGAGTGCAATGGCGCAATCTCGGCTCACTGCCACCTCCACCTCCCGGGTTCAAGCGATTCTCCCACCTCAGCCTCCTGATGGGACTGCAGGTGCCTGCCACCACGCCCGGCTAATTTTTGTATTTTCAGTAGAGACGGGGTTTCACCATCTTGGCCAGGTTGGTCTCAAATTCCTGACCTCTTAATCCCTCTTCGGCCTCCCAAAGTGCTGGGATTGCAGGCATGAACCACTGCACCCAGCCCAAAAAAATTTTTAAGTTAGCTGGATGCCCAGCCACTCTGTAGTCCCATCCTGTAGTCCCAGTACCTGTAGTCCCAGCCACTCTGGAGGCTAAGGCAGAAGGATCACTTGAGCTGCAATGAACCGAGATTGCCACTGCACTTCAGCCTAGGTAACAGAGTAAGACCCTGTCTCTAAAATAAATACATAAACAAATAAATATTACTTTATTAAATCATGTCAATAACAAAGCAAATTATTATCCCTATTTTATGGATGAGAAAACCAAGACTTAGCAATGTTAGCAAACTTGCCCGTGGTCTGCAGCTAGCCCACCAGCTACATGTCCCACACAGGAAAGAACAATAAAAATATAGAAAAAAAATAGAATAATATGATTGCCTGGAATAAGAAATATTTATTCCAAAATAGAATTTAAAAATAGGATAATATGATTACCTGGAATAAGAGATACTTTCTGAAGCAAGACACACAAATATAGAAACCATAAATGAAGAAGGTTGATAAATTTAATTGTTTAAAATTTAAAACCTCTGTATGATAAGATCCCACGTGAGTGAGAAGTGGGAGAAAATCACTGCGGTATATATAAACTGTCAAGGGATTAGAAGTTGCTAACATTTTTTGTTTTGTTTTGTTTTGAGATGGAGTCTCGCTCGGTCACCTAGGCTGGAGTGCAGTGGGTCCATCTCAGTTCACTGCAACCTCCAGCTCCCAGGTTCAAGCGATTCTCCTGCCTCAACCTCCTAAGTAGCTGGGATAACAGGCGCTTGCCACCACACCCAGCTAATTTCTTTTGTATTTTTAGTAGAAATGGGGTTTCACCATGTTGCTAGGCTGGTCTCGTACCTCTGACTACAAGTGATCCACCCACCTTGGCTTCCCAAAGTGCTGGGATTACAGGCGTGAGCCACCACGCCCAGCCTGTTTTGTTTTTTACTAAGGTAAAATTTACATAGAGTGAAATGCACAGATCTTAAAGTATAAAATTTCATGAGTTTTGACAAATGTAATGCCTATCTAAACACCCCAATCAAGACATAAAACACTTCTAGGTCCAAGAACTTCCTTCCCTTCCCTTTCTAGTCAGTCCCCACTGCCCGTGTCCATAGGCAACTACTATCCTGATTCCGTAACCAAAAATAGTTATTTTTTTCTTTAAAATGCCCAGATTCACTTAATAGACTGTAAGTGTTGTTAGAAGAGGATCTGCCTGATTTTTTTCTTAGTATTTGTGTGTGTGTGTGTGGTAAACAACATATATAATATAAAACTTGCCATTTTAGCTTTTTTTTTTTTTTTTTGAGACAGATCTCGCTCTGTTGCCCAGGCTGGAATGCAATGGTGCAATCTTGGCTCACTGCAACCTCCACTTCCTGAGTTCAAGTGATTCTCCTGCCTCAGCCTCCCAAGTAACTGGGATTACAGGTGTCTGCCACTACACCTGGCTAATTTTTTGTATTTTTAGTAGAGACGAGGTTTCACCGTATTGGCCAGGCTGGTCTTGAACTCCTGACCTCAGGTGATCCACCTGCCTTGGCCTCCGGAAGTGCTGGGATTACAGACATGAGCCACTGCACCTGGCCATTTTAGCTATTTTTAAGTGCACAGTTCAGTGGTATTAATTACATTCACAATTTTGTGCAACTGTCACTACTATTTCCAAAACTTTTTCATCACTCCAAACAGAAATTCTGTAACATTAAGCAATAACTTTCTTTTTTTTTATGGGAAAAAAATGGATGATTTATTATATAAAAGTATGATTGGCAGAATACAGAAAAACTGTTTTTTTTTACCTTTACGTGTTTATTACAAACACCAAACAAGGTGTAACAATTGGAAGAACGAATTTCAAACTACCCAAAATTATTCATTTGGTGAAATTATTCAAGTCACGAATGCTAAGTAAATAGATGCACTTCAAAATATGCAAAGTGTGGCTGGGTGCAGTGGCTCACACCTGTAATCCCAGCACTTTGGGAGGCCGAGGCAGCCAGACCACCTGAGGTCAGGAGTTTGAGAGAAGCCTGCCCAACATGGTGAAACCCCGTCTCTACTAAAAATACAAAAATTAGCCATGCATGATGGCAGGTGCCTATAATACCAGTTACTTGGGAGGCTGAGGCAAGAGAATCACTTGAACCTGGGAGGCAGATGTTGCAGTGAGCTGAGATCAAGCCACTGCACTCCAGCCTGGGCGACAGAGCAAGACTCTGTCTTAAAAAAAAGAAAAAAATCAATGTAATACACCACATTAATAGAATGAACCGGGGAGAAAACACATGGTCATCTCAATTGATGCAGAAAAGGCTTTGAAAAAATGAACACCCTTTCATGATTTTATTTATTTATTTATTTATTTATTTATTTATTTATTTATTTATTTATTTTGAGACGGAGTTTCACTCTTGTTGCCCAGGCTGGAGTGCAATGGCGTGATCTCGGCTCACCACAGCCTCTGCCTCCCAGGTTCAAACAATTCTCCTGCCTCAGCCTCTGGAGTAGCTGGGATTATAGGGAAGCGCCACCACACCCGGCTAATTTTTTTGTATTTCAGTAGAGATGGGGTTTCTCCATGTTGGTCAGGCTGGTCTCGAACTTCTGACCTCAGGTGATCTGCCTGCCTCGGCCTCCCAAAGTGCTGGGATTACAGGCGTGAGTGAGCCACTGCGCCCAGCCAAACCCCTTTCATGATTAAAACACTCAATAAACTAGAAATAGACAGGAATGTCCTCCAAATGATAAAGGCCGTAAACCACAGCTAACATCATACTCTACAGGGAAAGACTAAAAGCTTGTACCCTCAGACCAGGAACAAGACAAGGATGCCTGCTCTCACCACTTCTATTCAACAAAGTACTAGAAGTTCTAGGCAAAGCAATTCGCCAAGAAGAAACAAAAGACTTCCACATTGGAAAGGAAGAAGTAAAAGGATCTCTTTTCACAGATTATATAATTATATATAGAAAAATCATAAGAAATCCACACAAAAATTTTAGAATTAAGTTCAGCAAAGTTGCAGGACATAAAATCAACTCAGATTTTATACACTTGCAGCAAACAATTTGAAAAGGAAATTTAAATAATAACTTCCTTTGCAATAGCATCAAAATAATAAAATACTTAGAAATTTAACCAAGGAGCTCAAAGATTTGTACACTGAAAATTACAATATACTGCTGAAATAAATTAAAGAAGACCCCCAAAAGAGAAAACATCCCACATTCATGGATTGAAGGACTTAATAGTGTTAAGATGGCAATACTACCCAAAGCGATCTGCAGTTTCAATGCAAATTCCTAACAAATCATATCAAATCCCTATGATTTTTTTTTTTGTTTTTTTGTTTTTGAGATGGAGTCTCGCTCTGTCACCCAGGCTGGAGGGCAGTGGAACAGAAAAACCCATCCTAAAATTCATACAGAATCTCAAGGGACCCTGAATACCAAAATGGTCTTGAAAAAAAGTTGAAGGACTCAATTTCCTGATTTTAAAACTTACTACAAAGCTATCATAATCAAAACAGTGTAGGGGCTGGGTGCAGTGGCTCACGCCTGTAATCCCAGCACTTTGGGAGGCCAAGGTGGGTGGATCACCTGAGGTCAGGAGTTGGAGACCAGCCTGGTCAACATGGCGAAACCCCATCTCTACTAAAAATACAAAAATTAACTGGGTGGCGAGTGCTTATAATCCCAGCTACTCGGTAGGCTGAGGCAGGAGAATCGCTTGAACCCCGGAGGCGGAGGTTGCAGTGAGACAAGATTTCGCCACTGCACTCCAGCCTGGGGGATAGAGCTAGACTCTGTCTCAAACAAACAACCAAACAAAAACTGTAGGGGGGCCAAGCGTGGTGGCTCATGCCTGTAATCCCAGCACTTTGGGAGGCTGAGGCGGGAGGATCGCTTGAGGCCAGGAGTTCAATACCATCCTGGGCAACATGGTGAGACCCCATCTAAAAATACAAAAATTTAGCCGGAGTGGGGGCAAGCGCCTGTAATCCCAGGTACTCAGGAGGCTGAGGCACGAGAATTGCTTGAACCTGGGAGACAGAGGTTGTAGTGAGCCCAGATTTGGCCACTGCACTCCGGCCTAGGTGACAGAGTGAATGTCAAAAACAAACAAACAAACAAAACACAATGTAGTGGGAAGTCAGAGCAAGATGGCAGAATAGAAGCCTCCTCAGAACCATCATAAGAACCAAAAATCAGGTGAGTGGTCACAGTAGCTGATTTTAACTTCATATCACTGAAAGAGGCACTGAAGAGGGTAGGAAAGACAGCCTTTTTTTTTTTTTTTTTTTTTTTGAGATGAAGTCTCCCTTTGTCTGTTGCCTAGGCTGGAGTGCAATGGTGCAGTCTCGGCTCACTGAAACCTCTGCCTCCCGGGTTCAAGCGATTCTCCTGCCTCAGCCTCCCTAGTAGCTGGGACTACAGGCATGTGCCACCACGCCCGCCGGGTTTTTGTATTTTCAGTGAGACGGGATTTCACCATGTTGGCCTGACCTCAAGTGATCCGCCTGCCTTGGCCTCCCAAAGTGTTGGGATTACAGGTGTGAGCCACCGTGCCCGGGCAGGAAACACTGTCTTGAATCGCTGACACCACCCCTCCCCAACCCCCTAGCAGTAGCTGCATGGCACAGAGAGAAACTGTGCACTTGGAGGAGAGAGAGCACATGGACTGGGGGACTTGGCATTGAACTGAGGGACTTGCCAGTGAACTCAGTGCTGCCCTGTCACAGTGGAGAGCAAAGCCATGCTGGACTCAGCCAGTGCCTGCCCAAGGAGGGAGCATTTGTATCAGCCCGAACCAGAGGGGAATTGTCCATCCTAGTGGTCAGAACTCAAGTTGCGGCAAGCCTTGCCACTGCAGGCTAAAGTGCTCTGGGGTCCTAGGTAAATTTGAAAGGCATTTTAGGATACAAGGACTGCAACTTCTAGGCAAGTCCTAGTGCTGGGCTGGCCTTAGAGCCAGTGGACTAGGATGGCACATGACCTAGCTAGGCAGTAGTTGGGGCAGCTAAAGGAGTGCATGCACCACCCTTCCCCCGATTCCAGGCGGCATAGCTCACAGCAACGAAAGTAACTCCTTCCTTGTGTTTGAGGAGAGGAAAGCAAAGAGTAAAGAGGACTTTGTCTTGCATCTTGGATACCAGATCAGCCGCAATAGGATAGAGCACCAGGCAGTCATGAGGCCCTCATTCCAGGCCCTAGCTCCTGGATGACATTTTTAGACATGCGCTGGGCCAGAAGGGAGCCTGCTGTCCTGAAGGGAGGACGCAGTCCTGGAAGGGCTTATCACCTGCTGACTAAGGAGCCCTTGGTCCCTGAATAGCCAACAGCAATACCCAGGTAGTATCTGTGGACCTTGGATAAGAGTCTGAGTTGTGCTGGCTTCAGGTAGGGCCCAGCACATTACCAGCTGTGGTGGCCCTGGTGAAAGACTACTGCTTGAGAAAAGTGGAGAGAAGAGTAAAGGGAACTTTGTCTTGCCCCTTAGATACCAGCTCGGACACAGTGGGGTAGGGTACCAAGCAGATTTTTGGGGTCCCCGAGTCCAGACCTAAGCTCTTGGACAACATTTTTGGACCTGCTGTGGGCCAGAGGGGGACCCACTGTCCTAAAGGGTGAGTCCCAGGCCTGAGAGCATTCACCACAAGTTGACTTGAAGAGGCCTTGGGCTTTAAGTGAGTGTTCAGAACTCTCTGCAGGCCAGTGGTGGTAGTGGCCACTGGGAGAGGCTCCTCTGTCCTCTGTCCATGGAAAGGGGAAGGTAGAGTGGGAGGCACTTTGTCTTGTGGTTTGAGTCCCAGCTTAGCTGCAGTAGAATAGAACACCAGGTAGATTTCTAAGGTTTTTGACTCTAATCCGTGGCTCCCAGACATTATCTCTGGACCCTCCCAGGACCTGGAGGAACTCGCTGCCCTGAAGGGAAAGATAGAAATCAGACTGGTGGCCCTAGCTGCTGATTGTAGAGCCCTAGGGCCTTGAGTGAACATAGATGGTATTCGGGTAGTGGTTACAGTGGGCCTTGGGTGAGACCCACTGCTGTGCTGGCTTCAGGTATGACCCAGCACAGTCCTAATGGTGGTGGTCATAAGAAGGCTTGCATCACCCCACCCCTAGCTCCAGGAAGCTCAGCAAAGAGACAGAGACTCCATTTATTTGGGAGACAGTAAGGAAAGAGAACAAGAGTCTCTGCCTAGTAATCAGAGAATTCATCTGGATCTTATCTAGGACCACCAAGGTGGTACTTATATGAGTCCACAAGAACCACAGTGTTATTGGGCTTGGAGCTCAAGTCTTTTTGGATACCTGGAAAGCCTTCCCAAAAAAGATGGGCACAAACAAGCCCAGACTGCAAAGGCTACAATAAATACCTAACTCTTCAATGTGCAGACACTGATGAACATTGACAAGCATCAAGACCATCCAGGAAAACATGACCTCACCAAATGAACCAAAGAAGCCACCAGGGACTAATCCTGGAGAAACACAGATGGGACTTTTCAGACAGAGAATTCAAAAAAGACGTTTTGAGGAAACTCAAAGAAATTCACAATAACACAGAGAAGGAATTCAGAATTCTATCAATAAATTTAACAAAGAGATTGAAATAACTAAAAATAAGCAGAAATTCTAGAGTTGGAAAATGCAATTGACATACTAAAGAATGCATTAGAAGGCGTGGTGGCTCACGCCTGTAATCCCAGCACTTTGGGAAGCTGAGGTGGGTGGATCACCTGAGGTCAGAAGTTCACGACCAGCCTGGCCAGCATGGTGAAACCCCGTCTCTACTAAAAATACACACACACGCGCACACGCACACACACACACATGTGTATTGGTGCATGTCTGTAGTCCCAGTTACTCAGGAGGCTGAGGCAGGAGAATCGCTTGAACCTGGGAGGTGAAGTTTGCAGTAAGCTGAGATCCCGCCACTGCACTCCAGCCTGGGCGACAGAGCGAGACTCCATCTCAGAAAAACAAACAAACAAACAACAAACAAAAAAACACACAATGGAGCTCCAATTCCCATCTGGCAGCAGACTTTTCAGTGGAAACCTTACAGGCCAGGAAAGAATGGCATGACATTGAAAGTGCTAAAAGAAAAAAAAATTACCCTAGAATAGTATGTCTGGTAAAAATATTCTTCAAACATGAAGGATAAATAAAGACTTGCCCAGACAAACGAAAATGAAGGGTTTCATCAACACCAGACCTGTCCTACGAGAAATGCTAAGGGGAGTTCTTCAATCTGAAAGAAAAGGATGTTCATGAGCAATAAGAAATCATTTGAAGGTACAAAATTCACTGGTAATAGCAAGCACACAGAAAAATACAGGGTATTATAACACTGTAATTTTGGTATATAAACTACCATTATCTGTTTTTGTTTTGTTTTGTTTTGTTTTTTGAGATGGAGTTTCACTCTTGTTGCCCAGGCTGGAGTGCAATGGTGCGATCTCGACTCCCTGCAACCTCCTCCTCCCGGGTTCAAGAGATTCTCCTGCCTCAGTCTCCCGAGTAGCTGGGATTATAGGCATGTATCACCACACCCAGCTAATTTTGTATTTTTAGTAGAGACAGGGTTTCTCCGTGTTGGTCAGGCTGGTCTTGAACTCCCGACTTCAGGTGATCCACCCACCTAGGCCTCCCAAAGTGCTGGGATTACAAGCATGAGCCACTGCGCCTGGCCAACTACTCTTAAGTAGAAAAGCTAAACAATGAACCAATAAAAAAACAATAACTACAACATTTCAAGGCATAGTACAATAAGACATAAAGGGAACCACATTAAAAAGCAGTGGGGGCTGGACACGGTGGCTCATGCCTGTAATCCCGGCACTTTGGGAGGCTGAGGCGGGTGGATCACAAGGTCTGGAGTTCAAGACAAGCCTAACCAATATGGTGAAACTCCGTCTCTACTAAAAATACAAAAATTAGCCAGGTGTGGTGGTGTGCACCTGTAGTCCCAGCTACTCAGGAGGCTGAGACAGGAGAATCGCTTGAACCATGGAAGGCAGAGGTTGCAGTGAGCTGAGATAGCGCCACTGCACTCCATCCTGGGCGACAGAGTGAGACTCCATCTCAAAAAAAAAAAAAAAAAAAGCAGGGGGGGAGGAAGTTAAAGTGTAGAGTTTTTATTATTTTTTTTTTCATTTTGCTTGTTTGTTTGTTTATGCAACCAGTGTTAAGTTGTCATCAGTTTGCCGGGCGTGGTGGCTCACGCCTGTAATCCCAGCACTTTGGGAGGCCGAGGCGGGTGGATCACGAGGTCAGGAGATCGAGATCATCCTGGCTAACACAGTGAAACCCCGTCACTACTAAAAATACAAAAAATTAGTTGGGCACGGTGGCGGGTGCCTGTAGTCCCAGCTACTTGGGAGGCTGAGGCAGGAGAATGGCACGAACCCGGGAGGCGGAGCTTGCAGTGAGCCAAGATCGTGCCACTGCACTCCAGCCTGGGCGACAGAGCGAGACTCTGTCTCAAAAAAAAAAAAAAGTTGTCATCAGTTATCAGTTTAAAATAATGGGTAATAAGATAGTATTTGGCTGGGCATGGTAGCTCATGCCTATAATCCCAATACTTTGATAGGCTAAGGCAGGAAGATCACTTTAACCCAGGAGGTCACAATGTTACTCATTTTGCCTGGGTAAATGGCAAAATGTTGACTCTACAATAAAAAAAATTAGCTGGGTGTGGTGGCATGTACCTGTAGTCCCAGCTCCTGGGGAGGCTGAGGCAGGAGAATCACTTGAACTCAGGAGGCAGGGGCTGCAGTGAGCTGAGATTGTGCCATTGCCCTCTAGCCTAGGTGACAGAGCAAGACTCCACCTCAGAAAAAAAAAAAGATCATCATGACGAAGTGGAATTTCTCCCAGGGATGCAAGGATGGTTCAACATACACAAATCAATTAATGTGGTACATCATATCAACAAAACGAAAGACAAAAACCATATGATCATTTCAATTGATGCTGAAAAAGCATTTGATAAAATTCAACACTACTTCATAATAAAAACCCTCAAAAAACTGGGTGTAGAAGAAACATACCTCAACATTATAAAAACCATATATGACAGACCCACAGCTAGTATCATACTGAATGAGGAAAACCCGAAAGACTTTCCTCTAAGATCTGGAACATGACAAGGATGCCCACTTTCACCACTGTTATTCAGCATAGTACTGGAAGACCTAGCTAGAACAATTAGACAAGAGAAAGAAACAAAGGGCGTCCAAATTGGAAAGGAAGAAGTAAAAATTATTCTTGTTTGCAGATGATAAGATCTTATATTTAGAAAAAACATAGACTCCACTAAAAAACTATTAGAACTAATAAACAGGGGGCAGTCATGCCAAGCACCTTAATTCATTTTAATGGTGGAAATAATGGACACATATGCTTAGGGAGTTCAAGTCATCTCACTTATGACATATAGACAGAATGAAAAACTATTTTTTTTAGCAATATGATTCTTCTTTTTTTTTTTTTTTTTGAGACAGAGTCTTGCTCTGTTGCCCAGGCTGGAGTACAGTGGTGCCATCTTGGCTCACTGCAACCTCTGCTTCCCAGGTTCAAGCGATTCTCCTGCCTCAGCTTCCTGAGTAGCTGGGACTACAGGCATGTACCACCATGCCTGGCTAATTTTTGTATTTTTAGTAGAGACGGGTTTCCCTATGTTGGTCAGGCTGGTCTCGAACTCCTGATCTCATGATCTGCCCCCCGCCTCGGCCTCCCAAAGTGCTGGGATTACAGGCATGAGCCACAGCGCCAGGCCATTCTTTTTTTTTTTTTGAGACGGAGTCTAGCTCTGTCAACCAGGGTGGAGTGCAGTGGCATGATCTTGGCTTGCTGCAACCTCCGCCTCCCAGGTTCAAGCAATTCCCCTGCCTCAGCCTCTCAAGTAGCTGGGACTATGGGCGTGCACCCCTAGGCCTGGCTAACTTTTTTTTTTTTTTTGAGATGGAGTCTCGCTCTGTCACCCAGGCTAGAGTGCAGTGGCACGATCTCAGCTCACTGCAAGCTCTGCCTCCTGGGTTCACGCCATTCTCCTGTCTCAGCCTCCTGAGTAGTGGGGACTACAGGCGCCTGAGGCCTGGCTAACTTTTTTTGTCTTTTTAGTACAGATGGAGTTTCACCATGTTGGTCAGGCTGGTCTTGAACTCCTGGCCTCAAATGATCCGCCCATCTCGGCCTCCAAAAGTGCTGGGATTACAGCACGAGCCACTGCGCCAGGCCAGTCAATAATAATTTAATTGTATATTTTAAAATAACTGAAAGAATTTAACTGGGTTATTTGTAACACAAAGGATAAATGCTTGAGGGGATAGATACCCCATTTATCATGATGTGATTATTATGCGTTGCATGCCTCTATCAAAGTATCTCCTGTACCCTATAAATATATATGCCTACTACGTACCCACAAAAATTAAAAACAAGAAATTTAAAAAGTTAAAACAAACAAAAGAAAAAACCCAGTGTGATACTGACCTAAGGGTAGATAGAGAAACAAATGGAGTAGAATAGAGAACCCAGAAATAAATCCTCACATATATGGTTAATTGATTTTCAACAATTGATTTTCAACTATTTTCCCTTGTTGAAAATAGTTGTTTAGACTATTCAATGGGGGAAAGGATTCGTATTTTTGACAAATGTTGGTGGGCAGGGGGTGGGGGAAACATGCAAAATAATGAGGTTAGCCCTTTTCTGTACCCCACATAGAAAGCTTAGCTCACATACAAAAAATTAACTCAAAATGGATCAAAGATCTAAACTTAAGTGCAAAAACCATAAAAATCCTAGAATAAAACATAGGGGAAAATCTTCATCATATTGTATTTGGCAATGATTTCTTAGATATGATACCAAAAGCACAGGTAACAAAAGTAAAAATAGATAAAGGGGACTTCATCAAAATAAAAAGTTTTGTGTTTCAAAGAATACCACCCACAAGGCCGGGCGCGGTGGCTCACGCCTGTAATCCCAGCACTTTGGGAGGCCAAGGCGGGTGGATCACGAGGTCAGGAGATAGAGAGCATCCTGGCTAACACCGTGAAACCCCATCTGTACTAAAAAAAAATACAAAAAATTAGCCGGGCATGGTGGCGGGCGCCTGTAGTCCCAGCTACTCAGGAGGCTGAGGCAGGAGAATGGCGTGAACCCGGGAGGTGGAGCTCGCAGTGAGCCGAGATCCTGCCACTGTACTCCAGCCTGGGCAACAGAGCAAGACTCTGTCTCAAAAAAAAAAAAAAAAAAAAGAATACCAGCCACAAGGTGAAAAGACAGCTCACCGAATGGGAAAAAGTATTTGCAAATCTTACATCTGATAAAGTACTTGTATTTAAAACATAGAAATAACTCTTACAATTCAATAAGAAAAAGAAAATTGACCAATTGAAAAATGGGTAAGGGGCCAGGCGCGGTGGATCACGCCTATAATCCCGGCACTTTGGGAGGCCAAGGCAGATAGATCACTTGAGGTCAGGAGTTCGAGACCAGCCTGACCAACATGGCGAAACCCTTTCTCTACTAAAAATACAAAAATTAGCTGGGTATGGTGGCGTTTGCCTATTATCCCAGCTACTCGGGAGGCAGGAGAATCACTTGAACCTGGGAGGCAGAGGTTGCAGTGAGCCAAGATTGCACCACTGCACTCCAGCCTGGGTGATAGAATGAGACTCTGAGTCTCCAAAAAAAATGGGGCTCTGAGTCTCCAAAAAAAAGAATTCTGATACATACTATAACATGGATGAACCTTGAAAACATTGTGCTGGCTGGGCACAGTGGCTCACGCCTGTAATCCCAGCACTTAGGGAGGCCGAGGCAGGCGGATCACGAGGTCAGGAGATTGAGACCATCCTGGCTAACACGGTGAAACCCCATCTCTACTAAAAATACAAAAAATTAGCCGGGCGTGGTGGCGGGCGCCTGTAGTCCCAGCTACTCTGCTGAGGCAGGAGAATAGCGTGAACCCCGAGAGGCGGAGCTTGCAGTGAGCCGAGATCGTGCCACTGCACTCCAGCCTGGGTGACAGAGCGAGACTCCGTCTCAAAAAAAAAAAAAAAAAAGAAAGAAAGAAAACATTGTGCTAAGTGAAAGTGGCCAGCCATAAACTATAGTCACATATCGTATGATTCCATGCATATGAAATGTCCAGAACAGGCAAATCTACAGGGAGATTAGGGACTGCCAGGGGCTGGGCACACAGGGGAATAGAGAATCACTGCCTAATGGATTTGGGGGTTTCCTTTGGGGTGATGAGAATGTTTTGGAGCTAGATCAAGGTGATGCTTTCAAACATTGTGAATTTACTTAATGCCACTGAATTGTACACTGTAAAATGGTTAAATGGTAAATTTTACATTGTATTCTACTACAATTTCTGTTTAAAAACTGAGCTTATTACTTTTTCTGTTTTTTCCTTTTGAGACAGTGTCTTGCTCTGTCGCCCAAGCTGGAGTGCAGTAGCACGATCATGACTCACTGCAGCCTCGACCTCCTGGGCCCAAGCGGTTCTCCCATCTCAGACTCCCAAGTAGCTGGGACTACAGGTCTGCACCACAACACCTAGCTAATTGTTTTGAATTTTAGTAGAGATGAGATTTCTCTATGTTGCTCAGGCTGATCTGGAACTCTGGGGCTAAGGTGATTCACACGCCTCAGCCTCCCAAAGTGCTGGGATTATGGGCGTGAGCCACTGCGCCTGGCCTACTTTTTCTTCATATAAACTCCTCTTACTGTATCTTCATCTCAGGTTACAGTGTAATCATCTACCCAGTCTCCCAGGCAATAAACCTCTGAGTCAGCCTGGACTCCACCCTCTGCCCTTATCCCACGCATTCCATGCATCACAGTCTTCCCAAAGCCTTCCCCTCCTCTCCATTCCCTTTGCTTCCTTCAGACATTCTTTGTCTCTCATCAGGGCTCAGCAGTGTCTCCTCACCCTTCTCGCTGCCTCCACCTCCTACTCCATTCAATGCATCTTCCACAGCGCCTCCTGAGTTTGTTTCCTAAAAGAGCAACCTCAAGACTCAGCTGCTCTGCCTGAAGAACTCTGCTGCCTCCAGCAGAAAGCTCCACCTTTGGAAACAGATATGATCCTCCAGCAATCCCAACACTCGGAGGCTGAGGCGAGAGGATCACTTGAGCTCAGGAGTTCAAGTCCAGCCTGGGCAACACAGCAAGACCTCCAGTGAAATTCAAAAAAATTAGCCAGGCGTGGTGGCTGTAAGAATTAAAGAAAGAGGAGAGAAACATGAAGGGTGGTTTGACAGTCATCAGGGACAGGTTTATTTTGAATAATAAACTTGGCAGCTGGCCAAGTTAGGTCAGAGCCACCCTTTCTTACAAAGAGTTTGTAAGGATTCAGGGTGGGAGAGTTTATCAGAGGCTTGGACTGCTTCTGTGTCTCTTTGTTGTGCTTATCTTGTGCT
The DNA here is from genome assembly GCF_000001405.40 of Homo sapiens. Taxonomy (NCBI): domain Eukaryota; kingdom Metazoa; phylum Chordata; class Mammalia; order Primates; family Hominidae; genus Homo; species Homo sapiens. The sequence continues at coordinate 29,943,542 of NC_000016.10, read as the reverse complement.
TATCTTTTTTCTGCAGCTATAGGCATATCCCCTGAGTCTGCTTTTAACTTCCCTATCTTAGTGCAACTGAAGGGAAAGAAATGTGCTTATTAAGGCCCATTATTTTTTTGTTTGTTTGTTTTGAGACAATCTCTCTCTGTTGTCCAGGCTGGAATGCAGTGGCGTGATCTAGGCTCACTGCAACCTCTGCCTCCCAGGTTCAAGGGATTATCCTGCCTCAGCCTCCTGAGTAGCTGGGATTACAGGCGCGCGCCACCATGCCCGGCTAATTTTTGTATTTTTAATAGAGATGGGGTTTCACCGTGTTGATCAGGCTGGTCTCGAACTCCTGACCTCGTGATCTGCCCACCTCAGCCTCCCAAAGTGCTGGGATTACAGACATGAGCCACCACGCCCGGCCTAAGGCCCACTGTTTTACTGGGGCCCGTTGTATGAGGGTGAAGTTTGGCAGTTACCCAAGAGACTTTGCCCCCACCTCCCTCTATGCCCAAACTGTCTTATCTGCGTTTTCCTGTCTGCTCTTTCTGTCTGCTTGTAGTTAGAAGAGAAGTGATTTCCTTGAAATGCATGAGGCTAGAAAGGGAGCTGTAACTTAAAGGGGCGGTGTTTGTCCCAGATGACAGTGCTCTTGCTCCGTCAGTGTCATATGGTTGTAGTCCCAGCACCTTGGGACGCTGAGGCAGGAGGATCGCTTAAGCCCAGGAGCTTGAGGCTGCAGTGAACTGTGATTATATCACTGCACTCCAGCCTGGGCGACAGAGCAAGATCTTATCTCAAAATTAATGTATTATTATCATTATTAATTTTTTGAGACAGAGTCTTGCTCTGTCACCCAGGCTGGAGTGCAGTGGCAGAATCTCTGCTCACTGCAACCTTCGCCTCCCGGGTTCAAGCAATTCTTCTGCCTCAGCCTCCCTAGTAGCTGGGACTACAGGTGCACACCACCACGCCCAGCTAATTTTTGTATTTTTAGTAGAGACAGGGTTTTGCCGTGTTGGCCAGGCTGGTCTTGAACTCCTGATCTTGAGTGATCTGCCCGCTTTGGCTTCCCAAAGCGCTGGGATTACAGGTGTGAACCACTGTGCCCAGCCTATTATTACTATTATTATTATTATTTTTGAGACGGAGTCTTGCTCTGTCGCCCAGGCTGGAGTGCAGTGGCACAATCTCGCCAGCCTATTATTTTTTTAAGAGATCCTTCAAAACCTGGCCTTAACTCTCCTTTCCAGCATCATCTCTCATTTTTCACTCCAGTCACATAAATGTCTCACAATTCTACCTACTCCATACCTCCATATTTTTGGCTGGTGCAGTTCTCTCTTCGGGTAACTTTCTCCCTTCTTTCTGCCTTGTACACATTTTCTCTTTCTTCAAGACCAGTCTCAAAGGTCACAGCCTCTGTAATGCCTTCCCCCACTCTCAGGATTGAGCTCCCATTCCCACTGAACCTCGGCAAGTCTCCACCTATAGTACCTAGCACCCTGCATGTAACTCTCTTGTAGAAAAAAATCCATCTCCTTTGTTTTTTATTTATTTGTTTATTTATGTACGGAATCTCCCTTTGTCTCCCAGGCTGGAGTGCAGTGGTGCAATCATAGCTCACTGCAGCCTCCACTTCCTGTGCTCAATCCATCCTCCTGCCTCAGCCTCCCAAGTAGCTGGGACTACAGGCATGTGCAATCACACTCGGCTAATTTTGAAATTTTTTGTAGAGGTGGGGTCTCACTATGTAGTTGCCCAGGTTGATCTCAAACTCCTGCCCTCAAGCAGTCCTCCCACCTTGGCCTCCCAAGATGCTGGGCCAGGTGCTGTGGTACCATGCTAGATGGTATGTCACAGGTAGTCAGCGGTTCCTGGTAGTGACTATATTCAGAATGGTAGTTAAAAGTAATCAGTTTATTCTGCAGCAAGCACAGGGACACAGGAAGACAGTCCTGACTCCAGGGGCTAGCACCTGTTGGGGATTCTGGGATGCCAGGGCTAGCTCCAGTCCTAGGGAAACTGTATTGTCAGACAGGGCAACTGAGGCAGAAACCTTGGCCAACAGCAGAGAAGAGGAAAGGCAGGGGTCTGGTGGGCATCAGGGTTTCCAGGGCTCATCTCAGTCAGTTAGAGGAAGGCAATGGCTTTTTGGAGAACAGAATGAAGGACATATTGTGTGGGAAATGTCAGGGATGCCGCAAGGGAGGTGAATTAGCGGGGTGTGAACTCCATTGCTTAGCCTAAAGCTTTTCCTGGTCTTTCCATCTTCACTGGCCAAAGCAGCTGTCATACAATTGGGTCCTTTGCTGCTATGATTCCAGGGCTGGAAGGGTCCTTAAAGATATTCCAGCCAACGCCCTGGGTGATGCTAGAATTCCTTCTAGACTTTAGGCTTGATCCACACACTCCCAGAACTAGTAAAGCTCTCAGAGACCTGGGGACCTGGTATGCAGGGCCCACTCCTGCCTTCTCTGGGGGAATTTTCCCCACCGCCTCCTTTCTTTGCCTGGTCCAAGTCCCAGCTTCCAGAAAGAGGTCCATACCTGAGATACCTCCACTTCCTCCTCCTCCAGAGCCAGCTTAAAGTCAGGAGGCGGCACAAGTCCGCGAAGCTCAGAAAGTCCCCCAGATTCCTCTGTGGTCAAGCCAGTTTCATTCAATTGAAGCTTGTTCCCTGAGGATTTGTTCATGGGGGAGTTATTGTGTACTTGATTATAGTTCCCATGGCTACTGGCTCACAGTGTGAAGGGAATGGGCATACATCCACGTCCTCCTGCAAAATTGGGATTTGACCTCATTTATAACCAAACATGCAGCAGGCAACCTTGCAAATTACACAGCATGAAGAGAGTCCAGAGAGTTCTGAATGACTTAGTAGAAAATAACATTAAATAAAATAGTACATGCGGAAGGATGTGTTCTCTCCCTGGTTCAACTTAGGTGCATAATAGCTGTTCATAGCAGTATTAACCTTGACATCCAGGAGGGAGACCATTCAACTGAAAGGTTGCAAACTGGCAACCCTCAGTGGGAATCTCACCCATAGACCTATATATCCAATTTCAGAGTACTATGGTTTGAATGAGTCCCTCAAATCTCAGGTGTTGGAAAGTTAATCCCTGATGTAATACTGTTGAGAGGTGAGATCCTTAAGAGGCAATTAGGTCAATGGATTAATGCCATTATTTCAGGAATGGGTTTGTTATAAAAGCAAATTCAGCCCCCTCTTTCTCTCTCTCATGCTCTCTTGCCACGTGATGATGTCTCACCAGAGGCAGCTCCTGTATCTTGGACTTCACAGCCTCTAGAACCATAAGCCAAATAAATGTCTATTGTTCCTAAACTACGCAGACTGTGATATTCTGTGATAGCAACATGAAGTGGACACAGAGTGTTTAAAACTTGCTTTGAGTCAACTTAAAAAAAATCAGTATCTTTCACTGAAAAAAAAAAATCCAGGCCGGGTGCAGTGACTCACACCTATAATCCCAGCACTATGGGAGGCCGAGGTGGGTGGATCACGTGAGGCCAGGAGTTCAAGACCAGCCTGGCCAATATGGTGAATCCCTGTCTCTACTAAAAATACAAAAATTAGCCAGGTGTGGTGGCAGGCACCTGTAATCCCAGCTACTTGGGAGGCTGAGGCACGAGATTCGCTTGAACCCAGGAGGCAGAGGTTGCAGTGAGCCGAGATTGTGCCACTGCACTCCAGCCTGGGTGACAGAGCAAGATCCTGTCTCCAAAACAAACAAACATCCAGATTCCAGTGTCAATGTCCTTCTGTTAAGGGCCACCAAGAACACACCTAAAAGAAAGTTTTAAAACAACGTTGGGGGACTGAGTGTGGTGGTTCATGCATGTAATCCCAGCTCTTTGGGAGGCTAAGGTGGGAGGATTGCTTGAACATAGGGGTTTGAGACTAGCCTGGGCAACATGATGAAACTCCATCTCTACAAAAAATACAAAAAATTAGTGGGGTGTGGTGGCATGTGCCTGTAGTCCTAGCTACTCAAGGGGGCTGAGGTGGGAGAATCACCTGAGCCTGGGAGGTTGAGGCTGCAGTAGGTCATGATTGCACTACTGTACTCCAGCCTGGGCAAGAGAATGAGACCATGTCTAAAAAAAAAAAAAAAAAAACAACCCAAAACAAAAAACAAAGTCAGTTTTACGGACTCATAGCAATGAGGCAGACCCACATAATATGGGGAACTCTAAGGCATCTCAGAAAGAGGTGTTGAAGATGACTTAGACTGGGCATGGTGGCTCCCGCCTGTAAGCCCAGCAATATGGAATGCCAAGGCAGGAAGATCGCTTAGGCCCAGGAGTTCAAGACCAGCCTGGGCAACATAGTGAAACCCCACGTGTCTAATTAAAAAAAAAAAAAAAAAAAGACTTATTGTAGGACTTATGCTCGTGTTATGTTTCAGGAGAGGATTTGAGGCAAGAGGGTTTGCTCTGGTTTGGATGCATCAGGAAGGAAGGGGTAATTCTTTTTTTTTTTTTTTTTTAGATGGAGTCTCGCTCTGTCTCCAGGCTGGAGTGCAACAGCGCGATCTTGGCTCACTGCAAGCTCCGCCTCTCAGGTTCATGCCATTCTCCTGCCTCAGCCTCCCGAGTAGCTGGGACTACAGGTGCCCGCCACCACACCCAGCTAATTTTTTTTGTATTTTTAGTAGAGACGGGGTTTCACTGTGTTAGCCAGGATGGTCTCGATCTCCTGACCTCGTGGTCTGCCTGCCTTGGCTTCCCAAAGTGCTGGGATTACAGGCATGAGCCACCGCACCCGGCCAGGAAGAGGTAATTCTATGTCTGAGTACCGTAATTTTCAACTGAAAGGTGGGAGAAAGGAGCAGGACTAAATAGTTTGGACAATGTTCTTGTTTTTGTCTGTGTTCAGACATCATGAGTACACAGTGGCTTTGTTTTTGTCTGATCCACCACAGTCATAGAGTGGCCTTGTCTCTGTCGTGGTGTTCTATAAAATTGTTGATGTTGGCTGGGTGCAGTGGCTCACGCCTGTAATCTCAGCACTTTGGGAGGCCAAGGCAGGTGGATCACCTGATGTCAGGAGGTTGAGACCAGCCTGGCCAACATGGTGAAACCCCACCTCTATTAAAAAAAAAACAAAAATTAGGCCGGGCACGGTGGCTTACACCTGTAATCCCAGCACTTTGGGAGGCCGAGGCGGGTGGAACACCTGAGGTCAGAAGTTCAAGACCAGCCTGGTCAACATGGTGAAACCCTGTCTCTACTATACATACAAAAATTAGCCAGGTGTGGTGGCGGGCGCCTGTAGTCCCAGCTACTCGGGAGGCTGAGGCAGGAGAATCGCTTGAACCTGGGAGGCAGAGGTTGCAGTGAGCCAAGATCACGCCATTGCGCTCCAGCCTAGACAACAAGAGCGAAACTTCATCTCAAAAACAAAACAAAACAAAACAAAAATTAGCCGGGCATGATGGCGGGCGCCTGTAATCCCAGCTACTTGACACCAGCCTTGGTGACAAGAGCGAAACTCCATTTCAAAAAAAGAAATTGCCAAGATGGGCCAGGTACAGCCGCTCATGCTTGTAATCCTAGCACTTTGGGAGGCCGAGACAGGCGGATCACCTGAGGTCGGGAGTTCGAGACCAGCCTGGCCAACATGGTGAATCCCCGTCCCTACTAAAAATACAAAAATTAGCTGGGCGTGGTGATGTGTGCCTGTAGTCTCAGCTACTCAGCAGACTGAGGCATAAGAATTGCTTGAATCTGGGAAGTGGAGTTTGCAGTGAGCCCATATCACGCCACTGCACTCCAGCCTGGGCGACAGAGCAGGACTCTGTCTCAAAAAAAAAAAAAAAAGCCAAGATGGTAAGTTTCATGCAATGTATTCTAAAATTTAAAGTATTATTTATTTTTTAAGAGATGGGGTCTTGCTCTTTTGCCTAGGATGGAGTGCAATGGCATGATCAAGGCTCACTGTGGCCTCTACCTCACGAGCTCAAAGGATCCTCCTGCTTCAGTCTCTCAAGTAGCTGGAACCATAGGTGCACACCACAATGCCCGGCTAATCTTTTTAATTTTTTTAGAAGCGAGGTCTCCCTTTGTTGCCCAGGCTGGTCTTGAGCTCCTGGTCTCAAGTGATCCACCCACCTCAGCCTTGCAAAGTGCTGAAATCACAGATGTCGGCCACCAAGCCTGGCCAAGGAAAGTATCTTAACAGGTAACTGACACAATAATAAAACTTGTTTGTTGATCCTTGGATTCACATTTCCCAAATGAAAAGACATATGTCACCTTCTCCTGCGGAATACAACAGAACAAGATTAGTTATTTGATTACTCGGTACCTTTTTTATTTTCTTCCTTTCTTCTTCTGCTTTTTTATGGTAGGGGGGTGATGGGTTCATCTCACTCTGTCGCCCAGTTTGGAGTGCAGTGGTGGTCATAGCTCTCTGTAGCCTCGATCTCCTGGGCTCAAGCAATTTTTTCCCACCTCAGCCTCTTGAGTAGTTAGACATACAGGCATACATCACCACACCTAGCCAATTTAAAATTTTTTTTTTTTTGTAGAGACAGGGTCTTGCTGTGTTGCCTAGGCTGGTCTTGAACTTCTGGCCTCAAAAAATTTTCATGCCTCAGCCTCCCAAAGTGCTGGGATCACAGATGTGAGCCACCACACCTGGCCCTTTTCCTTTTTTTCAATTTAATTTAATTTTATATGCAGAGGTTACCAGGACATGTTGTGTGATGCTGAAGATTGGGCTTCTGCTGATCACATCGCCCAAGTAGGGAACAATAGCAAGTTTTTCAGCCCTTTCTCCTCCCTTCCTCCCCTCTGCAGTTCCCAGCTTCTATTGTTCTCATCTTTATGTCCATGTGTACTCAATGTTTAGCTCCTACTTACAAGTAAGAACATATGATATTAGGTTTTCTGTTTCTGTGTTAATTCACTTAGGATAATGGCCTTCAGCTGCATCCATGTTGCTGCAAAGGACATGATTTTGTTCATTTCTATGGCTGTGCATTACCCGTTTTCCTACCCTTTGTTCTGTTATTCATATTGCCTGTTATTGTCTTTAATACCCTTTTAATTAAAGTTTTCTTTATCTGATCTTCCTTATCTTCATCCTGTTACCTTTGACTCTCTATGGTCTTCTTTTGTAACTCAAGAAAAATTTGGCTCACACCTCTAATCCCAGCACTTTGGGAGGCCAAGGCAAGTGGATCACCTGAGGTCAGGAGTTCGAGACTAGCCTGGCCAACATGGTGAAACCCCATCTCTACTAAAAATACAATAACTAGCCAGGCATGGTGGCAGGCACCTGTAATCCCCGCTACTTGGGAGGCTGAGGCACAAGAATCGCTTGAACCTGGGAGGTGGAGGTTGCAGTGAACCAAGATGGTCCCATGCGGTTCCCATGATAGTGAATAAGTCTCATGAGCTCTGATAGTTTTATAAAGGGCAGTTCCCCTGCACACACTCTCTTGCCTGCCACCATGTAAGACGTGTCTTTGCTCCTCCTTCGCCTTCTGTCATGATGGTGAGGCCTCCCCAGACATGTGGAACTGTGAATCTATTAAACCTCTTTTTCTTTATAAATTACCGAGTCTCAAGTATCTCTTCATAGCAATATGAAAATGGACTAATACACCCATAATAATTTAAAATTAAAAAATTAGCAGGCCGGGCACAGTGGCTCACGCCTGTAATCCCAGCACTTTGGGAGGCTGAGGAGGGCGGATCACAAGGTCAGGAGATTGAGACCATCCTGGCTAACATGAGGAAATCCTGTTTCTACTAAAAAAAATACAAAAAAATTAGCCGGGCGTTGTGGCGGGCGCCTGTAGTCCCAGCTTACTCAGGAGGCTGAGGCAGGAGAATGGCGTGAACCCGGGAGGCAGAGCTTGCAGTGAGCCAAGATCGTGCCACCGCACTCCTGCCTGGGTGACAGAGCAAGACTCCATCTCAACATCAACAAAATAATAATAAAAAAAAAAAGTAAAAGAATTTTTAAAGTGCAGCAGAAAAAATAATTTTTTAAATGCTATGTGATGCTAATCATCTCCACATGAGCAGTTTATCTCTCCAGTAAATTATGTATTACAGTAAAAAGTGATCTCTTGTGGTTCTCCTGTGTTCTTTATTGTGTTTAGTGCAATACTGTAAGCCTTGTATAACACCACGGGACCCACGTGAAGTGCCACTAGTCATGCTGGAAGTGCTTCTAAGAAGCAGGGGAAAGTCATGACATTACAAAAAAAAGTTCAACTGCTTGATATGTAATGTGGATTGGGGTCTGCAGCTGTGGCTGCCCACCATTTCAGACAGATGATTCATCTTATAAACATACGACATAAACTTATGGTATACATAATACAGTACAGTACCATAAATATATTTTCTCTTCCTATGATTTTCCTAATAACATTTTCTTTTCTCTACTTTACTTTGTTGTAAGACTACAGTATATAATATATAAAACATGCAGAGTATGTGTTAATTGACTGTTTCTGTTATTGGTAAGGCTTCTGGTTCACAGTAGGCTATTGGTAGTTAAGTTTGGGGGGAGTCAAAAGTTATATGAGGCCAAGGCCAGGGGCAGTGGCTCACACCTGTAATCCCAGTACTTTGAAAGGCAGAGGTGGGCAGATCACTTGTGGTCAGAGTTCAAGACCAGCCTGGCCAACATGGTGAAACCCCATCTCTATTAAAAATACTAAAATTAGCTGGGTGTGGTGGCGGACACCTGTAATCCCAGCTATTTGGGAGGCTGGAGCAAGAGAAGCACTTGAACCCAGGAGGCGGAGGTTGCAGTGAGCTGAGATCACACCACTGCACTCCAGCCTGGGTGACAGATCGAGGCTCTGTCAAAAAAAAAAAAAAAAAAAGAAAAAGGCTGAGGTGGGAGGATTGCTTGAGGCCAGGAGTACAAGACCAGCCCAGGCAACATATTAAGACCTTATCTCTACAAAAGAAAAATAGTTATATATGGATTTTCAACTGTGTTGGGGTTGGCACCCCTAACCCCCACAATGTTCAAGGGTCAACTGCAGGAAGACTTGAAAATTGAAATTACTCCTTGGCTTATGGGCTGAAGAACAGATACTGCATTAGTAGGCAGGAAAACAGCATTAATTTCCTTGTACATCTCCATTAGAGCTCTTGGATGACCAGAGGAACTGTCATAATATTTTGAAAGGAATCTCTTTTTCTGAGCACTAGGTCTCAACAGTGGGCTTAAAATATTCCATGAACCATGCTATAAACAGACATGTGGCCATTCAGGCTTTTTTGTTCCATTAATAGGGGACAGGCAGAATGGATTTAGCATAATTCCTCAGGGCCCTAGGACTTTCAAAATGGTTAATGAGCATTGGCTTCAACTTAAAGTCACCAGACCAGCTGCATTAGTCCCTGACAAGAGAGTCAACCTGTCCTTCAAAGCTTTGACTTCTCCTCTCTAGCTATAAAATTCCTAGATGGCATCTTCTTCCAATAGAAGGCTGTTCTGTCTACATTGGAAATCTGTTGTTTAGTAAACCATCTTCATCAATTATCTTACTAGATCTTCTGGATAACTTGCTGCAGCTTCTACACAGCACTTGCTGCTTCATCTTGCACTTTTATGTTCTGCAGATGGCTCATTTCCTTAAATCTCATGAACTAGCCTCTGCTACCTTCAAATTTTTCTCCTGCAGCTTCCTAATCCCTCTCAGTCTTCATAGTAATGAAGAGATTTAGAGCTGTTGTGGCTGTTTTGATCTATTCAGGCCACTAAAACTTTCTCCATATCAGCAATCAGGCTGTTCCAGTTTTTTTTTTTCTTTTGAGACAGAGTCTCGCTCTGTTGCCCAGGCTGGAGTGCAGTGATGCGATCTTGGCTCACTGTAACCTCTGCCTCCTGGATTCAAGTGATTCTCCTGCCTCAGCCTCCTGAGCAAGACTCCACTGCAAAAACAAACAAACAAACAAACAAAAAACACTTGCTCAACACAGGGTTGCCACACATCTTCAATTTGTAAGAAATGCAATATCTGTGAAGAGCAATAAAGTGAGGTGTAATAAAACAAGGAGTGCCTGTGTATAATTTTCATTTAAACAATTTATGAAAACCATCACAATTTACTTAACTCATAAGATCAACATAAATACATTGAGAAGGCTTAAATCATGAGGGCCAGGAGCAGTGAGTGGTTCATGTCTGTAATCACAACACTTTGGGAGGCCAAGGTGGGAGAACTGCTTGAGCCCAGGAGCTCAAGATCAGCCTGGGTAACATGTGAGACCCTGTCTATACAACAACAACAAAAAATTGGCTGGGCATGGTGGTGTGTGCCTGGGGTCCCAGCTACTTGGGAGGCTGAGAGAGGAGGATCTCTTGAGCCCAGAAGGTTGAGGCTGCAGTGAACCATGATCATGCCACTGCAGTCCAGATGGGGTGACAGAGTGGGACCCTGTCTCAGAGAGAGAGAGAGAGAGAAAGAGAATTAACCCTGTTCTTGTACAAACCAAAATATCACGCTGGCATCATTTTTACATGAGTGAATAAAAAATTTAACTGAATCATGCCAAAAGCTCTTCTTTTGTCTTGGAACTAAGACCTTTTTTTTTTTTTTGAAATGGAGTTTTTGCTCTTGTTGCCCAGGCTGCAGTGCAGTGGCAAAATCTCGGCTCACAGCAACCTCCACCTCCTGGGTTCAAGCGATTCTCCTGCCTCAGCCTCCTGAGTAGCCGGGATTACAGGCACCCGCCACCATGCCTGGCTAATTTTTTTGTATTTTTTTTAGTAGAGACGGGGTTTCCCCGTGTTAGCCAGGATGGTCTCGATCTCCTGACCTCGTGATCCGCCCTCCTCGGCCTCCCAAAGTGCTGGGACTACAGGCGTGATAGATCTTTTCTTCTAACTGGAAGAGCAAAGGCTATTACATAAATATACTTTTTAGTGCCTATATGTACAGACACTATATATATATACGTATATACATGTATTTTTTTTTGTATAGACAGGGTCTCACATGTTACCCAAGCTGATCTTGATATACATGTATATACGTATATATATATGATTTTCTGTTTCTTTTAGCATTTTAGGCATTTCTATTTCTTTTAGGACTGGATTTACCTAGACTGTGCACATACAACTGAAAAATTTTTTGATTAGTTAATCTTTAAAGCTTTCCAAGAGAGGTGAGGAAAAAGAGAATGAAATGGACAGCAGGAAAGTGTGAGAAGACAATGAGATACCATCTCACACCAGTTAGAATGGCGATCATTAAAAAGTCAGGAAACAACAGGTGCTGGAGAGGATGTGGAGAAATAGGAACACTTTTACACTGTTGGTGGGACTGTAAACTACTTCAACCATTGTGGAAGCTGGTGTGGCGATTCCTCAGTGATCTAGAATTAGAAATACCATTTGACCCGGCCATTCCATTACTGGGTATATACCCAAAGGATTATAAATCATGCTGCTATAAAGACACATGCACACATATGTTTATTGTGGCACCATTCACAATAGCAAAGACTTGGAACCAAGCCAAATGTCCAACAATGATAGACTGGATTAAGAAAATGTGGCACATATACACCATGGAATACTATGCAGCCATAAAAATTGATGAATTCATGTCCTTCGTAGAGACATGGATGAAGCTGGAAACCATCATTCTCAGCAAACTATGGCAAGGACAAAAAACCAAACACCACATGTTCTCACTCATAGGTGGGAATTGAACAATGAGAACACATGGACACAGAAAGAGGAACATTACACACCGGGGACTGTTGTGGGGTGGGGGGAGGGGGGAGGGATAGCATTAGGAGATATACCTAATGCTAAATGACGAGTTAATGGGTGCAGCACACCAACATGGCACATGTATACATATGTAACAAACCTGCACGTTGTGCAAATGTACCCTAAAACTTAAAGTATAATAATTAAAAAATTAAAAATAAAACTAAATTCCTAGAAATAAAAGCATTTTGAACATAAAAAAAAAAAAAAAGAAAATGTGAGAAGAAGCTACTTCAGACAAACATGAAATTATCACTCCAAAAGGCTAAGGTTATATTCCCTCTGCAAGGAGAAGGAAGACAGTTTAAACACAGGAAAATAGATTTTGACATATAAACACTGTCTTAGTCCATTCTGTGTTGCAATAGAATACCTGAGGGGCTGGGTACTTTATTTTTAAAAATTTATTTCTTACAGTTCTGGAGGGTGGGAATTCCAAAGTCAAGCAGCCACATCTGGTGAGGGCCTTCTTTTTTTTTTAGATGGAGTTTTGCTCTTGTTGCCCAGGCTGGAGTACAATGGCATGATCTCAGTTCACTGTAGCCTCCACTTCATGGACTCAAACAATTCTCCTGCTTCAGCCTCCAAAGTAGCTGGGATTACAGGTGCGCACCACCAAGCCTGGCTGATTTTTGTATATTTAGTAGAGACGGGGTTTCACCATGTTGGCCAGGCTGGTCTCAAACTCCTGACCTCAAGTGATTCGCCCGCCTCAGCCTCCCAAAGTGCTGGGATTACAGGTGTCAGCCACTGTGCCTGGCCGACAGCATTTATTAATATGCAAAATAGGTAAATGAAATATTGCCTATGTTAAACAAAATAATCTTTGTTTTTAACAAACAAGGCAAACAATCTCACAAAGGTTTCTTCCCTTTGTGTTCTGAGGCACCTCCCAAATGAACAATCTTGTTATTATCAAAAGTTCCACCAAATGGCTACGGCAATTACAAACTGTCCCTGGTGAAATTGTGTCAGTTACAGATATATGGGTACATGTTATTGCAATCGTGAGAAAACATGAAGGGAGCAGGTCTTTGGCCCAATTTTAGTTGTGACTGGGGTCTAAAAGAATGGTGCTTATACAACTTCGTATCTCTAGAATGTGGCCAAACACCATCGCTGATCAGAGGCCAGAGAAAGCCCCCTGATACTGAGCAGAAGAAATGAAACAAAGCAGTTTGCAAGGACATAGACAAAACCAAAGAAATCCTTTTCAAGGCTTTGAAATGGTGACCTGGGGCTGGGCGTGGTGGCTCATGCCTGTAATCCCAACACTTTGGGAGCCAGAGGTGGGTGGATCACCTGAGGTCAGGAGTTCGAGACTAACCTGGCCAACATGGTGAAACCCTGTCTCTATCAAAAATACAAAAATTAGCCGGACATGGTAGCAGGCACCTGTAATCCCAGCTACTCAGGAGGCTGAGGCATGAGAATCACTTGAACCCGGGAAGTGGAGGTTGCAGCTGAGCTGAGATTGTCCTATTGCACTTCAGCAGGCAACAAGAGTAAAACTCTGTCTCAAAAAACAAAAACAAAAAAGAAATGGTGACCTGGGCAAAGTTTACCCAAAGGACATTAGTCTGAGAATACCTTCCGAATTGTACAGTCTCTGGAGCTGGTTGTAGGACACACTTACTGGCTCTTGGTTGCTGGAGTGATTTCTCTGGTTAATTCTGATAACAAATAAGACTCTCGGATGCTAACTAGTTGCACAACCCCTCAACAGTTGGCATCCCTACCTTCCTAGAGGGATAAGTTGTGTTCGGTCACCAGAGATTCAGCAATAATAGGTTTGTGATGCCCTTAGACATCCGAGGCTACACATCCATCCTTTTCTTTTCTTTTTTTTTTTTTTTTGAGACAGAGACTTTTTTTTTTTTTTCTCTGTCGCCCAGGCTGGAGTGCCATGGCACGAACTCGGCTCACTGCAACCTCTGCCTCCCAAGTTCAAGCGATTCTCCTGCCTTGGCCTCCCAAGTAGCTGGGATTACAGGCACCTGCCACCACACCCAGCTAATTTTTTGCATTTTTAGTAGTCGGGGTTTCACCATTTTGGCCAGGCTGGTCTTGAACTCCTGATCTCAGGTGATCCACCCACCTCAGCCTCCCAAAGTTGCTGGGATTACAGGCCTGAGCCACCGCGCCCAGCCTACATCCATCCTTTTTATATCGACTTTGCCTCTTATAGACAAACAATATTCAAAATACTAGACAAGAAAACACCATAGGAATGAGTGTAGAAGGACAGAAAACAATTGCACCAAGGACAAAATAAATATTTGATCAGATAACCAAAAATCCAGTGTGGGGGCCTTATTCCAGGAGTAAAAAAACTGAAAAACCAAATAAACCCAATGCTTGGCAGGGCATGGTGGCTCACATCTATAATCCCAGCACTTTGGGAAGCCAAGGTGGGAGGATTGCTTTGAGCTCAGGAGTTTGAGACCAGCCTGGGTAACAGAGTGAAACCCTATCTCTACAAAAAAATATATATATAAAACTTAACCGGCATTCCTGGGTGTGGTGGCTCATGCCTGTAATCCCAGAACTTTGGGAGGCCAAGGTGAGCAGATCATGGGGTCAGGAGTTTGAGACCAGCCTGACCAACATGGAGAAACCCCATCTTTGCTAAAAATACAAAACTTAGCCAGGTGTGGTGGCGCATGCCTGTAACCCTAGCTACTCAGAAGGCTGAGGCAGGAGAATTGCTTGAACCCGGGAGGCAGAGCTTGCAGGGAGCAGAGATAGCGCCACTGCACTCCACTCTGGGAGACAGAGCGAGACTCTGTCCCCCGCCAAAAAAAAAAAAAAAAATTAACCGGCATTGGTTAATTTTAGTGCCAGCTACTCAGGAGGCTGAAACTGGAGAATCACTTGAGCTGGGAAGCAGAGGTTGCAGTGAGCTGAGTCGTACCACTGCACTCCAGCCTGGTCAACAGAGTGAGACCCTATCTCAAAAAGTAAAAAATGAAAAATAAAAAATATGGCCAGGCATGGTGGCTCACGCCTGTAATCCTAGCACTTTGGGAGGCCGAGGCGGGTGGATCACCTGAGGTCAGGAGTTTGAGACCAGCCTGACAAACATGGAGAAACTGTCTCTACTACAAATATAAAATTAGCCAGGTGTGGTGGTGCATGCCTGTAATCCCAGCTACTCAAGAGGCTGAGGCAGAAGAACTGCTTGAACCCAGGAGGCGGAGGTTGCGGTGAGCCGAGATCGTGTCATTGCACTTCAGCCTGGGCAACAAGAGTGAAACTCTGTCTCAAAAATTAATTAATTAATTAATTAAAATAAAAAGTAAACCCAATGCTTAAGGGTATCAACACAATATCAGAACTCAATTAGCTTCCAACCATCAGCAGGTTGGCACCTCAGCGACATAAGCAGTTTCAGGTGTGCATACAATGACGAGTCAAGGGTCCCAGTCCCAGGCAGTGAGGGCTTCAGCTGAATCTTTGTTGCTCCTCCATTTCTGATAGTACCCTCCAACCAAGGACCACCAGGAAGCACCTGTAGTTGAACAAGGGAGGCTGAACACCACAGACATCTCAGCAAGAACATGTGTGAAAGGACTTATTACAGGATTGGAACTTTCATTAGGGGACTTCCTAGGCGGGTCCAAAAAGGGGGGCATTTGCTCTGGGTTGGATGCTATCAGGAAGTAGGGATAATTCTTTTTGGTTATCTTAATAATTCTTATCTAGAAGATGGGAGGAATGAATCAAGCTAAAACTGTACTTGGTAAAGAAGCAGCAGTGGCCAGGTGCAGTGGCTCACACCTGTAGTCCCAGCACTTTGGGAGGCCAAGGTGGGCATATCACCGGAGGTCAAGAGTTCAAGACTCACCTGGGCAACTTGGTGAATCCCCGTCTCTACTAAAAATACAGAAATGATCTGGGCATGATGGTGGGTGCCTGTAATCCCAGATACTCTGGAAGCTGAGGCAGGAGAATCGCTTGAACCTGGAGGTGGAGGTTGTGGTAAGCCAAGATTGCATCACTGCACTCCAGCCTGGGTAACAGAGCAAGACTTCATTTCAAAAACAAAACAAAACAAACAAAAACAACAACCAAAAAAAAAGCAGCAGTAACTTACGCTGTGGGAGAGAGGATTGTGTTGGTAATTTTTGTGGTTTGGACAATGTTCTTGTTTCTGTATTGAGGCTTTATTATGGAATGGTCTTTTTCTAGATCAGTCAGAGAGTGACCTTGTCTGATGTTTTTTGTGAAATTATTTTGCTCAACAGGACACCACCATGGCCGTGCTGTTGGTGCCAGGTCAGCTCCTAGCAACATCAAGGCTTCTGGAGTGAGGGTGCAAACCAGCTCCCAGCTGGCAGCAGTTGCTTTTCTCTTTTACACCGCCACACTCGAAATCAGAAAATTGGCAACCCCTTTGGTAGAACATGAGCTCCCGGTCACTACAGGCCCATTTATACCCAGTAACAGGCCCAGGTCACACATTTACACTCCGACCTTCCTCCTGCGTGTGCATCCCTTACACCAACCACGCCCAGAGAAAAGTCACTCGTCTAGCATCTCCCAGGGACCTGCTGGCAGGGCTGAAGATAGAACTCTGACTCTGTGTTTTCCCTCCAGCAACCCCCCTTGCTAGACATTAAGACAGATTGTTAAATCCCTGATGTATCGGCTTCTAAACTGGATGCAGATCGGGTCAGATAAAAACACTTCTCAGTGCACCTTCTTGTCAACAGTGGGTTCCTATCTATTCTTCTTTCTTTTGGGATTGGGTGCTAGGTCCCACGACATTAGCTGGGATTCTAAGACCTTTGCTCAGCTGCTGCGGCCACCACTGACACGCCCTCTGCTCCTCAAATACGGAGAACAGTTCAGTGTTCCTGCCTGAGGATCTCTGCATTTGCCTTCCCTCTGCCTGGAACTCTTCCCTCACATCCGCTTCCCAGCTTCAGCTCGGCATCACCTCCTCAGAGAGGCCTTCCATCCTTGGTGCCCGGGCACCACTGCTACCCGTTTTGGCCTCTGTTTTTTTTTTTTTTTTCAAAGGACGTTATGTTGCCCAGGCTAGAGTGCAACGGTCCGATCACGGATTACTGCAGCTTCCAACTCCTGGCTTCAAGCGCTCCTTCTGCCTCGGCCTCCCGAGTAGCTAGGCTTACAGGCTGGGGTTACAGGTGTGAGCCACAGCGCCCGGCCGCTTTGGCCTCCTTTAAGAGCTTCCCTCCGCGCTTTGTTCGCAGTTCTGGTCACAGTCTGTTCAGTGCGCGGGGCTGGGAGGCGGGAAACTGCCCAATGCCCAGACCTCTCTGTCTGTTTCCCCTCAAGCTCGTGAAGCTCTCTGACAGCAGAGACCCAATCACGAGGTGGAGACTTCGCTTTCCACATCGGGCAGGGGGTCGGCCGCATCCTCGATCTGGTCCTGGTGACTCGAGACCAGAGAGGAGCGCACGTCGACCCGCCCGGGGAACCCGCAGGCCACACGCCAAACCTCTACGGGATCCCCCAGCGAGGCCACTGCGCATGCTCCATACTCGCAGCCCCGCCCCCATTCAGGGGCGGGGCCGCGCCTGCGCAGCTGCCCGGCGCCGGCTTCCGGGTGGTGCGAGCGAGATGGGGCGGAGGGCCGGTCTTGCAGAGTAGCTGCGGTGAGTGGGCGTGTGCGCCGAGCGGTCTGGCCCAAGGGCTGGGGGCCGGCCGAGGGTCTTCGGGAGCAGGCCGCAGGGCGCGGAGAGATCCTGGGATCGCCGTCCGCCGCTGCTACCCGGCATGTCGGCGGAGGCCTCGGGCCCGGCTGCCGCCGCGGCCCCGTCCCTGGAAGCCCCCAAGCCCTCGGGTCTCGAGCCTGGCCCCGCCGCCTACGGTCTCAAGCCGCTGACCCCGAACAGCAAATACGTGAAGCTGAACGTGGGCGGCTCGTTGCACTACACCACGCTGCGCACCCTCACGGGACAGGACACCATGCTCAAAGCCATGTTCAGCGGCCGCGTGGAGGTGCTGACCGATGCCGGAGGTACGAGCGGCGCCCCTACCGTGCCCCCACCCCAGACCCCCAACTCCCGTTCCCCGCAGTCTCTCACCACCGGGGCTCCTCATGCCCCTTCTCTCTGCCCGCTACTGTCCAGTCAACTCATTCTCAGCTCCCTCCAGCCCCCACATCCCATCTCCTCCCCTTTCTCATTCATAATTTCTCTTCTCCTCCCCCAATCCTTTACCCCCAGCAATAACCAACACTTACGGAACCCCTAACTGCCAGGCGCTGTGGTAAGTGATTGAACGTGTCAGTTCATAATCCTCATGACCACCTCTCCCACCCTTCACCCCTCAGCTCAAGACTTGGGAACTAGCCCTGCTGCCTGCAGTACTACTCCTGGCAGCCTTCCTCAGTTTCTTCCGACTGCCCAGCCTTTTGTTTCCCTCTCTGCTTCAGAACTGCTCACAGCCAGCCAGGAGAGCTGGGAGATCTTGTTTGCCTCTGTGTTCCCCTGACACAGGTCCCTGTACACTCTAGGAATCCACCTGTATACACACATTGCAGAAGGAGGCTGCTTTGGGTTTGCCAGGGACACCAGAGTGGAGGGTGGACAGGTCTCCTTGGCAGGTGAACCTTACCTTCTTGGAGTGTTGCATTCAAGTATGGACCCTTCGTGCCCAAGTGAGACTTTGAAGTTTTGGAGTTTGGGAGTGGGAGAGTCTTAAGGGAGGGGTTAACGAGGACTGTGAGAGCAGGAGAATAAAAATTTGAGAGGCGGAGATCTGCCTTCAAGTATCAAAGGTGAAGAATTCGGCCAGGTGCGGTGGCTCACGCCTTTAATCCCAGCACTTTGGGAGGCCGAGGCGGTGGATCACCTGAGGTCAGGAGTTCGAGACCAGCCTGACCAATATGGCGAAACCCCGTCTCTACTAAAAATACAAAAATTAGCCGGGCGTGGTGGTGTGCGCCTGTAGCCCAGCTACTCGGGAGGCTGAGACAGGAGAATCGCTTGAACCTGGGAGGCGGAGGTTGCAGTGAGCCGAGACAGCGCCACTGCACTCCAGCCTGGGCGACAGAGAGAGACTGTCTCAAAAAAAAAAAAAAAAAAGGGAAGAATTCATTTGTCCAATAAGTATTTGTAAAATATCAGTTAGTGCTGGAGATAGGTAAATGAACCTGACAAAATTATGGAAATTCCCTTTTTTTAGGGAAGTGGGAGATCAGAAGACCAATAAGCAAGTAAACAAAATGTATATGCATATGCAATTGCAGATAGTAGTAAGTTCTTTCTTTTTTCTTTTTTTGATAGTAAGCTCTATGAAGAATATAAAAGTTAAAATGGCAGTGAACTGGACGGGGGGAGGTAGACATTTTAATTAAATAGGATGGTGAGAATTAACTTCGGGGGTTAACAGTTTATTGATAAGGTAATTCTGCAAGAACTTTCTCATGGTGAGAGCCTTCTGACTGTAGACCAGATATGGATGAGTTAATTATCTGGTTGAATATGTATAAAAACTTAAGGGAGAACTCGCTGGAGATGTTTTAAAGAGATTTCTTGGCTGTGGCACAGGTTTGAGACAGATCAGTATTCAGACTTTTTTGTGGCTTTGGAATCCTTTTTCTTTTCTTTTCTTTTCTTTTCTTTTTTTTTGAGATGGAGTTTCACTCTTGTTGCCCAGGCTGGAGTGCAATGGCACGATCTCGGCTCACCGCAACCCCCACCTCCCGGATTCAAGCAATTCTCCTGCCTCAGCCTCCTGAGTAGCTGGGATTACAGGCATGCGCCACCATGCCCGGCTAATTTTGTGTTTTTAGTAAAGACGGGATTTCTCCATGTTGGTCAGGCTGGTCTCGAACTCTTGACCTCAGGTGATCCGCCCACCTCGGCCTCCCAAAGTGCTGGGATTACAGGCGTCAGTCACCGTGCCCGGCCTTCTTTTCTTTACTTTTCTTTTTTTATTTTTTTGTTTTGAGACGGAGTTTCCCTCTTATTACCCAGGCTGGAGTGCAATGGCGCGATCTCGGCTCACTGCAAACTCCACCTCCCGGCTTCAAGCGATTCTCCTGCCTCGCCCCCCCCCGAGTAGCTGGCACCAGCCACCAAGCCCAGCTAATTTTGTATTTTTAGTAGAGATGGGGTTTCTCCGTGTTGGTCCTGCTAGTCTCAAACTCCTGACCTCAGGTGATCTGCCTGCCTCAGCCTCCTAAGGTGCTGGGATTATAGGCATGAGCCACCGCGCCTGGCTGGAATCCTTTTTTCTTATAATTTAGGCCAGGTTTGGTGGCTCACACCTATAATCCAAGTACTTGGGAGGCCGAGATGGGAGGATCACTTGAGCCCAGGAGTTCAAGACCAGCCTGGGCAACATAGTGAGACTCCATCTCTACAAAAATTTTTTTTTAATTTAGTAGCTCCAGGTCCCGCAGCAAAGCCATCTTTCCCCCTGCCTCTCCCCACCCCACTAGGTTGGGTGCTGATTGACCGGAGCGGCCGTCACTTTGGTACAATCCTCAATTACCTGCGGGATGGGTCTGTGCCACTGCCGGAGAGTACGAGAGAACTGGGGGAGCTGCTGGGCGAAGCACGCTACTACCTGGTGCAGGGCCTGATTGAGGACTGCCAGCTGGCGCTGCAGGTGAGGGCCTTCGGAGTCCCCATGCCTATGTTCCTGGGAGAGCTGCCCAAGCAGGTATTAGAGCAGAAAAAAGGAGATATGGGGTATGGCTTGGAGAGCCTGGCTTTGGCTGGCCATAACCCCAGAGAATTTGAGGTGCCATCTTCTGCATCCCTGCCGCCTCAGGCAGCACCCCCACCCCAGCCTCATGCCAGGACCTTTGCAATGGTTAAATAGCTGCTCTCTACTTCCCACTGTTCCTATGCAGCCAGTCCAGCTGTTACACTCGCACCTGAGTAATTATCTTTCAGCACAACCCCGATCTATTCTCTCTCTTGCTTAGAAATCCTAAATAGCTCCCTCATGTCACTAGGGAAAAACATCTAAATTTAAATTGAAATATAATAACCTCTGCGATCTGGCCCTATCCTGGGAGGCAGCATTCTCCCATGGCTTCCGCCCCCCAGGAGCTTTCTAATTCTTTTTTTTTTTTAAACAGTGAAATTCTTTATTCAAATGAAATCTCACAGAAGCAGGGCCACTCCCAGTAAAACAGGGTTGGGGATTCTAGAGACCCCACCTGCTAGGCTCCACTTTTGTGGACCCCTTAGGGTTCTGAGGAGCAGAGCTTGGAAAGTGAAGCCAGGACATAAGGGTTCTGTGTCACCTCTGTCACAGCTGACTCAGTGACCTTCAGTGAGTCCATTCCTACCTCTGGGATTCTGTCCTCGGGTTCCGAAAGACAGGGAAGGGAGAAAAATAAGTACAAAGTAGTGAGTTTTACATAAAGCCTGTTATTCTGTTCTATTTTTACAATGTTAAAAATGTCCTTTCTTTTATGTTACAATAGTAAGAGAAGATTATAAAAGTTTCTTTTTGAATGCCCTTTATAGATTAAAAGGTTGCCTCCCTGAACAACTTTTGTCTCAGGGAATACTTACTGGTTCTTGAAGCCCAAAGGTGTAGAACTCCTTTGGACAATATCCATGTTTTTCAAACTTTTTGATTGCCTGCCATAGGGAAAAAATGCATTTTAGTACTCATTATATATAACTGAAATAACAGTTCTATAAAAAGATACTTTTAGTGAAATGTACTCTGATAATCTTTCTTTTTAATGCTGTTTGGGACCCATTACTTATTTCATGACCCATTAATAAATTACCACTTGCATTTGAGAAACATTCATTGTACTAGATCTTGGAAGTGCATTCCTGCTCTGTAGCATTTTTGTTTTGTTTTGAGACAGAGTCTCTCTGTCGCCCAGGCTGGAGTGCAATGGCGTGATCTTGGCTCACCGCAACCTCTGCCTCCCAGGTTCAAGCAATTCTCCTGCCTCAGCCTCCCAAGTAGCTAGAATTACAGGCGCCTGCTACCACGCTTTGCTACTTTTTTGTATTTTTAGTAGAGACGGGGTTTCACCATGTTTGTTAGGCTGGTGTCGAACTCCTGACCTCACGTGATCCATCCGCCTTGGCCCCCCAAAGTGCTGGGATTACAGGCGTGAGCCACCGGCCTGTAGTTTTAAATTTACTAATGTTAAAACTAAAGTTTTAAAACCCGGCCTGTAGTTTTAAATTTACTAATGTCATCATGTACCCACTGTGTGTCAGGAGCAATTCTGCTATCTGCTTGTGTATACATCTTGTATCCTTGTTTGACGTAAAAAGAAACGCGAGGGAGCTTGGAAGACGTGTCCAAGGTGAAAGAGCTGGGAAGCAGCAGAGCTCAGATTTGACCCCAGGCTACCTGACTATCTGACCTTCAGCCTCCCAAGAGCTGTACTTTTCTATACTCCTGCTCTCTCCTTTCCAGGTTCCCTCTGCACCTCACGCAGCTCAGCACACTCCTCAGTGTGTGGCACTTCATCAATATTGGTCTATGCAAACCTTTTGTCTTTTAGTTTTATTTCTTTCCCTTCATTCCCAGTCCCCTGCCTACTTTCCTTTTTCCCAGGGGCACCCATCCAATTTTAATGTTTTGATACATATGCTCGAAAAGCTAAAGCATTGTTCTGCATATGTGTGCATTTTAAATGTCCATAAATGGCATTGAAGCTGTGAATCAGTTTCTGTTGCATTGTGTTTTTTTAATTCAGCACTTTTTTTCAAGATCTATTCATGCTGCTCCAAGTACATCTAGTTCTTTGCTTCTAACAGCTGCAGAGAAATCTGCGGTGTTCATTCACCATATTTTGTTCATACATTCCCCTGAGGTTGGAGACCTAGATTGCCTTCCAGTTCCTGCCCCTACAAACCGTGTCACCATGAGCATCCTGGTACATGCTCCCTTCTGATTCTGTGCCAGTCTCCTGTCATTGTAGCTGGGAGTAGAATTGCTGGATAACAGGACACCTGCAAACGGCGTTTTAGTAAATATCATCTAATTGCTCTCCCGAATGGTTATAATACTTTATCCTCATAATGAGCAGTGCATAAGAGATTACATTTCTGCATGTCCTCATCAAGACATGGCATCATCCAGCTTTCTAATTTTGCCAATCCAATGAGTGTAGCGTGATCTCATTTTCATTTGCATGCCTCTGATTACTAATGAGGTTCAGCATCTTTTCATATACTCACTAGTGTTTTTTTGTTTCCCTTCCTGTGAATTGCTTATTCATGTTCTTTACCAGATTTTCTGCTTTTTTCTTTTTCATGTTGCTTAGCAGGAGATCCTTGCATATTTTAGTTTAGTTCCTAGGGATAATTAAGCCCTACTGCATATGGGTATGTCTTATACATTCCCTAGGGCATGGATTATATACATAACAAATTAACCTCTAAGCCTGTAGCATGGGACTATTTACCTACTGTTCTCAGCAAAGTTCAGAAAACACTCAAATTATTTGCTGTTTTTTTGTTTTTGTTTTTGTTTTTCTTTTTTTGAGGTGGAGTCTTGCTCTGTCGCCCAGGGTGGAGTGCAGTGGCGCGATCTTACCTCACTGCAACCTCCCTCTCTGGGGTTCAAGTGATTCTCCTGCCTCAGCTTTCCGGGTAGCTGGGACTACATGTGTGCACTACAATGCCTGGCTAATTTTATCATATTTTTGGTAGAGATGGAGTTTCGCCATGTTGGCCAGGCTGGTCTCGAACTCCTGACCTCAAGTGATCCACCTGCCTTGGCCTCCCAAAGTGCTGGGATTCAGGCGTGAGCCACCGTGCCTGGCCATATTTGCTGGTTTTTGAGATTCAGATGAGGAACTTCAGTTGAAAAAGTCTGTTCTAGATAAAAATTTCTAGTCAATGTAGATATCGCCAATATTTTTTCTTAGAATGTCACCCACTTGTGGCATCTAGCATTGAATGGAAATCCTTGATTTTTTAAAATTACAAATAACCATTGATTATTTTAAAGCAGTATTTATTAATTGTAGAAATTTCAGAAACACAAATAATCTAAAAAATAAAAGCACCAAATATTCTTCCAGGTCGTTTCCTGTGTGAGAGTATGTGTGTGTGTGTGTGTTTGCTTGCCAAAATACAATCGTGTTGTATGAAATGTTTTATAATCTGTTTTTTGTTGTTGTTAATAATTGCCATCTTTACATGTCAATAAATTTTTATTTAATATCCAGTCCAGGGCATACTCCGGTTTCTCCAGTTGTTCCAGAAATGTGTTTTTACAGCTGGTTCATCAAACCAGGGTCCAGTCTAGATCTTCACGTTGCATCTGGTTATCTGCAAGTTAACAATGGAAAGCATGACTTTACAAATAGTTTCATGTAATAATGTTGAAGAGATGATAAGAGTTATAGGTATTCTATGGCACGAATGTAATTACTGGTTCAGGTAAGGATTATCATTGATAGGTAACTGCCTTAATACAGTTACCATAATAATACCATAAGCATTACTTTATTACATAAGCCAAATAATACCATAAGCATTACTTTATTACATAAGCCAAATAATACCATAAGCATTACTTTATTACAATCCAAGGGGTCCCTTTTTCCTCACGATGCTGGCTTGTTAAAGAGACTGCCAGTTGTCCTGCACAATGACCCGCTTTCCAACTTTGCCTGGTTGTTTACTCCCGGTATCGTTTGGTTTATTACCCAGCCTTATCCTTAATTTCCTGTAAACCAGACTGTAGATTTTAAATGACTGATATTGGGTGGGCACGGTGGCTCACGCCTATAATCCCAGCACTTTGGGAGGCCAAGGCAGGTGGATCACTTGAGGTCAGGAGTTTGAGACCAGCCTGGTCAGCATGGTGAAACCCCATCTCTATTAAAAATACAAAAATTATGCCAGGTGCGGTGGCTCATGCCTGTAATCCCAGCACTTTGGGAGGCTGAGGCAGGTGGATCACAAGGTCAGGAGTTCAAGACCAGCCTGGCCAACATGGTGAAACCCTGTATCTACTAAAAATACAAAAAAATTAGCCAGGCCTGGTGGTGGGCATCTGTAATCCCAGCTACTCAGGAGGCTGAGGCAGGAGAATCGCTTGAACCTGGGGAGGCAGAGGTTGCAGTGAGCCGAGATCGTGCCACTGCACTCCAGCCTGGGCAACAGTGCGAGACTCCATCTCAAAAATAAATAAATAAATAAATAAAAAATTACAAAAATTAGCTGGGAGTGGTGGTGGGTGCCTGTAGTCCCAGTTACTCAGGAGGCTGAGGCAGAAGAATTATATGAACCTGGGAGGCAGAGGTTGCAGTGAGTCAAGGTTGCACCACTGCACTCCAGCCTGGTCAACAGAGCAAGACTCTGTCTCAAAATAAATGAATAAATAATAAAATAAATAAAATGACTGATATTAAACATTTTGTTTAGAATACATTTTAGGTAATATTATGTATGTATTTCACGTTGGGCCACATCAAGCAACCCATAATATTGTTAATATGACTCGTCATTAATGACGTTCATAATTGGCCCCTGGATCTAGGGGATGGTGGTTTGATTTCTCTATCATTGTTACATTTCCTTGTTGCTAACTATAAAATAATGCATATGGTATTTGGCCACTGTATTAAGGCAGTTACCTATCAATGACACACAAATTGATAATCCTTACCTGAACCAGTAATTACATTTGTGCCACAGAATACCTATAAGTCTTTTCTCTTCAACATTATTACATGAGATTATTTGTAAAGTCATGCTTTCCATTGTCAACTTGAAAAATTCTTGATTTGGATGTAGTCCAATTCCTCACCATTTTTTGCCTAATGCTGTATCCTTATGGTCTTGTTTAAAAATGTTTTTCTGATTTTCTGTTACCTGTGAGCTTTGTAGTTTTATTTTTATTTTTTGAGGCAGAGTCTTGATCTGTCACCCAGGTTAGAGTTCAATGGTGTCATCTCGGCTCACTGCAACCTCCACCTCCCAGGTTCAAACAATTTTCATGTCTCAGCCTCCCGAGTAGCTGCGATTACAGGCGTGCACCATGACACCTGGCTGATTTTTTATTTTTTATTTTTCTAAATGGAGTCTCACTCTATTGCCCAGACTGGAGTGCAGTGGCATGATCTCGGCTCACTGCAACCTCTGCCTCCCGGGTTCAAGCGATTCTCCTGCCCTAACCTCCTGAGTAGCTGGGATTACAGGCGTGCACCACCATGCCTGGCTAATTTTTGTATTTTAGCAGAGATGGGGTTTCACGACGTTGGCCAGACTGGTCTCGAACTCCTGACCTCGTGATCCGCCCGCCTTGGTCTCCCAAAGTGCTGGGATTACAAGCATGAGCCACCACACCCGTCTAATTTTTGTATTTTTTGTAGAAAGGGGGTTTTGCCATGTTGGTCAAGCTGGTCTCAAACTCCTGAGCTCAAGCGATCTGCCCACTTCGGCCTCCCAAAGTGCTGGGATTACAGGTGTGATCCGCTATACCTGACCTATAGTTTTAAATATGGATTTTTTTCATATATGGGTATTTTAATCTAAATGGAACTCACTTTTGTAAATATGATTGTGAAGGGATTTAGCTCATTTTTGTCTTCCATAGGGTGAGGTAGTTTTCCCAGTGCCAGGTATTAAACAGTCCAGAGGTAGCCAGCACCCAAGACAGCCACCAGGGGTTCTTGCCTCCTGGTTTCCAGGCTCTTGTTCAGTCCCCTCCCACACCAAATAGGGCAGACCTTTTCAGATCCTCACCAAGGAGACCCTTGTGTATGACCAATAGGACATTGCAGAAATGACAGCATGTGACTTTGAAGCTAGGTCATAAAAGACATTACAGCTTCTGCCTCTCTTTGAGATCACTCACTCTATGTGAATGCTATGTGAGGACACTCAGGCATCCCTAAGCAGAGGTCCACTTGGTGAGGAACTGAAGCCCCTGCCGACAGCAAGCACAGACTCCCCGCCATAGTGGTGACCTGTCTCAGAACCAGAGCTTCTAGGCCCAGGCAAACCTTCTGATGACTGCAGCCCTAGCCAAAATCCAGACTGCAGCTTCATGACAGATTCTGGGCCAGGGCCACCCAGCTAAGCCCATCCCAAATTCCTGACCCACAGAAACTATGTGAGATAATGTTTATTTTTATTTATTTATTTTTAAATAGAGACAGAGTCTTGCTCTGTCGGCCAGGCTGGTCTCGAACTCCTGACCTCAAGCAGTCCTCCAGCCTTGGCCTCCCAAAATGCTGAGATTACAGGCATGAGCCTCCACACCTGGACTGTTGTTTTAAGCTGCTGAGTTTGTAGTAATTTGTTACCCAGTAACAGAGAACAGACTTTGGTTTCTGGAATGGGGGTCTGCCATAACAGAAACCTCAAATGTAGAAGTAACTTTACAACTGAGAAGTGGGAAGAAGCTGGAAGGACTTTGAGGAGATTGTTAGTAAAAGCTTAAGGAGTGTTAAAAAGTATTGGCTGGGCACAGTGGTTCACACTTGTAATACCATAACTTTTGGAGGCCAAGGTGGGAGGATCACTTGAGTTCAGGAGTTCGAGACCAGCCTGAGCAATATAGTGAGACCTTGTCTCTAAAAAAATTAAAAGAAAAAAGGTGAGAAAGTCTGTTAATAAGAGTCCAGTGACCTTTAAGACAGCTGCAATAAGGGCTTGAAGAACAGTTAGGAAAATGCTATTGGAAACTGATGGAAAGGAGATCCTTGTGTAGCGGCAGAAAGTTTAGCAACACTGTCTCCTGCATTAGTGTGGAGGGTAGGAAATATACCTAAGGAACGGATGGTCTAGCTAAGGAGCTTTCCAGACAGAATGTTGAAGGTGCCACCTGGCTTCTTGCTGCTTATAGTAAAACTGAAGAGGAGAGAGTAAGTTAAAGAAAAAAAACACTTAAATGAAAAAGAGCCTGAAATTGTTGGGTTTGAAAATTCCCAGCCTTTCCAGATAACAAGTGATGTTAAAATTAACAAATGGCTTCCGTGCAAAGATTAAATACAAGGCATTAAATACAGGGAAATGTGGTCTAAAGGTCAAGCTGAGGATGTGATGAAAAAGTCCTTTGTTAAGACCTCAGAAATACCAACAAGATGCCTCAGAGGGGACTTCCAGTCGAATGAAATAATAATCACGCTTCTGAGAAGGTTAAAGGTGTTGTCTTTCAGCGTCTCAGCACAAGCCCAAAGTAGAGAAGGGCTTACCTTGCAGAGATTTTCTTTTTTCTTTTTCTTTTCTTTTTTTTTTTTTTGAGATAGCTCACTGCAACCTCCTCCTCCTGGGTTCAAGTGATTCTCCTGTCTCAGCCTCCTGAGTAGCTGCGATTACAGGTGCCCACCACCACGCCCAGCTAATTTTTGTATTTTTAGTAGAGATGGGGTTTCACCATGTTGGTCAGGCTAGTCTCAAACTCCTGACCTCAGGTGATCCACCCACCTCGGCCTCCCAAAGTGCTGGGATTACAGGCGTGAGCCACTGTGCCTGGCCACTTGCAGAGATTTCTAGGTGTGGCTTTTTTCTAATGTAGTGAACCCTAAGACATGCAAGATACCCAATAAGTTATGAAGAGAATTATATTGGCAGAGACACTGCCAGCTTGGACTGAAAGGGACAGAGCCAGTGCAAAAGGACAAGACGGCTTTGCACACCCAAACTTTTACAGGCAGGAAGCAGGCAGATGAAACTGTGGAGCTGCAAACATCTTTCATGGAAGAGGTGGGACGACTCAGGGAGAGCCATGGAGAATCATTCATGAACAGGAGTAGGCATCAAAGAGTTCCTAGCATTTCTCCAACTGGATTACAGAATTTCCACACACCAGTGACTTATATGTATGACTTATATGTGCCTCCTGTCCCCTGCCCCACTTTTTTTTTTTTTTGAGACAGAGTCTTGCTATGTTGCCCAGGCTGGTCTCGAACTCCTGGGCTCAAGTAATCCTCCCACCTTGGCCTCCTGAGTAGCTGGGATGACAGGCACACGCTACCACGCCCGGCTTCCCCTGCTTTTGAGCAAGAATGTCCTTACTGGTTATCCTGTGCCTGCCTCTACCACTGCACACTGGGAGTGTGGAGATGACCTGTCTCTTTAGCTCACAGGTCTGCAGATAGGAAATGCACTTAAGGGCTGGATGCGGTGGCTCACGCCTGTAATCCCAACACTTTGGGAGGCCAAGGCAAGTGGATCACCTGAGGTCAGGAGTTAAAGACGAGCCTGGCCAACATGGTGAAATCCCGTCTCTACTAAAGAAAATTAGCTGGGATGGTGGTGCATGCCTGTAGTCCCAGCTACTTGGGATGCTGAGGCAAGAGAATCACTTGAACCTGGGAAGCAGAGTTTTCAGTGAGGTGAGATGGTGGTGGCTCTGCACTTCAGCTTGGGAGACAGAGCAAGACTCCATTTCAAAAAAAAAAAAAAAAAAGAAATGCACTTAAGGAGCCATAGTTACGGAACTGCATGCTAGAGCCACATCCCCACCTGGACCTGACTGAGATGATGAGATTCTGTACTTTGAGCTGATGCTGTAATGGGATGATGGGGGATCCTGGAAGGTGGTGAGTATATTTGGCATGTGGGAGGGGGGAAATCACTGAGAGCCAGCGGTGGCCTGTGGAGCCAGCCACCAAGGCAGCCTGATGATTCTCGTCCCCTGGTGCTCGTTCCTGTGTGTCATCTCCTTCCTCACTGGATAGGACCAACAGACCTAGGTCATAAAAGACAATGGAGGGGCCCGGCGCTGTGGCTCACGTCTGTAATCCCAGCACTTTGGGAGGCTGAGGCGAGTGGATCACCTGAGGTCGGGAGTTTGAGACCAGCCTGGCCAACATGGTGAAACCCTGTCTCTACTAAAAATACAAAAATTAGCTGGGCGTGATGGCACACCTCGGTAATCCCAGCTACTTGGGTGGTTGAGGCAGGAAAATCACTTGAACCTGGGAGGCGGAGGTTGCAGTGAGCCGATATTACGCCACTGCACTCCAGCCTGGGCGACACAGTGAGACTCCATCTCAAAAATAAAAAAGACAATGAGGCTTCCACCTTGCCCTCTCTGGAATTATTTGCTCTGGAGAAGCCAGTTGCCATGCTGCGAGGATACTCAAGCAACCCTGTGGAGAGATCTACATGGCAGGGATTTGTTGTTTCCTGCCAGCAGCTAGTGCGAACTTGCCAGCCACATGAACAAGCTTTCTCAGAGTGCATCCTCTAGGGGCGGTCATGCCTTTGATGCCCACAGCCCCACTGACATCTTGGCCACAGCCTCAGAAGAGACCCTGTGCCGGAGCCACCCAGCCGAGCCACTGCTGAGATCCTGACCCTCAGAAACAGAAGTAATAAATATTGTTAATTTAAGCTCCTAAATTGGGGGCAGTTTGTTACACAGTGATAGATAACGAATTCATACTCCGTAATTCCCCTCGCACATTTGTGGTGTCTTTTTAAAAATACCAATTCTCATATACACAGTGGTCTGTTTCTGATCGCTCTGTTGTGTTTCTCAGGTATTTTTGTTTCTGTGCCCGAACTGATACCGTTCTCACTGTTGTGGCTTTGCAGCCTATCTTAATATCTGGCAGGGTCGGCCTTTCCTCTTTGCTCTTATTTTTAAAAACTGACCTAAGTTTGGGAGGATGGCTTGAGCCCAGGAGGTCAAGGCTGCTGTAAGCTGTGGTCATGCCACTGCACTCAGCCTGGATGACAGCAAGACCCTGTCTCAAAAAAAAAAAAAAAAAAAAAATGGCCTCAGTAATTGTAGACTTTTATTATTCTCTGTTAATTTTAGAGAGTCTTATGAGTTTCTGCAAAAAACAAATCTGGAATTTGTATTAGAATTGCGCATTGAGTTTTCAAGGTTGGGAGAAGTGAGAGGGATTTTGGCATGAAGATTCTAGAAGACAGAAGAGAAAGAAGCCCATGGGTTTGCTTCAGATTTCTTTCTCCAACGTCATCCCACCCAATGAAGTTCATTCACTCAACAAATATGTTCATTCATTCAACAAATACAGAGCATCAGCTGTATACTAGGTAGTTATTCCTAGGTGGGAAGAGACAGATCATAAACAAATACAAAAAGTTAGAAAAAGTCAGACACTAACTGCTGTGTAGAAAATGAACTGATAGGCCTGGTGCAGTGGCTCACGCCTGTAATCCCAGCACTTTGGGAGGCTGAGGCGGGCTGATCACCTGAGTTCGGGAGTTCATGACCAGCCTGACCAACATGGAGAAACCTCGTCTCTACTAAAAATACAAAATTAGCTGGGTGTGGTGGCACATGCCTGTAATCCCAGCTACTCAGGAGGCTGAGGCAGGAGAATTGCTTTAACCCGGGAGGTGGAGGTTGCAGTGAGCCGAGATGGCGCCATTGCACTCCAGCCTGGGCAACAAGCGAAACTCTGTCTCAAAAAAAGAAAAAGAAAACTGATAACACAAAAGGCAGGATGTAGAGGAGGCTGTTTTAGCCAGGGGGGCTGGGGAGGGCTGGCCCTGAGGAGGCACTGTGTGACCTGCGATCTGAATGGCATGACGGACACGCCACGCTGACAGCTGAGCAAAGAAGCATCCCGGGCAGGGGCACAGCCAGTGGCCGGGGCAGGCACAAGCTGGATGTGTGAAGCAGCAAGGTGTCCGTGGGACCAAGGCCCAGCAAGCAAAGGGAGAGTGGCAGAGAGGCTGGCGGAGCTTGGAGCCTGCAGAGCCCTGCGGACCACTGAGGAGTCTGGAGTTGTTCCCAACCAGCTTTTGAAGGCTTTTAAGTGGGGGAGTACGTGGCCTTTGGTTGTGCTGTTAACCACCTTCCGCTTCTTCCCCAGCAAAAAAGGGAGACGCTGTCCCCGCTGTGCCTCATCCCCATGGTGACATCTCCCCGGGAGGAGCAGCAGCTCCTGGCCAGCACCTCCAAGGTGAGGCCCCCAAGCCCTGCAGGGTGGAGGCTCACTGGGGGGGCCTCTCCCTGCAGCCTCACCCCTCTCGTCCATCCTCTCTCCCCCGCCAGCCCGTGGTGAAGCTCCTGCACAACCGCAGTAACAACAAGTACTCCTACACCAGGTGACCGCCGGGGTGCGGGGCACTGGGCGGGACCCTGGGATGCAGCACAGCCCTGCTTCTGCCCAAGGCGAGGGCCACGGCCACACGGGGGGCCTACAAGAACATCTGTGCCTGCTCGCAGATTCGGCTTCGCCTCTTACCCCTGACGCTCTAGGCAGGTCCTTTCTGCTTCTCAGCTTCAGCTCAGTCATCAGTAAATGGGTTTGGGTGAGGACAAAGTGATAGTGGCGAGCCTATCCCAAGTGCTCTCATTCTAGGAACTGGCAGAGTCCTCCCCCTTGAGGTCAGTACTGTTGTGAGCTCCATTTTACAGATGAGGAGGTCGGGACACCAAGAGGTGAAGTAACTTGCCTAGTGTCACCCAGTTAAAAAATGGGGACACCAGGACCCCCGGGGAGGTGGCCTGGCTCCCGGTCCCTCACTGGAGCTGCTGTGCTGTGCTGTGCTGGGATTTGCTCAGCGCATGTGGCTTCCCTTCTGAGACCCGTTTAGCCTGGCCCCAGGGGTGGAGGAGGCTCTCTGTTGAGCACCAAAGCCCTGGGCAGGAGCAGAGGACTGGGAATGCATCCAGGCCCGTCTTCTGGGGGTACAGAGGGAGGGGTGCCAACTGCGCTGAGGCCTCCTGGTCCCCTGGTCCCCAGCACTTCAGATGACAACCTACTTAAGAACATCGAGCTGTTCGACAAGCTGGCCCTGCGCTTCCACGGGCGGCTACTCTTCCTCAAGGATGTCCTGGGGGACGAGATCTGCTGCTGGTCTTTCTACGGGCAGGGCCGCAAAATCGCCGAGGTGTGCTGCACCTCCATTGTCTATGCTACGGAGAAGAAGCAGACCAAGGTCAGAGGGGCTCCAGAGCCTATGTTGGGGGCTGGGGGTGGCCAGGACCAGGACCCTGGACAAAAGCAGGTTGGCAGGGGAAGGAGCCCACCACCAGGAGGCAGGAGCCAGATCCTGGGGTCTGGGGTGCACAACAGTGGGCAAGCCACCCTATCCCTGTGGGTCTCTGTTTCTCTGTGAAATGGGGGTCACGGGTTAGAGCAGGGTGCTTAGCCTAGGCCTGTTGGATGGGTTTCAAGGCTGTTTGCAACTCCTGAAATGGGGGTGTATGCATTTTTCTGTATAGGGGGTCCATAGTTGCCATTAGAAACTCAGAAGGGGTGAGGCATAGTGGCTTACGCCTGTAACCCCAGGACTCTGGGAGGCCAAGGCAGGAGGATCACTTGAGCCCAGGAGTTCGAGACCAGCCTGGGCAACATCGTGGGACCTGATCTCTGTAAGAAGTCAAAAAATTTAGCCAGGTGTGGTGGCTTGGTGACATGATGGCATGCACCTGTAATCCCAGCTACTCAGGAAGCTAAGGCAGGAGGATTGCTTGAGCCCAGTAATTTATTTATTTATTATTATTATTATTATTATTTGAGATGGAGTCTCGTTGTGTCACCAGGCTGTAGTGCAGTGGCACAATCTCCGCTCACCGCAACCTCTACCTCCCAGGTTCAAGCGATTCTTCTGCCTCAGCCTCCCCAGTAGCTAGGACTACAGGCACGTGCCACCATGCCCAGCTAATTTTTGTATTTTTAGTAGAAACGGGGTTTCACCATGTTGGCCAGGATGGTCTCAATCTCTTGACCTCGTGATCCACCCACCTCAGCCTCCCAAAGTGCTGGGATTACAAGCGTGAGCCACTGCCCCCAGCCTATTTTTTTTTTTTTTTTTTTAGACAGAGTCTCACTCTGTTGCCCAAGCTGCAGTGCAATGGTGTGATCTCAGCTCACTTAACCTCTGCCTCCCAGATTCAAGTGATTCTCCTGCCTCAGCCTCCCAAGTAGCTGGCACTACAGGCACCCGCCTCCATGCCCGGCTAATTTTTGTATTTTTTAGTAGAGACTAAATGTAGTAGAGAAGTCTCTTTAGTAGAGACTTCGCCATGTTGGTCAGGCTGGTATTGAACCCCTGACCTCAAGTGATCTGCCCTCCTCGGCCTCCCAAAGTGCTTGGATTATAGGTGTGAGCCACCGGGCCCGCCCTAGCCCAGGAATTTGAGGCAGCAGGGAGCTATGATCATGCCACTGCACTCCATCCTAGGAGACAGAGTGAGCCCTAACTCTAATTAAAAAAAAAAAAAAGGGAAACTCAGAAAGGCCCATTGCCAAAAATAGATTCTTAAAACCTCAGAATCAGATGTCTCTTAGAACATCCTCTGAGTTTGTAGATCCTGAGTCATTAATGTGGCAATCATCAAGATATTCCCCAAGCCCCTGCTCTGTGCTAAGTACTGTACCGGGCTGGAAATCAAGGGGAATGAAGTGCTGAGCAAAATACAAGCCCTTCCTCATCTGGTCCCTTCCGAGCTTACTATGAGCCACATGCCTCAGGTACACCACAGTCATCACAAGTCTCTAAGCACTCAGTGCTATTTCTTACCTCTTACCTCTGCACACACTGTTGCCTCTTGGAATTCTTTCCTTCTATCTGCCTAATGAACTTGTACTTAATCTTAAGACTCAAGCTAAGCATCACTTTCTTTGGGTCACCTTCACTCATGAACTTTCAATCCAGCAACCCCAAAGTTGGTCACACTCCCTTCATAGCTAAAGACAGTGTTTTATCATGTGTGGTGGAGGGGAGGGGGTTTGCATCAGCAGCGAGGTGTTAGTTCCTTGAGGGCAGGGCCATGTCTTTTTCTTTCCTATCTCCCATTAGCTGGGCCCTTTTCACACAGTGGAAGCTAGGAAACATTTATTGAATGAATGAATGAATGAATCAGTGACCCAGCTTCCAAGAAACATCCTCTGATTGGGAAGATAGGAAGATAAACCAATAATTAGAGTGCATGGCTCACACCTGTAATCCCAATACTTTAGGAGGCTGAGGCAGGGGACCATTAAGGCCAGGAGTTTGAGGCCAGCCTGGGCAACACAGCAAGACCCCATCTCTACAAAAAATAAAAAAAAATTAACTGGACATAGTGGTACACCCAGGTACTCAGGAAGCTGAGGTGGGAGGATCACTTGAGCCCGGGAGGTTGAGGCTGCAGGGATACATGATCACACCACTGCACTCCAGCCTAGGCAACAGAGTGAGATCTTGTCTTAGAAACAAACAAACAACGATTAAAAAAAAAAAAAAAAGGCCGGGCATGGTGGCTCACACCTGTAATCCCAGCACTTTGGGAGGCTGAGGCGGGCAGATCACGAGGTCAGGAGTTCGAGACCAGCCTGTACAACATGGTGAAACCCTGTCTCTACTAAAAATCCAAAAATTAGCTGGGCATAATGGCACATGCCTGTAATCCCAGCTACTCCGGGAGGTTGAAGCAGGAAAATCGCTTGAACTTGGGAAGTGGAGGTTGCAGTGAGCTGAGATTGTGCCATTGCGCTCCAGCCTGGGTGACAGAGCAAGACTCTGTCTCAGGAAAAAATAAAAAATAAAAATAAAAAATTAAAAAAACAGTTTGCTAAGAGCTGTGTTAGATGCTTCCAAGGCCACACAAGGGAACACCCCAGTCACCTCTTCGACTTCATCCCTTTCCATTCCCTCTCATCTCTGCCTCAATTGCATTGGCCTCCCTTTTGATCTTCCAGTAAGACACTGGGTGCACTCCTGACCCACAGCTCTCACGCTGGCCCTGGCCCTCCCCAGGCTGCTCTTTCTGCTCTGTGTGCCTTGTCCCCTCCCCCACTCCTTTGGTCAAATATCACCTTCTCAGTGAGGCCTTCCCTGGAGTCCTTCTTAAAGTTGTAACACTCCTGGCTCTGGCTATCACATCCCCTTTTCCTGATGTATCTCTTTTCCTGATGTATCTCTTTCTCTCTCTCTCTCTTTTTTTTTTTTTAATAGATGAGGTCTTGCTACATTGCCCAGGCTGGCTTTGAACTTGAACTCCTGGGCTCTAACGATGTTCCTGCCTTAGCCTCCCAATGTGCTGGGATTACAGTCAGGAGACACCACACCCAGCTTATATCGTTTCCTAAACATCATCATTTGACTGCATTTATATTTTATTTTATTTATTTATTTATTTATTTTGAGATGGGGTCTCACTGTCACCCAGGTTGGAGTGCAGTGGTACAATCTTGGCTCACTGCAACCTCCACCTCCCATGCTCAGGTGATCCTCCCACCTCAGTCTCCCGAGTAGCTGGGAACACAGGTGTGGGCCACCACACCTAGCTAATTTTTTGTATTTTTGGTAGAGATGGGGTTACACCATGTTGCCCAGACTAGACTCAAACTCCTGGCCTCAAGCTGTCCTCCCACCTTGGCCTCCCAAAGTGCTGGGATTACAGGCCTGAGTCACTGCGCCAGGCTAGTTTATATTTTCTTAAGTGTATGACTGAGTCCTCCCACTAGAATGTAACCTCCTGAGGACAGAACTCTTGTTTTGTTCACTGCTATTTTTGCAGTGCCTAGAACAATACCTGGTGCAGTGCACTCACTCAGTATTTGTCAAATGAAAAAATATACCAAGAGGCTAGGCAGGGAAGGAGATGAAGGAGAGAAAACAAATAATTCTGCCTGCCTGACTTCAGAGCTGAGCCTTGAAGTATGACTTTGCTGAGTAAAGGAGTGGCAGAGAGGCCAGGCCAGGCCCAAGGACCTGACTGCAGGGCTAGGAGGTGTGTTGGTGCAGGGGCCCTAGGCAGGGGGATGGCCCTGCGTGACTGCACCAGAAGGAAGGAGCTGGGGCCGGCTGGCCTTTTGCAGGTGGAATTTCCAGAGGCCCGGATCTTCGAGGAGACCCTGAACATCCTCATCTACGAGACTCCCCGGGGCCCAGACCCAGCCCTCCTGGAGGCCACAGGGGGAGCAGCTGGAGCTGGTGGGGCTGGCCGCGGGGAGGATGAAGAGAACCGAGAGCACCGTGTCCGCAGGATCCATGTCCGGCGCCATATCACCCACGACGAGCGTCCTCATGGCCAACAAATTGTCTTCAAGGACTGACCTCTGACCCTCCCCCTGCCTTCCTCTTGCCTTGGGACCCAGTCCCTCTCTCTTTCCCTCCCCTTCCCAGACTTTTGCCCCGGCTCTGCTGGCCAAGTCGTGGGTCCTCCTCTGTCCCTTCATTGCATGGCACAGCTCACTTTGGCCCTTCTCCACCCATCCCAACCCCATTGCTAACAACATGGTACATTCCGGCCCCACCACTCAGAGCCTTCCGAAGCCAACACTTGTCCCCACCCTGGCCCTGCGTCCTTCCCTCTCCAGCTGGTTAAGAGGGATTTAGAATTCCCTTTCTCTTTTTTTAGTGCATCGTCCATGCCAAAGTGTGCGGCCCTTCCTGACATCACCACAGTCTGAGCAGCCTCCCGCGTCCTGCAGGGTAGTCCGCCCCCTCCTCCCCACCATCCTCCCTACCTCCTTAACTTTGTACTAGACTGGCCTGGGCCTGCCCAGCTCAGCGTTATCAGTCTGTTTCATATTATTTATTATTTTAATTTTCTATTAAATTATTGAAATAAAGTTAAGTTGAGAAACTGGTGCTGGCTCCTGGGGAGAGGGACGGGGAGATGCCTGTGTTAGGAGGTATCTGGCCGGGCGTGGTGGCTCACACGTGTAATCCCAACTACTCAGGAGGTTGAGGCAGAAGGATCACTTGAGCCCAGGAGTTCAAGACCAGCCTGGGCAACAAAGCAAGACCCTGACTCTACAAAAAAAAAAAAAAAAGAAAGAAAAAAAAGGAGGTACCTGTTTGGTTGTACTAGGAGAAGACATAAGGCCCTGCCCCAGCCTCTCCCTGCGAAGGAAGTAGTCGGGAGTTAGGAGAGGATTCAGAATTTATATTTCAGTGCTCACTAGCCAGTTCCCATCCTCCGCCCCCGCCCACCCCCGCAGTAGAGAGGAGGTCCTGGCTACCATCAAGCCGTCCCTGAGCGCAGTGTCTCTCCAGCCTGGGTGTGTGAAGGGAGCACCTTCCTTCAAGGGTCTGGGGCGAAGACAAAGTCGAGGGCCTGGCGCTCAGCCCCTGCCACGTTGGGGTGCCAGAGGTCCACGATGAAGACCACTCGAGGCCCATCTTCGGGGGAGCCTAGGGCACATGGGACAGGAACAGCAGAGCCACTGACATTAGGTACTTGCACACCAGAGCACTCACCAAACACCATAAAAGCAAACAGTAAATAAGTGGCAGGCCTTGTTCTAACCCTTTAAATGTATCAAATCTTTTTTTTTTTTTTTTTTTTTTTTCCTGAGATGGAGTCTTGCTCTGTCACCAGGCTGGAGTGCAGTGGCGCAATTTCGGCTCACTGCAACCTTGGCCTCCCAGGTTCAAGCAATTCTCCTGCCTCAGTCTCCCTAGTAGCTGGGATTTCAGGTGCTCATCACCACACCTGGGTAATTTCTTTGTATGTTTAATAGAGACGGGGTTTCACCATGTTGGCCAGGCTGGTCTCGAACTCCTGGCCTCAGGTGATCCGCCCACCTCAGCCTCCCAAAGTGCTGGGATTACAGGCGTGAGCCACCATGCCCGGCCGATATGTATCAACTCTTAATCATCAAAACAAACTGTGGTATTACCATAATTATCCCTATTTTATACAAAGCAACAGAGGCATAAGGAGGTTAAGTCCTTTGCCCAAGTGCAAGAGGTAGGACAGGAACCCAGAGTCCTGTGCTGGTAACCGCTTTTCTGTGTACGTAATATTATCTCATTTAATCCTTGCAGTTACTTGATGAAGAAGGTGGTGGTCCTAGGGCATTGGAGAAGTTATGCGGCTTGTTCAAGGTCATGCAGCTGGAAGATGGTGGTGGTAGGACAGGAAGTCCGTTGGGCCTGATTCTGCTGCCTTCTAGTCAACGCTCCTTTGCTCCTGAGTCCCTCATCCCCCCTGCAGAATGGGCACCCCGTTACCATTGTGAGCCACTGTGTGTAGAAAAGAGTCGTCCACCAGTAGACAGTGCCCCTCAGCCCAGCACTGGGGCTCACCGCCGACCACCAGCTCACAGCCAGGAGGGATCTTTAGGCCTGTAAGAAGAGACGCGGGCATCCAGCACTCCTGCCTCCATCCCAGGGGCCCATCCTGGCCAGTCAATTAGCAACTAGCTCTAAGTGTCTTAAATGCCAGGTTTTGTGGTCATCCTCCTTTCTTTCCAGAAAGTGGCCACAGTATAATTACAATACAGTCCTGGAGGAGGGAAGTGCTAGGAGATTAGGGAAACGCTGCTGTGGGTAGTGTGACCCATCTTTTTTTTTTTTTTTTTTTTGAGACAAAGTCTCACTCTCTCACCCAGGCTGGAGTGGAGTGGTGTGATCTCAGCTCACTCTGCTTCCCAGGTTCAAGTGATTCTCGTGTCTCAGCCTCCTGAGTAGCTGCTGGGATTACAGGCATGTGCTACAATGCAGGGTTAATTTTTTGTTTTGTTTTTTTTTTTGAGATGTAGTCTTGCTCTGTCGCCAGGTTGGAGTGCAGTGGCATGATCTTGGCTCACTGCAACCTCCGCCTCCCAGGTTCAAGCAATTCTCCTGCCTCAGCCTCCCGAGTAGCTAGGATTACAGCTGCCTGCCACCACGCCTGGCTAATTTTTGTATTTTTAGTAGAGATGGGGTTTCGCCATGTTGGCCAGGCTGGTCTCGAACCCCTGAGCTCAAGTGATCTGCCTACCTCAGCCTCCCAAAATGCTGGGATTACAGGTGTGAGCCACTGCACCTGGCCAGACCCGTTATTTTATTTTATTTTATTTTATTTTATTCTTATACAGACAGTGCTGGTCTTGAACTCCTGGCCTCAAGCAATCCTCCTGCTTTGGCCTCCCAAAGTGCTGGTATTTCAGGGATGAGCCACGGCACCTGGCAGCAACCTCTCATTTCGAGAAAAGAGAAGGCTTCCTGGAGGAAATGGCTTTTCCTCCTGGGCTTTCGACAGTTTGACTCAAGAGCTTACTGTGTGATAGGCGCTGTCTCACTGAGAGGTATAAGATTAAAGACGTTCCTGGCCCAAGGACCACATGGCTGAGTGCTGTGAGGAAAGTGAGCAGCCAACTCAACTGATGGGGGAACAGGAAGCCAACCCAGAGGAAGTGTGGCACTTGAAAACTTGAGTACTGAAGGCTGAGTAGGAGTTTTTCAGGAGGTGGTACGGGGGAAGGGGATTCTAGGTTGAAAAGAACAGCACATGTGGCATCTGTCAGGATTGGCCAGAAGGTTTTCATGATTTAGAGCACAGAGAGAGGGAAGAGAGGAAGGATTGGGAACTGATCCTGAGGCTAGTGTGCCCTGAAGTGTAGGACACATCCAGCTGGCAGCACAGGAGATGATTGGGGGCAAAACAAGGTCATGGCATGGAATAACAGAAAATTATTTCCTTTTCCATTTTCTTCCAGTCTTTAAGACATCAAAAAGTGCCAGGTGCGGTGGCTCACGCCTGTAATCTCAGCACTTTGGGAGGCCAAGGCAGGAGGATCACTTGAGTTCAGGAGTTCAGGTCCAGCCTGTCTTTACACAATTTTTTTTTCTTGTTTTTGAGATGAAGTTTCGCTCTTGTTGCCCAGGCTGGAGTGCAATGTTGTGATCTCGGCTCACTGCAACCTCCGCCTCCCGAGTTCAAGTGATTCTCCTGCCTCGGCCTCCCGAGTAGCTGGGATTACAGGCATGCGACACCACACCCAGCTAATTTTCTGTAATTTTAGTAGAGACAGGATTTCTCCATGTTGGTCAGCTGGTCTCGAACTCCCAGCCTCAGGTGATCCGCCTGCCTCAGCCTCCCAAAGTGCTGGGATTACAGGCGTGAGCCACCGCGCCTGGCCTACGTAAATTTTTAAAAAATCAGCCAAGCATGGTGGTGGGCACCTGTGGTCCCAGCTACTCAGGAGGCTGAGGTGAGAGGATCCTTTGATCTCAGGAGGTTAAGGCTGTAGTGAGCCATGTTTGTGCCACTGCACTCCAGCCTGGGTGACAGAGTGAGACCCTGTCTCAAAAAAAAAAAAAAAAGAAAAAGAAAAAATCTCAGTTTGGTGCTACTGTAACTTTGACACCCCACCAACCCTTTTAAAAAAGAAGGTGTAGGGCTAGGCACGGTGGCTCATGCCTGTAATCCCAGCACTTTGGGAGGCCGAGGCGGATTGATCACGAGGTCAGGAGATGGAGACCATCCTGGCTAACATGGTGAAACCCTGTCTTCACTAAAAATACAAAATAAAAAAAAATTAGCCAGGTGTAGTGGCAGGTGCCTGTAGTCCCAGATACTCGGGAGGCTGAGGCAGGAGAATGGTATGAACCCGGGAGGTGGAGCTTGCAGTGAGCCAAGATCGTGCCACTGCACTCTCGCCTGGGCGACAGAGCGAGACTCCTCAAAAAAGAAAAAAGTGTAGGCTTCAGGATCAGAGAGACTAGAGCACTTAACTAGAATGTTCTAGACTGTTGAAAGCTTTCTTTTTTAAATTTCAGCTTGTGTTTATGAGTACTTTCTTGTCACCCAGGCTGGAGTGCAGTAGCACAATCTCAGCTCACTGCAGCCTCAAACTGCTGAGCTCCAGTGAACCTCCCACCTCACCCTCTCCAGTAGCTGGGACCATAGGCATGGGCCACCGCGCCCGGCTAATTGTTTTATTATTTGTAGAGACAAGGTCTCACTGTGTTGTCCAGGCTTTTTATGAGTACTATTTAGGGCAAGTAATACTGATAGTGCTATAAATATTTCTTTTAAATACGTAGAACAAAAGGTCGGGGGGAGAGCCAAGGTGAAGAAACGCAGTACAGATGGGAATGACCACGGCAAAGCTTATGAAGGTGGTGTGCAGATAACCGAGGCTGAGGAAATGCTGCTGTGGGTGGCAACAGGGAGCCATGGAAGAAGAGAGGCACAATGAGAACCAGACAGCAGACGGCTCTGGCGGAGAGAAGGGTCTGGGGGGGAAATCATCGAGGCAAGGAGGTTGTCAGTAGGCGGCAGCTACTTACCCAGATGGCATCTGACCCGGGCATTGGTGGGCCCACAGCGGCCCTCGAGCCGGGCCCCAGGCAGGAGAACGGAAAAGCCGGCATTGCCGAAGGTGTTGGCACTCATAAAGCTTCGAAGCCCCCTCAGTGCCCGATAGGCCCCCGGGCACCGGCGGCAGTTGCTGGGTTGGCACCGGCCTGCTTGGTACAGCAGGAGCTGGTAGCACCCGGGGGCCAGAGGTGGGGACCAGCCCCGAGGCGGAGGGGTAGTCCCTGAGAAGTCCCAGCTCACAGCCCCGAAGTCCCGCAAAATGGCAGGGAAGCTGCTCTCCAGGAGCTCCACGTCGTGCCGCTGGGCGTCCCGCGGCACAAAGGGGGCTGAAGGCAGGTCTGGTAGGAAAAGCAGGCCTGGGCGCTGAATACCTAGGACCCCTGGCCCTCTCCCAGGGCCTGGGCCACCCTGAGCTGCCCGCCTCACTCTACCCATCCCAGCCCAGGAGTAGCGCCTTGCGTAGGCCCGAAGCCGCCGGCTCACTAGGCCTTCCGTCCTAGGTCCTTCCCCGGGATCCCCAGGACCCCCTGGGCTTGGCCCGCCGGCCTCCGAGCATCCCACAGGCCCACCACGAACACCCCCAGCTCGGCTCCCAGCCCCTAGGGCCTGCATGTCTTGGGAGCCCAGGCGGTAGCAGTACCAGAGGAACAGGGAAGTGAGGGCCCCGAAGAGCAAGGTGAGGGCCGAGGAGGCCAGGGGTAGTGGCCACGGGAGCATGATCAGGGAGGCCCTGGCCAAGAGGCCTGGGGCGTCCTCCGGACCCCAGTTCCCCTGTCCCCCCAGCTCCCCACCTGTCCCTTCCATGGCTGCCCCCTGGCTCCCCGCTGGACTGTTTCCCTTCCACATTCCACTCTGGGCTGTCTCTCTCTCCTTCCGCGGTCCTCTCTCCACGCTGAAGCTCCCTCTCCCCTCCTTCATGCACCTCCAACCCTCCTCTCTCCTTTCTCTCCCCTTTCTCTCTCCTTCTACCTCTTCTTCCTCCTCTCCCTCTGTCGCCTCCTCACCCTCTTCTTTCTCCTTCCAGCAGCCTCCTCTCTCTCGCTCTGCTTCTCTCTCCCACCTCAATCTCCCCCTTTCCTCCCCACCCCCGCTTTTCGCTCGCTCTCTCTCCCCGCTTCCTCCTAGCTCCCCTGGGCAGCGGTTCCTACCCTGCCTGGACCTGCAGTCCCGGGAACCCGCAGCCTGTCTTCCTCCGCGGCAGCTTCTTTCTCTCCGGCCTCACTGCTCTCTCCTTGCCCTCGCTCCTCACTAGCCCCGACCCTGCGGTCCTGCCTGGCTCTCGCTCCCTCTCTCCTACTCGCTCCTTCCTGGGCTCCCACTCACCCTGACGTCACTCCTTCCCGGAGCCCTCTCAGCTCAGCCACCCCCGAACCCTCCCAGTGGCACAGCAAATCAGCCGGGTGCCGGGGGAGGGGGGAGAGTTGTCGCTGGAGGTGCCTCCCCACCCCCCCCGCCCGGAAAGGGCGCCACGTGGGGCGCAGGGGCCACGGTGCCAGCCTCCAGCCGTCCCGCAATGCGAAAGAAGGGGCGGGTCGTATCGGGCGGGGCCTGAGGGGCGGGGCCTGAGGGGCGGGGCGAGCGCGGACTGACGGCTGGGCAGGCGCCCGGGACTGCGGGCAAGGATGCTGAGGCCAGTCCGTCGGGCGGCTGGTCCGTCGGTCGGTCGGCCTGTGACTCCCGCTGGCCCTAGGCAGCCCGGGAGCCCGCGAGCCTGGCAAACACCGAAAGCGGCCTCAGCCAATCGCGGGCGGCGTCGGGCCGGGCCCGCCCCGGCGGGGCGAGGGGAGCTGTCCGCGCGCCGCTGGTGCTGAAAAGGGCG
The DNA here is from genome assembly GCF_000001405.40 of Homo sapiens. NCBI lineage: Eukaryota > Metazoa > Chordata > Mammalia > Primates > Hominidae > Homo > Homo sapiens. The sequence continues at coordinate 29,900,070 of NC_000016.10, read as the reverse complement.
CTCCGGAGGGAAAATCAGAGCCGAGGCCGCCTGTTAGCTGGCCGGGGTCAGGGTTTATGGAAGAGGAGGGGTCTGTCTCTCCTCCCCAAACCCCGGCCCGTCACCCACGAGACTTGTCACAATCGTGGAAGCTCTCTATTCCCCTGGAGGAGGGAGAGCCCATTCCACCCGAGCTACTGTAAAAGGGGAAGGGAAGCCCCTTGGGAGGTCTGAATGTGAACAGGGGGCATAATTGGGGGCCTAGCAGGCGCGAACCAAGCTATGCAGCCCCTCGGCACCCTGGGAAGAGGAGATTCAGATTCCAGATGTGCTGGAATGGCAGGCGGAGGGGGCTAATTACTGCTGGGACCAGAGAGTTTCCTTTGCCTCCCCTAGGGGCCGCGGGAGTGAGGATTACGGCCCTGGCTCGTATGATCCCTCCCTCCTCCATCTGCACTTCCTCCTCCTCCCTCCCCGTCAAATAAATCCCAGGCCCCTCCCTCCGCCCGTCCCCAGGATCTGACGTGGGCTCGATACCTTTCTCAGCTTCTCCCTCCCGCAGCTCCAGTGCCCGAGCTTCGGCTCTCCCAGTTCCCCAACCCACCCCTTCCCCTCCCCGACAAGCCCCGCTAGAGCCCAGTGGAGACCCCCTCGATCCTCGACCCCACCCTAAACCCCCAGAAGCTGTCTTTCTCCTCCCCAGTCCCCTAGCTTGGGGTCCAGACAGCCCAGTGGACCCAGGCGCCTGAGCAGGAGGGTAACCCAGGCCACCCGGCCCCTTCGGCCCTCTCGGCCCCACCCCCTGCAGCCGGAGCCGCGCCCCCTCCACCACAGAGCCGCGAGAAGAGGACAGAGGAGACTGAGCAAAGGGGGGTGGGCTCCAGGCGACCCCTAGCCCAATTCTGCCCCTCCATCCCAAGGGGCAGAGAAATTGTCTTTCTTTGCTGACTCCTACGAGGAAAAAAAAAAAAAAAAAAAAAACAATTAAAGGGAAAGATAAACGGAGACGGAGGAAAGGTGGCAGCCAGATTACTTAGAGAGGCACAGAGGAGAGAGATCGGGGTGAGTCGCCATGGGGACTCCCAGGGCCCAGCACCCGCCGCCTCCCCAGCTGCTGTTCCTAATTCTGCTGAGCTGTCCCTGGATCCAGGGTAAGGACATGAGACTGTGGGGGTGGGCCCCAGGAAGGCGTCCAGCGGGGTCCTCCACCCTCCTTTCTCTTAATATCCTGGGTCTTCCGAGCACATGGGGGAGGGGAGAGGCACAGCTGATGGGGAAGGGGCAAGCCAGAGCTTTCAGGCTTGAACCCGAAGCCCCTTAACCCTCAATATTGAGAAGGCAGAGAAATGAATGAGAGAAGCTTTTAGCAGTGTCTCAGGGGCTAGATCCAAGAAGGAGGGCTGGGAAAGTTGGGGGGATGTCTGCGGAGGCGGCAGAAGCATGGAGGGACCTGGGTGGGAGATGGAGGTGCTGAGAGAGATGCCAGGCGCTGTACACACAACTGTTCTTGGATGAATGGACAAAGACAGATGAGCAGAGGCAGGGCTCAAAGACCAGATTTTCAGTCCCCCACTCTGACCCCCAGCCAGACTCCAGGGAAGGAGGCAGAGACTGCAGAGGACCAGAGAGAGAGAGGGTGGGGGGGAGAGAGAGAGAGAGAGAGAGAGAAAAGACAGCCACACTGCAGAGACAGAAACCCAGAGAGAAAGCCAGGCACTGCGGAAGCAAGGGCTGGGAGGTGCGGCCAGATCCTCTGCAGAGCCCCAGGGTTGGGGGGAGATCACCACTGAGGTGAAAGGGAAGGCAGCACCGGCGACCCCTCTGCCTTGCTGGCGCTGTCCAGGGTCCATAAGAGCTAAGGTGTTCAATGAAGGCCCACACAGCCCAGGGAGAAGGGAGAGGGGAGGGGAGAGAAGAGGTGTGGGAGTGGGAGTATGAGGGCAGCTGGGAGCCCCTCCTCCGATCTTGGCCCTCAGTCGAGCCTGGGACCATCTGAGCCCCTGCAGGCCCAGCTGATGGAGGAGGGAGGAAGAGTTCTAGAAAATATCTCTCTGGAGAAGGAAGGGGTGTGGGGAAGTGGAGAAGCTCACACAACTTCACCTCCTAGGTCTGCCCCTGAAGGAGGAGGAGATATTGCCAGAGCCTGGAAGTGAGACCCCCACGGTGGCCTCTGAGGCCCTGGCTGAACTGCTTCATGGGGCCCTGCTGAGGAGGGGCCCAGAGATGGGCTACCTGCCAGGTGAGGCCCCCAGAGTGGCAGGAGTGGCCTAGAGGCAGAGGGAGGGATATGGGCTCAGGGAGATGGGGAGCCAGGCTAGAGAAGAGCAGGCAGAGAGAGACTGCAGAGGAAAGAGCCTGCATTCCTGTGAGATTCAGGGAACACAGAACGAGACTGTCAGAGAAAGTCAAACCTGGGCACAGACAGAACCAGAGAGACAGAGACAGAATGATTAGGTGACAGTCAGACAGAAAAACAGACACATAGAAACAGAGATGGAAATTCAGAGAACCAGACTCAGAGAAATGGTGGAAGACAGAGACAGAGAGAATGAAACACAAAAACTAGTGGATCTCGAATCATGAAATCAGAGTGCAATCAGAATACTAAACAGGGAAATGGGGAAATAAAGAGTTCGAGAGAGAATGAGACAGAGGAGAGAGGAGATAACCAGAGAGAGAACGTGATCTGAGTGAGGAGGCAGAGAGAGAGGCTCAGGGAGAGGAGTATCAGGGTGGAAGGGGCTGGGTGGAGAGAAGGGACCAGAAGAGAAAGAGGGGGGACTCAGGCTGTGGAAGCCTTGGGAGGAGGTAGGGGCTGGGGTGGGGAAGGGAAAGGTGGGGGGTGCTGTACCTTGTGCGGGAGGCTTTTGTGGTATGGCAGGGGAACCCCTAGCTTCCCTCAGCCCTGCTCCCCACCCAAGGTCCTCCATGTGCTCCTCCTGTGCTCTGATATTCCCTGCACTGTCCCAGGATCTGATCGGGACCCCACGCTAGCCACCCCTCCGGCCGGCCAGACTCTCGCAGTGCCCTCCCTGCCACGGGCCACTGAGCCGGGGACAGGGCCTCTGACAACAGCCGTCACCCCTAACGGGGTCAGGGGGGCAGGCCCCACTGCGCCAGAACTGCTGACCCCGCCCCCAGGAACCACAGCCCCACCCCCACCCAGCCCTGCCTCCCCAGGGCCTCCCCTTGGGCCTGAGGGAGGAGAGGAGGAGACGACGACCACCATCATCACCACGACAACTGTTACCACTACGGTGACCAGCCCAGGTGAGGCGACAGCAAGGGGATGGGGGTGGGAGGACCGGAGAGGTACACGCTGGGGATGGATGGGAGAGAGGCTGCTGGGAACTGTGGAAGGAGTCCTGGGTACAGATGGGAGAATAATAATAACAAAGGTAGCATTTCTGTACCCTTACTATGTACCAGGCAGTGTTCCAATTGTTTCAGCTATATAACAGTTGGGAAAGGGAGTTCTGGCTCAGGTGGGAGAGGGAGCATTGCTTAAAGATAGTGATGGACATGGTGGCTCTAGCCTGTAATCCCAGCACTTTGGGAGGCCAGGCGGGCAGATCACCTGAGGTCGGGAGTTCGAGACCAGCCTGAGCAACATGGAGAAACCCTGTCTCTACTAAAAATACAAAATTAGCCAGGCGTGGTGGCGCATGCCTGTAATCCCAGCTACTCAGAAGGCTGAGGCAGGAGAATTGCTTGAACCCGGGAGGTGGAGGTTGTGGTGAGCTGAGATCCAGCCATTGCACTCTAGCCTAGGCAACAAGAGCAAAACTCCATCTTAAAAAAATAAAAATAAAAAAATAAAAGATGGTGAGGGGGGCACAGCAGCGCACAGCTGTAATCCCAGTGATTTGGGAGGCCAAGGCAGGAGGATCGCTTGAGGCCAGGAGTTTGAGTCCAGCCTGGGAAATGTGGCAAGACCCCATTTCTACAAAAAGTTTTAAAAATTGTCTCACCATGGTGATGTGCACCTGTGGGCCCAGCTACTCGGGAGGCTGAGGAGGGAGGATCACTTGAGCCCAGGAATTTGAGACTGCAGTGAGCCATGATTGCACCACTGCACTCCAGCCTGGGTGACAGAGCGAGACCCTGTCTCAAACAAAACAAAAAGATGATGAGAAGTGCTAAGGAGAAGGGAGATGAAGGCCAGAGTTGCTTGGCTGGGAGGGCAAAAGCACAGGCATTCCTTCCATCCCAGCCATTTGTATCTCCTCAGTTCTGTGTAATAACAACATCTCCGAGGGCGAAGGGTATGTGGAGTCTCCAGATCTGGGGAGCCCCGTCAGCCGCACCCTGGGGCTCCTGGACTGCACTTACAGCATCCATGTCTACCCTGGCTACGGCATTGAGATCCAGGTAACTGGACCAAAGCATGTGACTGTGCAGCTTCCAAGCCTTTTCCTCTGGGCTGTGGGTGTGCACGGGTTTGGCCTGGGAGCCAAAGAACCTGTCTGATGACTCAGGTGACCTCAAAAACTCTTCTAGATTTCTACAACTTGGGCAGCAGCGTGGTGCCTTTTGGGCTGCTACACACAGGGCAAAGGCACAGGACAGGGGCTTTGGAAGTCAAACACCTGGCTGACTTGCCCTGGCGGGTCTGTGTCTGGCTTCTCTAGGTGCAGACGCTGAACCTGTCACAGGAAGAGGAGCTCCTGGTGCTGGCTGGTGGGGGATCCCCAGGCCTGGCCCCCCGACTCCTGGCCAACTCATCCATGCTTGGAGAAGGACAAGTCCTTCGGAGCCCAACCAACCGGCTGCTTCTGCACTTCCAGAGCCCACGGGTCCCAAGGGGCGGTGGCTTCAGGATCCACTATCAGGGTGAGGAGTTTGAGGGTGCTGCTGGAAGGGCAGGGGCCATACTGCATACACTGGACATCTTTTTTTTTTTTTTTTTTTTTGAGACAGAGTCTTGCTCTGTCGCCCAGACTGGAGGTCAGTGGCGTGATCTCAGCTCACTGCAAGCTCTGCCTCCCAGGTTCACGCCATTCTCCTGCCTCAGCCTCTCAAGTAGCTGGGACTACAGACGCCCGCCACCATGCCCAGCTAATTTTTTGTATTTTTAGTAGAGATGGGATTTCACCGCGTTAGCCAGGATGGTCTCGATCTCCTGACTTTGTGATCCACCTGCCTCAGCCTCCCAAAGTGCTGGGATTACAGGCAAGAGCCACTGTGCCCGGCCTATAGAGGGGACATCTTTAAGAACCATCGAAGCACAGGGTGCCGAAGGGGGCTTTTCCTCCTGACTGCGACCCTGGGGGGCAGGGCCCTCAGAGGAGACCCATGCATACTTATCTCACACACTCACAGATCTGTGCACACATCCGAGGGACAATTCATCCATTGAATCCAACAAATGTTTATCAAGTGCTTGCTTCATACCAGGCCCTGTGTTAGCCTTGAAGGAGGAATGAACAAACCAGGTGTAAATCTGGCTTCAACGAGCTCAGAATCTAGGTAGGAAGACAGATGAGTAATCAGGATGGTTATAATTCAAGGAGATAAGGAATATGATGGCAGAAACACCAGCGGGGGCAGCACATAGCCAAGGGACCTAAATTTCTCCCAAGGAATATGGGGACATCTTCTTGGAGGAGATGATGACTAAGCTGAGACCTGAAGGATAAATTCGCCAGGGAAAGGGTGGGAGGGAGGGAGAGAAGGAGGGAGGCAGATGGCTAAGTGGATGAAAAAGCACACTCCAAGACCCAGAGAGAGAAGACGTGACCCCCAGATGAGGTGAAGGAATTCAGCATGGAAGATAGAATTGTCCTAGCTGTGTGACCTGGGACAAGTTACTTAACTTTTCTGTGCCTCATGATCTCATCTGAAAAATAGGGATCACAATACTTAGTATTATGGGGAAGATCAAATGAATTAATACATGTCAAGTGTTTAAAACAGTGTGTGGCCTGGCGTGGTGGCTCACGCCTATAATCTCAGCACTTTGGGAGGCCAAGGCTGGTGGATCACCTGAGGTCAGGAGTTCAAGACCTGCCTGGCCAACATGGTGAAACCCCATCTCTACTAAAATTACAAAAATTAGCCAGGCATGGTGGCAAGCACCTGTAATCCCAGTTACTTGGGAGGCTGAGGCAAGAGAATTGTTTGAACCCAGGAGGCGGAGGTTGCATTGAGCTGAGATTGCGCCATTGTACTCCAGGCTAGGTGACAAAAGTGAAACTCTGTCTCAAAAACAAACAAACAAAAACACAAACAGCGTGTGGTACACAGTGAGAGCTCAAAACTGTCAGTCACTGCTATTACTTTCAAAGCACAGAAGCGGGTGAAGGGGAAATGGGCCAGAGACCAGGCTGGGAGGCAGGTCAGATTCAGACCATAAAGAGCCTTATCTGCTTCAGTAAGCAGTCCAGACTACTTCAACCTGCAGGTGTGACAGGCAGATATTTGAATTTTTTTTTTTTTTTTTTTGAGACAGAGTCTCACTTTGTTGCCCAGGCTGGAGTGCAGTGGTGATGACCTCAGCTCACTGCAACCTCTGCCTCCTAGCTTCAGATGATTCTCCTGTCTCAGCCTCCCCAGTATCTGGGATTACAGGCACCTGCCACTACGCCTGGCTAATTTTTGTATTTTTAGTAGAGATGGGGTTTCACCATGTTGGCCAGGCTGGTCTCGAACTCCTGACCTCAAGTGATCCACCCGCCTTGGCCTCCCAAAGTGCTGGGATTACAGGCATGAGCCACCACGCCAGGCCTCCTAATTTGAATTTTATTTATTTATTTATTTATTTATTTGAGATGGAGTTTTGCTCTTGTTGGCCAGGCTGGAATGCAATGGCGCAATCTTGGCTCACCGCAGCCTCTGCCTCCCGGGTTCAAGCGATTCTCCTGCCTCAGCCTCCTGAGTAGCTGGGATTACAAGCATGCCCCACCACTCCCGGCTAACTTTGTATTTTTAGTAGAGACGGGGTTTCTCCATGTTGGTCAGGCTGGTCTCGAACTCCCGACCTCAGGAAATCCTCCTGCCTTGACCTCCCAAAGTGCTGAGATTACAGGCGTGAGCCATGGTGCCTGGCCTGAAATGTTTTAAGCAGGAAAGTGAAAGCCTCAGATTTGCAATTTAAAGATCCTTCTGACTTCTGGGGGCAGGAAAGGGGGGCTGTATTCACGCACGACTGCATTTGTTAGGACCTATGACAGATGACCTGCACATGTGTGTACATCCATGCTTACCTGTGTGTGCGGGAACCTTCCCACAGTACAAGGGTGTGTTCTAGCAGACATGTGTGCATGAGGAAAGGGGCCCAGCCAGTGCCCTGTTCCAGACCCCACTGTCTTCCTATGCTTCATGGAGACAGAGAGAACTGTGTGTCGGGCCAATGCCCCCTTCACATCACCGCATGGCCTTGGCTGGTGTCACGCACTCTGCCCTCCTTGAAAGCTCTGCTGACCGCAGATGCCTTGTGTGCCTCATGCAGGGTACACCCTGAATCCTATTCTCATGTCCTCTCCAGCCTCTTTTGAGGCCTCTGCTCAGGACCTGCCTTAGGGGCTCATGTGTGCATAGCAAAGGTGCCTATTCATCGGGGGCCAGCAAGCTGGGGGACGTGTATTTGGCAGTAGGGACCTGGTTATTGGGGAGCAAGAGCATTCCTGGAGGGCCTGGGCCAAGTGCTGGATTTCAGATATTGTGAAATCTGAAGATATGGCTCCCCACTGGCTCCTTTAAGCAGCCACTTCCCCAGGGCACTGAAAATAGGACTCCTTAGGCTAAGTGGAACATTTGGGGAAGCAGGACTATTGCACAAATTGGCCTTCATTGCTCAGTCTTCCCTGCTTCGCAGCTGCACTGGGTACCTTTGGGACCAAGGCCCTGTTTCAGCCCTTCCCAACCTGCACTAGCTGGGGCCTCTGGTCCAGAGTGGCCTCATTAGTTTCTCTGAAAAGCCAAAGTCTCCTTCACCCCTCACCCCAAGTTCAGCAAACTTTCCCATTACAAAGCCCTTTCACCAACCTTAGTTTCATTTGCTTCTCACAGAAACCCTGAGAGTGGCCATTGTCAGTTCTATCTCTCAAAGGAAGGAAAAGACTCAAAGGTTATGTAGATTGCTCAACCATCTGCACGTTTATTGCAGCCAGACAACAGATCCCCGAGTCCCTGGCTCCCAGTCATTCATTAATTGAGGCTGAGGGGTGGGTGATTAACGTTTTCTCAGCAGCTTCTATGTGCCAGGTGCTTTGCGTGTTTCTTTTATTTAATTTTCAGGCCAATCTTCCCTGATAGGAATTATTATTGCCGTTAATAGGTGAGAGGCCCCTAGAGATGAAGTCACCTGCTCAAAGGCATGTAGTTAGTAAGTTCTGGAGCTAGAACTGGAACTCAGGTCTGCCTGATGACAAATCCAGTGGTCTTTGCACCGATCCATGCTGCCTCTTGGCTGCACCCATTGATCAGCCAGGCTAGCCCTTTTTTTTTTTTGAGACGGAGTCTCACTCTGCTGCCCAGGCTGGAGTGCAATGGCACAATCTCAGCTCCCTGCAACCTCCGCCCCCTTGGTTCAAGCGATTCTCCTGTCTCAGCCTCCTGAGTAGCTGGGATTATAGGCGTGTGCCACCATGCCCAGCTAATTTTTTGTATTTTTATTAGAGACAGGGTTTCACCATATTGGCCAGGCTGGTCTGGAACTCCTGACCTCATAGACTAGCCTTTTAGGACACAAAATAAATAAGGCTTGGGCCAGTGTAGACAGTGGTTAGGCCAGGTATGGTGGCTCACGCCTGTAATCCCAGCACTTTGGGAGGCCAAGGTAGGTGGATCACCTGAGGTCAGGAGTTCAAGACCAGCCTGGCCAACATAGTGAAACACTGTCTGTACTGAAAATACCAGCACAGTGGTTCACGCCTGTAATCACAGCACTTTGGGAGGCCGAGGCGGGCAGATCACGAGGTCAGGAGTTCGAGACCAGCCTGACCAACATGGTGAAACACCGTCTCTACTAAAAATACAGAAATTAGCTGGGCATGGTGGCACATGCCTGTAATCCCAGCTACTCAGGAGGCTGAGGCCGGAGAATTGCTTGAACCTGGGAGACGGAGGTTGCAGTGAGCCAAGATCGTGTCACTGCACTCCAGCCTGGGTGACAGAGCAATACTCCGTCTCAAAAAATAATAATAATAAAATAAATAATAATAAAAATACCAAAATTAGCCAGGAGTCGTGGCACACGCCTATAATCCCAGCTACTTGGGAGGCTGAGGGAGGAGAATTACTTGAACCCGGGAGGTAAAAGTTGCAATGAGCTGAGATCAAGCCACTGCACTCCAGACTGGGTGACAGAGTGAGACCCTCTCAAAAAAAAAAAAAAAAAAAAAAAAAGACAATGGTTAATGTGATGACAAAATCATGCATGCAGGACTGTGTACAGGTAAGAGAACAAGTAACTGTTGGAGAGATGTAGAGTCAGGAAGGCTTCCTGGAAGAGGTGGTACATAAGCCCCCCAGTCTGATCTCTTAAAAGATGAGAAAGTAGGGGGAGAGCACAAGCGAAAATATGGAGGTGGAAAATTAAGGAGTCACAAAACTGTGTTGTGTAGGCTATATCGGTCTTGGGAGATCAACCCTGAACCTGGAATGTGCTGGGCTGCATTTAACTATGGAAGGGGCTTGAATGTCAAACTAAAGCATTCAGACTTGATTCTGTTGGGCATGGGCAGCCATTCCCAAAGCTACCATTTATTGAAACCACTTTGTTCTAGAAGGTTGTTCTTATGTTCATCTCAGTAGACAATGGACTCCTGAGGACAAGGCCTGGGTCTTTTTCCTGACCTCAGGTGATCCGCCCGCCTCAGCCTCCCAAAGTGCCAGGATTACAGGCGTGAGCCACTGTGCCTTTAAAGACTATTTTGTCTTTAAAGATCTTAATACTCAGTGGCCTGTAAATGAATCCCCCAGTGAAAGTGAAGTCAGGAGGTCTGAAGAGATCAGGAGTTCGAGACCACCCTGGCCAACATGGTAAAATCCCATCTCTACTAAAAATACAAAAATTAGCTAGGCATGGTCGCACACACCTGTAATCCCAGCTACTTGGGAGGCTGAGGCAGGAGAACCGCTTGAACCCGGGAGACGGAGGTTGCAGTGAGCCGAGATTGCGCCAATGCACTCCAGCCTGGGCAACAGAGTGAGACTTCTCCTCAAAAACAAAAACAAAAACAAAAAGACAAAATAGTCAAATTTCCTCAACAAGTTTCATGTTTGCTTGAGGCCAGGAGTTCAAGACCAGCCTGGGCAACATACTGAGATGTCATCTCTACAAAAAATTTAAAAATTAGCGGGGCATGGTGGCACAAACCTGTAGTCCCAGCTACTTGGGAGGCTGGGTCAGGAGGATTGCTTGAGGCCAGGAGTTCAAGGTTCCAGTGAGCTATGATCACACCACTGCACTCCAGCCTGGGCAACACAGTGAGACCCTATCTCAAAAAAAAAAAAAAAAAAAAAAAAAAAAAAAGAAGTTTCAAGTGGTTCTTCTGGATGGAAGCTGAGGAGCTGAGGGTATACCACAGGGCACCTTGGTGGAAGAAAGGCTGTGTGTGTGGAGGGAAGAAAAATCAAAAGAGACATTTAATAACTTGGAGCCTCAGTGTTCACACCTGCAAAACAGGTCACATAATCTTTTTTTTTTTGAGACAGAGTTTTGCTCTTGTCGCCCAGGCTGGAGTGCAATGGGACGATCTCGGCTCACTGCAACCTCTGCCTCCTGGGTTCAAGTGATTCTCCTGCCTCAGCCTACCAAGTAGCTGGGATTACAGGCACCCACCACCACGCCTGGCTAATTTTCGTATTTTTTAGAGACGGGGTTTTACCATGTTGGCCAGGCTGGTCTCGAACTCCTGACTTCGTGATCCACCTGCCTCGGCCTCCAAAAGTGCTGGGATTACAGGCGTGAGCCAGCATGCCTAGCCAGGTCACATAATCTTTGTCTGCTGACCTCAAAATCTCTGTGTGGACTCACTTTGGGAGCTGAACAAGCTCTGCAAATACTGTTATTACAGCTGGATGAAGTTCAGAGTAGTTCATTGATTTGCCTGAAGTCACACAACAAATGAGTAGCGGGGTCCAGAATAACTTGTTTGAACCTCAGATACCTCATCTATAAAATGGGGGCCAACGAGGGTGAATTACAATGAGTGGGGGAGATAAGGGGTGTTGGAGTTTCCTGTTCGCGAGGCAAGGTGCCTGTGTGAGGAGCTCTTATTTCTCGGTATGTACGCCAGTATGGAGCCAGTGTGTGCCCCTGGAAGGTTGGCCTGAAAGGAGAGGGGGGAAGTGCTGGGGGATCAGTATGAGAGGGTGGCATGGGAAAGTGAGCCCTGCTACCCGCTGTCTGTCTGGTGCAGCCTACCTCCTGAGCTGTGGCTTCCCTCCCCGGCCGGCCCATGGGGACGTGAGTGTGACGGACCTGCACCCTGGGGGCACTGCCACCTTTCACTGTGATTCGGGCTACCAGCTGCAGGGAGAGGAGACCCTCATCTGCCTCAATGGCACCCGGCCATCCTGGAACGGTGAAACCCCCAGCTGCATGGGTGAGTCTCCTGCCACAGTGGGTGGGGCATCTGTTCTGGGAACCCCATTGGGAGGGTCCTATCTCGGGGGTGTCCAGGTGTCCACCTTTGGGGAAAACCCATTCTGAAGGGGTGTTTACCCTGAGGAGTCCCCATCCTGGGGTCTGCAGCCAGAGCTCTTTGTGCGGAGGGTCTCTCTCCTTGGGGTTTCTCCATCCTTGGGTGGTCTCCATCTCGGGGTGTCCCACTGGAGATTTTATTTTGGGAGTCACCATTCTGGAGGTCCCTTCTGGGGTAGCGTCCTCATCCTAGAGGAAGCCATTTTTAGGGTTCATGTCCAGAGGGCTTCTATCCTAGAGAGCCTCTTACTGGGATTCCCATCCCGTGGTGTCTTCACTCTGAAAGTCCTGTCCTGAAGATTTCCCAGCTGAGGCTTTGAATTTTAGGGATCCTTGTAACTCCCCATCCTAGAGTATCCGCAGTTGGAGAGTCTTCATTTTAGTGGTGTCTCCATCCTAGGAGGTGTCAATCCTGGGGTTCTCCCGTACCGGGGCTGGTTTCTTTCCTGGCTCATGCCTGGAGAAGGTCCCATCCTCTGGAGTGACTCCATGGGACAGAGGCCAGCCCTGGGCCGGGTCCCAGCCAAATGTGTGAATGCAACAGTTCTGAAAACGGGCCGAGGCCCCGAGGAGAAGGACAGTTCACCTCAGGCTGGCCTTAACGTACCCCTCCTCTGCCCACAGCATCCTGTGGTGGCACCATCCACAATGCCACCCTGGGCCGCATCGTGTCCCCAGAGCCTGGGGGAGCCGTAGGGCCCAACCTCACCTGCCGTTGGGTCATTGAAGCAGCTGAGGGGCGCCGGCTGCACCTGCACTTTGAAAGGGTCTCGCTGGATGAGGACAATGACCGGTAAGGGTCTGGGTCTTGGGTCAGAAGTCCCCACCTTGGCCGGGCATGGTGGCTCATGCCTGTAATCCCAGTACTTTGGGAGGCCGAAGCAGGCGGATCACAAGGTCAGGAGATCGAGTCCATCCTGGCTAACACGGTGAAACCCCATCTCTACTAAAAATACAAAAAAAAAAAAAAAAAATTAGCCGGGCATGGTGGTGGGCACCTGTAGTCCCAGCTACTCGGGAGGCTGAGGCAGGAGAATGGCGTGAACCCGGGAGGCAGAGCTTGCAGTGAGCCAAGATCGCACCACTGCACTCCATCCTGGGAGACAGAATGAGACTCCGTCTCAAAAAAAAAAAAAGAAGTCCCCACCTCAGGGAAGTAGGGAGGCTAAGTGGGGACTTGGACACAGCTGGGGTGGATCCTGGTTGAGATATGCATCACAGCTTAGTCCTAAGCCTTTTTTTTTTTTTTTTTCTTTTTTTGAGACAGAGTTTCACTCTTGTTGCCCAGGCTGGAGTGCAGTGCCGCAGTCTTGGCTTACCGCAACCTCTGCCTCCCGGGTTCAAGTGATTCTCCTGCCTCAGCCTCCTGATTAGTTGGGATTACAGGCATGCACCACCATGCCCAGCTAATTTTGCATTTTTAGTAGAGATGGAGTTTCTCCATGTTGGTCAGGCTGGTCTCAAACTCCCAACCTCAGGTGATCTGCCCACCTTGGCCTCCCAAAGTGCTGGAATTATAGGCGTGAGCCACCACACCCAGCCAGTCCTAAGACTTTCTTAGGAAGTGTAGCTGTGAAACCTTAGACAAATCACTTAACTTCTTTGTGCCTCAGTTTCCTCATCTGTAGAATGGAGATAACAATACTTCCCTCTTCAGGTTTCTGTGAGGATAAGTGCTGAAATTATATAAAGTCCTTAGAATGGCACCTGGGACAATAAGCACTATAAAAGTGTCTGCTATCCTCTTTTTTTTTTTTTTTTAAGATGGAGTCTCACCCTGTCGCCCAGGCTGGAGTGCAGTGGTGCGATCTCGGCTCACTACAACCTCTGTCTCCCAGGCTCAAGCTATTCTCCTGCCTTAGCCTCCCGAGTAGCTGGGACTACAAGCGTGTGCCACCACGTCCGGCTAATTTTTTGTACTTTTTTTTTTAGTAGAGTTGGGGTTTCACCGTGTTAGCCAGGATGGTCTCGATCTCCTGACCTCGTGATCCACCCACCTCAGCCTCCCAAAGTGCTAGGATTACAGGCATGAACCACTGCACCTGGCCTTATTTATCTATTTATTTATTTTTGGAGACAGACTTTCGCTCTGTCACCCAGGCTGGAGTGCAGTGGCACGGATTCAGCTCACTGCAACCTCCACCTCCCAGATGCAAGCAATTCTCCTGCCTCAGCCTCCTGAGTAGCTGGGATTATAGGCATGCACCACCATGCCTGGCTAATTTTTGTATTTTTAGTAAACATGGGGTTTTACCATGTTGGCCAGCCTGGTCTTGAACTCCTTGACTTCAGGTGATCCACCCGTCTTGGCTTCCCAAAGTGCTGGGATGACAGGTGTGAGCTGAGCCACCATGCCTGGTCAAGCATCTGCTATCTTCATCATCATTATCATCCTTTACCTAGCAACTTGGTATCTCAGCCCTGCCACTACTTGCTCTGTGACCTTGGACAGGTTACTTGATCTTTCTATGCCCTAATATCCTCATCTATAAAATAAAGGATAATAATAGTGTCTGACTCAAGAGTTCTTGTGAAAATTAAATGAGATAGAATGTGTAAGGGCTTAGAAGAGTGCGTGGCATATAGTTATGTGTGATGATAACAGCTATAAAAATAAGTTAGGAAAGCAGGCAAGGGGTGAGGCAGCTTGTGAGGGAGATTGAGCTCCTGGTCACGTTTCTGTCCATCCCAGGCTGATGGTGCGCTCAGGGGGCAGCCCCCTATCCCCCGTGATCTATGATTCGGACATGGACGATGTCCCCGAGCGGGGTCTCATCAGTGACGCCCAGTCCCTCTACGTGGAGCTGCTGTCAGAGACACCTGCCAATCCCCTGCTGTTAAGCCTTCGATTTGAAGGTAAGTGACCCACTCCCCCACAGGACCCCAACCGCCACACCTTCCCCTCTTCCTGACACCAAGCATAGTCGGAAGCACAAACTCTATGCCTGTTCATCTCCGTGCTGGGTTCCTTGAAACGTGACTCGCTTCCCTGCCCCAAAACTGCAAGGATCTCTTCTAGGGACCCCTTCTCCTTCCCCCAGGCAGCCTTCTCTGTTTAAGCTTCATGAATGTCTGGATCCAGGTACATAGCCCAGAGACCAGTTATCTCAGTATCTCGGTTCTTTCCTCTGTGCTGGCTTCATCCTTAGGCACTTTCCCTGTGTGATGGACATAGCTGCCGACTTACATACCACCAACTTAATTTTTATTTTATTTATTTATTTATTTATTTTTTGAGACGAGTCTCGCTCTGTCACCCAGGCTGGAATGCAGTGGCGCCATCTTGGCTCACTGCAAGCTCCGCCTTCCGGGTTCACGCCATTCTCCTGCCTCAGCCTCCCGAGTAGCTGGGGCTACAGGCACCCGCCACCGCGCCCGACTAATTTTTTTGTATTTTTAGTAGAGACGGGGTTTCACCGTGTTAGCCAAGATGGACTCGATCTCCTGACCTTGTGATCCGCCTGCCTCGGCCGCCCAAAGTGCTGGGATTACAGGAGTGAGCCACCGCGCCCGGCCTTTATTTATTTTGAGACGGAGTTTTGCTCTTGTTGCCCAGGCTGGGGTGCAATGTCATGATCTCGGCTCACCGCAACCTCTGCCTCCCGGGTTCAAGCGATTTTCCTGCCTCAGCCTCCCGAGTAGCTGGGATTACAGGCATGCGCCACCATGCCCAGCTAATTTTGTATTTTTAGTAAAAATGGGGTTTCTCCACGTTGGTCAGGCTGGTCTGGAACTCCCGAACTCAGGTGATCTGCCCGCCTCCGCCTCCCAAAGTGTTGGGATTACAGGCGTGAGCCACTGCGCCTGACAGTTTTTAGTTTTTATTTATTTTTATTTATTTATTTATTTTGAGACAGAGTTCCTCTCTGTCGCCCAGGCTGGAGTGCAGTGGCGCGATCTCAGCTCACTGCAGCCCCCCTCCTCCAGGTTCAAGCGATTCTCATTCCTTAGCCTCCCGAGTAGCTGGGATTACAGGCATGCATCACCACGCCCAGCTAATTTTTGGGTTTTTAGTAGAGACGGGGTTTCACCATGTTGCCCAGGCTGGTCTTGAACTCCTGGGCTCAAGTGATTCGCCCATGTGGGACTCCCAAAGTGCCAGGATTACAGGTGTAAGCCACCTCCTCCAGCCCATACCACCAACCGAGTAACCTCATCAGAGAGAACACTCATATATTTCCTGAGAGCTCAGCAAAAATGCCAGGAGAGGCGTTCATTGACCTGACTAAGATCCTGGTTGGCCTTAGCCTGAGCCAATCACTGAGCTAGGAGAAGGGAGTATTGGGATTGGCTAATCTGCCTCACGTGGCCTTCCCTGGTGGGCTCCAACTTAACCTAGTGGACTGGGAGTGGGGAAGGCCTGCGTCCCAAAATTAAAATTGGGATGCCGTTACCAGAAGAAGAGGAATGAATGTGAAGGGGTAGAAACAAGGAAGTGATCATGGAGGAAGAGGCATTTCACCTTGGCCTTAAAGGATAGAGGGTATTTTATTATTATTATTATTATTATTGAAATAGGTCTTGCTTTGTCGCCCAGGCCGTAGTGCGGTGGCCCGATCATGGTTCACTGCAACCTCAACCTCCTGGGCTCAAGTGATCCTCCTGCCTCAGCCTCCCTAGTAGCTGGGACCACAAGCGTTCGGCACCATGCCTGGGTAATTTTTACATTTTTTGTAGAGACAGCATCTCACTATGTTGCCCAGGCTGGTCTCCAACTACTGAGCTGAAGTGATCCTCCCACCTCGGCCTCTCAAAGTGCTAGGATTACAGGCGTGAGCCACCCTGCCCAGCCAACAGAGGATATTTTAAAAGAGGAAGATTGAGGCCAGTTGTGGTGACTCGTGTCTCTAATCCCAGTACTTTGGGAGGCCAAGGTGGGATGATTGTTTGAGGCCAGGAGTTTGAGAACCAGTCTGAGCAACATAGTGAGATCCTGTGTCTACAAATTAAAAAAAAGTAATAATTATCCAGGTGTGGTGGCACACACCTCTAGTCCCAGCTACATGGAAGGTTGAGGTGGGAGGATCACTTGAACCCCACTTGAACCCCAGAGGTTGCAGTGAGCTATGATTGCACCACTGTGCTCCAGCCTGGGCAACAGAGCAAGACCCTGTCAAAAAAAAAGAAGAAAAGAAAAGAAAAGGAAAGAGAGGAACTTTGAGAAACAGCAAGTAGGGAAATGCCTGGTATGTCTGGGAAACAGAATTTCATTGTGGCTGAAACAGAGGAGTTGTATAAACAGTAGCAAGAGAGAGACCAAAAAGATGAAATGCTTAGAGATAGGAGGGTCTAGTGTTTGATATGAATCATGGGAGAAATGGAATTGGCACTCGGCTGTGATGGATGGGTAGGATTTGGACATGATACCTTGCAGGTTAAGTAACAGTGAAATAGAACAGTGGATCTGCAAAAATGAATTGCGGGATAGATTCTGGGAGTGTTAAAGTGCAAACAGCACAGATCTTTTACCGAAAATAGCAAGTTGTGAGTCCTGACTCCAGAGTTGTAGGCCACTGCTATTCTATGAGTTTAAGATTCTTCACTGTGGCCAGGCACAATGGCTAACGCCTGTAATCCCAGCACTTTGGGAGGTTAAGATGGGAGGATCACTTGAGCCTGGGAGTTGGAGACCAGCCTGGGCAACATAGCAAGACCTTTGTCTCTACAAAACAAAACAAAACAAAAAATTAGCCAGGTGTGGTGGTGCACACTTGTGGTCCCAGCTGCTTGGGAGGCTGAGGCAGGAGGATCGCTTGAGCTCAGGAGGTCAAGGCTGCTGTGAGTTGTGATCCCACCATTGCACGCTCCAGCCTAGGTGACAGAGCAAGGCCCTGTCTCATTTTTTTCCTTTTTTTTTTTTTTTTGAGATGGAGTTTCGCTCTTGTCACCCAGGCTGGAGTGCAATGGCGCAATCTCGGCTCACTGCAACCTCCGCCTTCCGGGTTCAAGTGGTTCTCCTGCCTCAGCCTTCTGAGTAGCTGGGATTACAGGCATGTACCACCACGCCCAGCTAATTTTTGTGTTTTTAGTAGAGACGGAGTTTCACCATGGTGGTCAGGCTGGTCTCAAACTCCTGACCTCAGGTGATTCACCTGCCTCAGCCTCCCAAAGTGGGGGGATTACAGGTGTGAGCCACTGCATCTGGCCTCATTTTTAAAAATAAATAAAATAACCCGGGCACAGTGGCTCATGCCTGTAATCTCCGCATTTTGGGAGGCTGAGGCAGGTGGATCACTTGAGCCCAGGAGTTTGAAACCAGCCTAGGCAACATGGCAAAGCCCCATTTCTACTAAAAACACAGAAATTAGCCAGGTGTGGTAGTACGTGCCTGTAATCCCAGCTACTCAGGAGGCTGAGACATGAGAATGGCTTGAACCTGGGAAGCCGAGTTTGCAGTGAAGTGAGATCATGCCACTGCACTCCAGCCTGGGCGACAGAGCGAGACTCAGTCTCAAAAAATAAAAAAATAAAATATTAAAATAAAATTAAAAATCTCAAAAAAAAAAAAAAAAGGCCGGGTATGGTGGCTCACGCCTATAATCCCAGCACTTTGGGAGGCTGAGGCGGGTGGATCACCTGAGGTCAGGTGTTCGAGACCAGCCTGGCCAACATGGTAAAACCCCATCTCTACTAAAAAAATACAAAAATTAGCCGGGGGTGGTTGTGGGTGCCTGTAATCCCAGCTACTCGGGAGGCTGAGGCAGGAGAATCACTTGAACCTGGGAGGCAGAGGTTGCAGTGAGCCGAGATCACACCATTGCACTCCAGCCTGGGCAACAAGAGCGAAACTCCATCCCAAAAAAAAAAAAAAAAAAAAAAAAGAATTCCTCATTGGTATCATAGGCACCTAAATCTTAACTTACAGGGAGTTTTGCAGCTAAGATCCGATCAGGTGGGCAGAAACTCAAATGCTCTACAAATGTTCACTTTTGCTGACTTGAAGTAAAAACTGAGTAGTTTTTGCATTAGCTGAAATTTTGGGTTTCAGCAACAGCATGGATGATCAGAATCCAACTGTTATTTCTGAGGAGACAATACACCTACACCAGCCAGTTCTCTGAAGGCACCCCTCCCCTTACCCGCTATCTCTGCTGTTTCCAGAGCCAAGTATCTGTGGCTGGGAATCAAACCATCTGGGTTTGAGACCTGCTTTTGCCATTGTCTTTTGTGTGACCTTGAGCAAGTGGCTTTTTGGTCTATGGACCTCCGCTCTGTAGAATGGTGGCTGGGATTTGGCTAGCTCAGTGGCTTCCCTCCAGAGGCCAGGGAGGCAATATAAATATGTGAATGAGGAGTGTTAGAACTTTTTTTGACAGTCTGGAGAGTGAATGCTAAACCCAGTGGCATTCAGTTTTTAAAAACCCACCAACGCCAGGGCAATGGCTCATACCTGTAATCCCAGCACTTTGGGAGGCCGAGGCCAGCGGATCACCTGAGGTCAGGAGTTCGAGACCAGCCTAAGTAACATGGTGAAACTCCATCTCTACAGAAAAAAAAAAAAAATCAGAAAATGAGCTGCTGGGTGGGGTGTGCATGCTTGTAGTCCCAGCTACCAGAGAGGCTGAGGTGGGAGGATCACTTGAGCCTAGAAGATCTAGGCTGCAATGAGCTGTGATCACACCACTGCACTCCAGCCTGGGCAACAGAGTGAGACCCTGTCTCTAAAAAAATTAAAAAAAAACCCAGGCTGGGCGCAGTGACTCATGTCTGTAATCCCAGCATTTTGGGAGGCTGAGGCAGGCAGATCACTCGAGGCCAGGAGTTCAAGACCAGCCTAGCCGACATGGTGAAACCCCTGTCTCTACTAAGAATACAAAAATTGGCCAGGCACGGTGGCTCATGCCTGTAATCCCAGCACTTTGGGAGGCCGAGGCAGGCAGATCACCTGAGGTCGGGAGTTTGAGACCAGCCTGATCAACCTGGAGAAACCCCGTCTCTACTAAAAATACAAAAAATTAGCCAGGCGTAGTAGCACATGCCTATAATCCCAGCTACTCAGGAGGCAGGAGAATCGCTTGAACCCAGGAGGCGGAGGTTGCGGTGAGCCAAGATTGTGCCATTGCACTCCAGCCTGGGCAACAAGTGTGAAATTCCATCTCAAAAAAAAAAAAAATAGCTGGGCATGGTGGTGCACGCCTGCAATCCCAGCTACCTGGGAGGCTGAGGCATGAGAATTGCTTGAACCTGGAAGTCAGAGGCTGCAGTGAGCCAAGGTTGTACCACTGCACTCCAGCCTGGGCGACAGCACAAGACTGTTTAAAAAAAAAAAAAAGCCCAGTGAGTGGCCAAAGAACACCCCAATTCAGCCCACATCCCCAATTTAAGATCCCTTGAGGCCTGTCCTAATGCTTAATTGTTATGACTGACTCCTTCCCAGCCTTTGAGGAGGATCGCTGCTTCGCCCCCTTCCTGGCACATGGAAATGTCACTACCACGGACCCTGAGTATCGCCCAGGGGCACTGGCAACCTTCTCGTGCCTCCCAGGATATGCCCTGGAGCCCCCTGGGCCCCCCAATGCCATCGAATGTGTGGATCCCACAGAACCCCACTGGAACGACACAGAGCCGGCCTGCAAAGGTGAGCCTTCCTTGTCGCAGGCATGTCCTTCAGTCCACGTTGCCCCCTGAACTGGGGATCCCAGCAAGGCCGTTCAGAAAGGAAGGCTGCACATCCAGACTTCATCCACCCAAGCCTTGGGTAAATCCCTGTCCCTTCAGAGGCTGTTTTCTTAGCTGAATAACTGCTGGGCTTGTTACTGAATGCAGGGGTCACAAACCCAAATGTCTTCAAGAGCGAGAACTGCTGTTGGGTTAAGTCACAGATTGGGCAGGCTGGAGAGTGGGCAGGGTTTGTTAAGAGCAGGACTGGATATTGAACACAACAGGACCTAGATGCGGCAAGAAACAGGTAGATCATGGCTGGGCACGGTGGCTCACGCCTGTAATACCAGCACTATGGGAGGCTGAGGCGGGCGGATCACCTGAGGTCGGGAGTTCGAGACCAGCCTGATCAACATGGAGAAACCCTGTCTCTACTTAAAATACAAAATTAGCTGGGCATGGTGATGCATGCCTGTAATCCCAGCTACTCAGGAGGCTGAGGCAGGAGAATCGCTTGAACCCGGGAGGCGGAGGTTGCGGTGAGCCGAGATCGCAGCACTGCACTCCAGCCTGGGCAAGAAGTGTGAAACTCCGTCTCAAAAAAGAAAGAAAGAAAGAAAAAAGAAACAGGTGGATAAAGCCGGGAGCAGTGTCTCACGCCTGTAATCCCAACACTCTGGGAGGCTCAGGCAGGCGGATCACCTGAGGTCAGGAGTTGGAGACCAGCCTGGTCAATAGAGTGAAACCCCGTCTCTACTAAAAATACAAAAATTAGCCGGGCATGGTAGTGCGTGCCTGTAATCCCAGCTACTTGGGAGGCTGAGGCACGAGAATCGCTTGAGTCTGCGAGGTGGAGATTGCAGTGAGCCGGGATTGCGCCACTGCACTCCAGCCTGGGCGACAGAGTGAGACTCTGTCTAAAAAAATAAAAATAGGGGCTGGACCTGGTGGCTCACGCCTGTAATCCCAGCACTTTGGGAGGCCAAGGCGGGCAGATCACGAGGTCAGGAGATCGAGACCATTCTGGCTAACACCGTAAAACCCCGTCTCTACTAAAAATACAAAAAAAAAAAAAAAGAAAAAAGAAAAAAAAATAGGGTGTGGTGGCGGCGCCTGTAGTCCCAGCTACTCGGGAGGCTGAGGCAGGAGAATGGCGTGAACCAGGGAGGCAGAGCTTGCAGTGAACCAAGATCGCACCACTGCACTCCAGCCTGGGCGACAGAGAGACTCCGTCTCAAAAAAAATTTAAAAATAAATAAATAAATAAAATAAAAGAATAAAAGAAACAGGTGGATCATAGGTAATAGGAAACAAGCGAGGTGATGTGGTGCACGCATCACGAGTGGTGAGGACTGTGGAGAAATGAAGACAGCATGCCCACCTGGGTCCTGAACCTGACACCCCTTTTTCCCTAGCCATGTGTGGAGGGGAGCTGTCGGAACCAGCTGGCGTGGTCCTCTCTCCCGACTGGCCCCAGAGCTATAGCCCGGGCCAAGACTGCGTGTGGGGCGTGCACGTCCAGGAAGAGAAGCGCATCTTGCTCCAAGTTGAGATGTATGTTTGGGTCCTGCAGAGGGTGCGACGGGTGTAGGCTCAGCAAAGTGTGGTATGCCAATGCAGTAGCCTGCATTCTGAGCCTGTCTGGCTCTTGCGTATCTATCCAGAATTCGGTGGATAGGCTGGTGCACTAAGGGTACAGGATAGACGTGAGAGAGCTGGGCTCAAATCACATATTAGCCAGGCAACCTCGGACAAATAAATAGGGCAATGCAGCCTTCCTTAGGGGCCACTGTGAACAAGGGGCTCTGGCCTGGTGCCTCTCACTCTTTGGAGGTTTCTGAGGCTTCCCCTGGAGCTATTTCCACGGACACAGACCCAAACTGTTGCGTTAACACCAGCAAGTTGGGGAGGTCTGGGGAGAATCCAGTGAGCTGAATTGGTATGAGAGTGTCATGAGATGGCACAGAAGCTGAAGTGGGCGTGGCTTCAAAGCAGGTACTCAGGCGGGGCCTAGAGTTGTGTAGGGCGTTAGCGAATTTGGTCTGTGATTGGCCAGAGCTGGAGTTGGGCTAGGCTGTGGATCTCATGGTGATGGAGGAGGGAGTGGACAGTGGGCGGAGTTAGTAATGTGCAAGCTTAGGGATTGGGTAGTAGGACATGGGAGGAGCCATAGAATAGGGGAACCCTGAGGCACTAGCATAGGAGAAACCATGGTTGGTCAAAACGGAGGCGGCGCCAGACCTGGGATAGGAGAATATGGGCGGGGCTGGAGAGTAGGAGGGGCTACCAATGAGCAGAGTTGAGGATGGGGCAGAGCTGGATGGGAGGGGCCAGTCGCAGCCCCGCCCCATTGCCTGGTCTCACCCCCTGCAGATTGAATGTGCGGGAAGGGGACATGCTGACGCTGTTCGACGGGGACGGTCCCAGCGCCCGAGTCTTGGCCCAGCTGCGGGGACCTCAGCCGCGCCGCCGCCTTCTCTCCTCTGGGCCCGACCTCACACTGCAGTTTCAGGCACCGCCCGGGCCCCCAAATCCAGGCCTGGGCCAGGGCTTCGTATTGCACTTCAAAGGTACTGAGGGATAGAGTCCCGGGATGGGCAGGGGTCGGGCAGGCCAGAGATCCCGGGAGGTGGCCGGTCGTGGTGGCTCACGCCTGTTATCCCGGGGCCTTGGGAGGCCGAGGCGGGAGGATCGTTTGAAGCCAGGAGGTTGAGGCTGCAGTGAGCTATGCTTGTACCACTGTACTCCAGCCTGGGCGACAGGAAACCCTGTCTCTAAGAGAGAGAGAGAGAGACAGATCCCGGGAGGGGGCACAGAGCAAAGCCTCCGAGGCTGGAAGGGAGCCCGCAGTTAAAACGCAGCCTCCAAACTCGCCTTCCCTCCCCTGCAGAGGTCCCGAGGAACGACACGTGCCCCGAGCTGCCACCTCCGGAGTGGGGCTGGAGAACGGCATCCCACGGGGACCTGATCCGGGGCACGGTGCTCACCTACCAGTGCGAGCCTGGCTACGAGCTGCTAGGCTCCGACATTCTCACTTGCCAGTGGGACCTGTCTTGGAGCGCCGCGCCGCCCGCCTGCCAAAAGAGTGAGCCGGCCCCGCCCGCGTCCCCTCGGCCCCGCCCCTTCCCTGTGGGCCCCGTCGTCGGCCTGTCCTGTCCCGACCCCCGTGCTTTCTGGGTTCCATCCCTTCGCTCGGGGTCCTTCCTGGATCTTCTTCAAGGCCTGCCCCCATGCCCTTTAGTTCTCACTCCTCCGCCCGGTTCCCCGAAACTGTCCCCTCTGGGTCTCCCTCTCATCTTCTCCGGGCTGCATCCCTCTTTCTTGCACCGACCTGGGCTCGGTCCCTGTTTCCTCGTCTCACGGCCCCGCCCCGTCCCCTCCTGACCCCTCCTCTGCGGCATCTGAGTTTGGCCCCTAAAAGGGCTCCGACCAGGTTCCCACTGGGCTCCCCGGGTCCACACTTGGCTCCACCTTCCTGTCCTACGCCCCGCCCCAATCCCGCAGTCCTATCAGTTGAAATTGTAGGGAGCCACTTTGCTAGGACCAAGGCTTGTCAGAGCACTTGGTTTATTTGAATGCCATCATTGAAGCCCCGTGCTGGGTTGGGGTTAGGCGAAGGGGGTTCAAGCCCCTCCATACTCTTATGGAGCTCGCAGTCTGGGAGGGATACGCAGGGTGGTGATCACTGGGTGACTTTGGGCGAGGCACTTAGCATTTCTGAGGCTTGGTTTCCCCATCGGCGAAGTAGGACTGAGGTTGTGAAGAGCAGATGGAAAGTTCACAGGGCGCATGCTGCCCTGGGCGTGGCGAAGTGCTGTGGGGAGAGCAGTGGGCTAATTTTCTCAGGGCTGGGGCAGGAGATTTCACAGAGGAGGTGACATTTAAAGGAGCTGGGAGTGTGTATCTTTTAGAAGAGCAGAAAGGGCCAGGTGCGGTGGATCACCTGAGGTCTGGAGTTCGAGACCAGCCTGGCCAACATGGTGAAACCCCGTCTCTACTAAAAATAAAAAACTATCTGGGCATGGTGGCATACGCCTGTAATCCCAGATACTCAGGAGGCTGAGGAAGGAGAATCGCTTGAACCTGGGAGGTGGAGGTTGCAGTAAGCTGAGATTGTGCCATTGCATTCCATCCTGCGCCACGGGAGTGATACTCCATCTCAAAAAAAAAAAAAAGAAAGAAAGAAAGAAAGAAAAAGAAAATTGAAGAGCAGAAAGGAATGGCAGCTGGTTACTTTCTCCAAATTTTAGGAAGCCAGCCCCAAGGACATGGGGCTGTAGTTCCATGTGGCATCTGGAAGCAATGGTGGGACCAAGGGGAGAAGCTTCAGGTAGCCAGATTTGGGCTGGACAAAGCTTCCCGCCCCTGGAAGGATTCACAGGATATCAGGCCTGGATGGGGCTGAGAGTTCGGCTGGCCCCGCTGCCTCGGGCTCAGGAGGGAACCTGCCCAAGGCAGCAGATTGAGCCTGAAGGTGTGCCAGGACCCACATATCTGAGTCCCTGTCCAGTGCTCCATGGCTGTGACCCTGGGCAGATTCCGGCTCTGCCACTCCCTGGCTGAATGACCATGGGCCAAGTCCTTTGACCGCCCTGAGCCCTGGGCTCCAAGGGAGATGACAGTGACATTGGCCTCTCAGGATAATCAGGATTAAATATTATGTTTGTGCCAGGTGTGGTGGCTCACATCTGAAATTGCAGTGCTTTGGAAGGCCAAGGTGGGAGGATCACTTGAGCCCAGGAGATTGAGAACAGCCTGGGCAACATAGTGAGACCCTGTCTCTACAAATAATAAAAAATATAGCCAGGCATGGTGGTATATGCCTGTAGTCCCAGCTACTCAGAAGGCTGTGGTGCGAGAATTGCTTAAGCCCAGGAGTTTGAGGCTGCAGTGAGCCGTGATCTCACCACTGCATTCCAGCTTGAGTGACAGAGCAAGTTCTCGTCTCCAAAACAAAGAATTATATTTGGGGCCAGCCGTGGTGGCTCACACCTGTAATCCCAGCACTGGTGGAGGCTGAGGTGGGTGGATCACCTGAGGTCAGGAGTTCGAGACCAGCCTGGCCAACATGGCGAAACCCTGTCTATACTAAAAATACAAAAATTAGCTGGGCATGGTAGCGAATGCCTGTAATCGCAGCTACTCGGGAGGCTGAGGCAGGAGAATCTCTTGAGTCCAGAAGGCAGAGGTTGCAGTGAGCCGAGATGCGCCACTGCACTCCAGCCTGGGCGACAGAGCGAGACTCCCATCTCAAAAAAAAAAAAAAAAAAAAAAAAAAAAAAAAAAAAAACAAGCACACACACAAAGAATTATATTTGTTTGTAAAACATTTAGCAGGGTACGTAGCTCAGGCTTATATACAAGAAATGGCTATGATTATGATTCCTTCACAACAGGGTTGTAAACTCAAACGCCTGAAGGCAGGGAGTGTATGTGAGTGAACTGGGCTGGGCATAATGAGAATACTGGGGACAGGAGAGCTGGGCCCCCTCTAAAGAGGGCAGCTGCTGTTCCACAGACTACAAGCCATGTTGGGCTCACCCTGCTGGGATTTGGCTAGTATGCTCTGGTATGGTGGTTAAATATTTTGAATTTCACCCCAGGATAGGGGCTTGGGGTTTCCCCAAGCAAACTGTTTACTAAACGAAGCCTGAAATATAACATACGTTGAATTTTGAAAAAAATTAAGCCTGTCATTCTGGCCTGAAAATAGATGCACTGCATTTTAAGTTTTTCCAATTCATGCTCTCTTCCTTCTGAGGAATTGGTGGGAAGTGCGTGTGTGTGCAGAGGTGTTCAGAGGAAACAGCCTGAGGCTCAGGCCTCTCCCAGCCCTAAGCTTCTGGGAGATTTTCTTTTATTTTTTTTAGACTGGGTCTCACTCTGTCACCCAGGCTGGAGTGCAGTAGCGTGGTCACCATTCACTGCAGCCTCGACCTGCTGGGTTCGAGCGATCATCCCGCCTCCAACTCCTGAGTAGCTGGAACCACAGGAGTGCGCCACCACTCCTGGCTAATTTTTCAATTTTTTGTAGAGATGGGGTCTCTCTGTGTTGCCCAGGCTGATCTTTGAAGGCCCTCGCTCCCCCTGACCTTGTTCTTCTGCCACCAGTCATGACTTGTGCTGACCCTGGCGAGATTGCCAACGGGCACCGCACCGCCTCGGACGCCGGCTTCCCCGTTGGCTCCCACGTCCAGTACCGCTGCCTGCCAGGGTACAGCCTCGAGGGGGCAGCCATGCTCACCTGCTACAGCCGGGACACAGGCACACCCAAGTGGAGCGATAGGGTCCCCAAATGCGCCTGTGAGTCTGGGGCACACCCTGGGAGGGTGGCTGGGTAGCCCTGGGAGAGCCCGTCTGCCCCGTGCACAGTAGTGCAGCTGGCACGTGACTGGCATGCTCCCCGCAGTGAAGTACGAGCCGTGCCTGAACCCGGGGGTTCCCGAGAATGGCTACCAGACGCTGTACAAGCACCACTACCAGGCGGGCGAGTCTCTGCGCTTCTTCTGCTATGAGGGCTTTGAGCTTATCGGCGAGGTCACCATCACCTGTGTGCCCGGCCACCCCTCCCAGTGGACCAGCCAGCCCCCACTCTGCAAAGGTGCCTGGCCAGACAGGGCAGGAGGGGCACACCAGTGTCCGGGAAGTGACAGGGCTGGGAGAGTCAGGTAGCACATTTGAGACCAATGGGCGACCCCACAGAGCTCCCGGTTCTCCTCCTGTGGCCTCGTGTCCTCACGGGTGTGTCCAGAAGCCCTGGGTCGTGTGAGGTCATGGGATTGGCTCAGGGGTGTAGTAGAGGGGGCCTTGGCTTGGAAGTCCCTTGCTCTGAATAGGCCTCAGTTTCCCTATCGCTGACAAGTTCTAGTTTGGCTCAGACTGTCCAGGAACCCTGACTTTTTAGGGGTCTGGAGAAAGAGGACAAAGGCCCTGTGCTGGTCACTCCTCTCTCTTCCCCACAAAGGGAGAAAGTTGAGGTTGAGCAGAGGGCAGAGAGAACCAGGCTGTCCAGCCCAGCCCCACCGGGCTCCCGGCCCCTCCCAGCCTCCTCCCCTCCCTGGCTCAGACCCCATCCCCTCCCCCTCCTCTCCCTGCAGTTGCCTATGAGGAGCTCCTGGACAACCGAAAACTGGAAGGTCAGTGAGAGCACAGGTGGAGACCCAGGCTGGCCAGGTTGGGAGGGCAAGGCAGAGGCTGGGGCAGGAGGCCAGGCCTTGGAGGGATGAAGCCCAGGGTTTGAGGCCCAGGGCAGGAGGCTGGGAGAGCCCAGGACCGGGCCCAGCCACAGCTCACCGGCCTCTCCTCCTCCTGTAGTGACCCAGACCACAGATCCATCACGGCAGCTGGAAGGGGGGAACCTGGCCCTGGCCATCCTGCTGCCTCTAGGCTTGGTCATTGTCCTCGGCAGTGGCGTTTACATCTACTACACCAAGTAAGTAGCCTGCTTGGGGACTGCCGGCCAGGGCAGACGTCTTGCGAGCCTGGCACTGGAGCCTGGGTCAGGGGAGCTCAGGGGCTTACCTGTTGATAAGCTCCTCTGTCCTCTCCCTTTCCCAGGCTTCAGGGAAAGTCCCTTTTCGGCTTCTCGGGCTCCCACTCCTACAGCCCCATCACCGTGGAGTCGGACTTCAGCAACCCGCTGTATGAAGCTGGGGTAAGCACCTTGCCTGCCCCTGAAGAGCCACCACTTGGCTCTCCCAGGACTCCATAACCTTCTCGCAAGGTCTCTGGAATCTCTGTCTTGGGAATTTCAAACTCAGCTGCCCCCAGAGGCCATGTCAATGAGCATAGCAAGCCATGTGTATACAATAGGGAGTGGTGAGGACTGTGGCTAAGTGGAGGACTTGTGCCCCATCTCAAGAATACGGCTCTACCCCATAGTCGAAACTGAGGCACAATTGGCAGATCTTCCAATTATTCAAGACAAGCCAGAAATTCAGATTTTTGTGTCATTTTACGACACCGTAGGATGAACCAAACACATTCACTGGCCCCCCAGCCCCTAGAGGTCAATGTTACTTTAAAACCCAGGATCGTTGCCCCTCCTCCCATTCGGCTGCCTCTTCCACCCCTATCAGACTCCAACAACTGACCTGATCTCTCTGTCTTCAGGATACGCGGGAGTATGAAGTTTCCATCTGAACCCCAAGACTACAGCTGCAGGACCCAGGACGCCCCTCCCCTCCTCATTCGGGCAGAGGGAAATACGGGACCCGGTCTCTGCCTCCTGGCTGCCCTCCTCCCTGGCTGTGTAAATAGTCTCCCTATCCCACGAGGGGGCTTTGATGGCCCTGGAGATCCTACAGTAAATAAACCAGCATCCTGCCGCCCAAAGCCGCCTCTTCTCAGTTGCCAAACGAGGGGCCTGCCCCCCGCCCTACCGGCTTTTGGATTCTGGGAGGGGAACTCTGCCTCCCTGCAAATCTTGCAGCCCCTCCTGCCCAGGGCACCCCTCAAGGACTGCCCCCGATAGCTCTACTGTTCCCTTGGCCACGAAGGTGCCCCCCTCCCAGATGCCCTGGCCCTAGGCCTGACTCCGGCCAGGAGGGTCAGAAGAAGGACAAAGGGGAGAGCTGGGACAAGGCCTTGCCCCCTTCCTGCCATCTCCCCAACCCACAGTCTCTCCACCTTTGCTTCTGAATTCTTGTTTTTGAGCAATAAACAGAAAATCGCCACTTGTAATTGGGCCGGTGGAGTGTGGGGAGGTGGTCACCGAGCACTGGACCACTTCTCTGGAGAGAGGGCTGGGGAAAGGGGAACAATTTGAAAAAAAAAAAAAAAAAGGAAATGCGAAAGTGGGCAGAGGGCAGTGTCCGGGGGCCTGGCCTGAGGTAAAAAAGCCTGGCTTTAGGCTCAGCCTCTGTGAAGGCCTCCCTGCGACCAGCCTCACTCCAGGACGCAGTGACCTCTCCACCAGGCCTTCCTTGACATTGTGGGCCTCTTCCAGATGGGAGAGAACTGACAGGAGCCACCCGTCTTCTCTCGCTGCTGGGCAGGAGGCAAACAGCTTTCAATTTCTTTCTTTTTAGAGACAGGGCCTGGCTCTGCCGGCCAGGCTGGAATGCAGTGGTGCCATCACAGCTCACTGCAACCTCAAACTCCTAGGTTCAAGGGATCCTCCCGCCTCAGCATCCTGAGTAGCTGGGACTACAGGTGCAAGCCATGGTGCCTGCCTAATTTTTAAATTTTTTGTAGAAATGAGATCTTGTTACGCTGCCCGGGCTGGTCTCGAACACCTGGCCTCAAGCAATCCTCCTTCCTCAACTTCCCAAAGTTCTGGGATTACAGGCGTGAGCCACCAAGCCTGGCTTTTCAATTTGTCTTATGACCAGTTTGCCTAAAATTCACCCCCTTTGGAGAATTTTTGTATCCATTCAAGTACACCATTTCTTCCCCCCCCCCCAATCTTTTTAGTATTTTAGGCGTATCTGCTGTGACCCATCTACCAATTTGAACTTGTTTTATATCCTTGGGGGTGTCCTTTTCCACTTTATCTTTTTTTTTTTTTTTTTTCACTCTTGTCACTCAGGCTGCAGTACAATGGCGTGATCTTGGCTCACTGCAACCTCCACCTCCTGGGTTCAAGCCATTCTCCTGCCTCAGCCTTTCGAGTAGCTAGGATTACAGGCACCCATGCCTGGTTAATTTTTGTATTTTTAGTAGAGACCGGGTTTTGCCATGTTGGCCAGGCTGGTCTCGAACTCCTGACCTCAGGTGATCTGCCTGCCTGGGCCTCCCAAAGTGCTGGGATTACAGGTGTGAGCCACCTTGCCTGGCCTAATTAAAATTTTATATTTAAGCCGGGCATGGTGGCTCACGCCTGTAATCCCAGCACTTTGGGAGGCCGAGGCGGGCGGATTACGAGGTCAGGAGATCGAGACCATCCTGGCTAACATGGTGAAATCCCTTCTCTACTAAAAATACAAAAAATTAGCTGGGCGTAGTGGCGGGCGCCTGTAATCCCAGCTACTTGGGAGGCTGAGGCAGGAGAATGGCGTGAACCCAGGAGGCGGAGCTGGCAGTGAGCCGAGATTGCGCCACTGCACTCCAGCCTGGGCGACAGAGCCAGACTCCGTCCCAAATAAAATAAAATTTTATATTTAAATGCAATTAAACATTTTTAGGATACTTGAAAGGATGCTGAAATATTCAGAAAGGGGTGGACTTTTAGGAGAATGTGAGGCAAACTGATCTCAATAATAGCAAGCACTTTGTATGCATTATGTTGTTTTTTTGTCTTTTTTTTTTTTTTTTTTTTTTGCGACTGAGTCTTACTCTGTCACCCAGGCTGGAGTGTAGTGGTGCAATCTCAGCTCATTGCAACCTCTGCCTACTGGGTTCAAGTGATTCTCCTGCCTCAGCCTCCCCAGTAACTGGGATTACAGGAGCCTGCCACCACACCCGGTTAATTTTTTTATTTTATTAGAGACGGGGTTTCACTATGTTGGCTAGGCTGGTCTCGAACTCCTGACCTCAAGTGATCCACCCGCCTCAGCCTCCCAAGTGCTGGGATTACAGGCATGAGTCACCACGCCCGGCCTATGTTTTTTTCTTTAGAGACGGTGTCTCTGTAGTGTAGGCTGGAGTACAGTGGCACCATCATAGTTCACTGCAGCCTCAACCTCCTGGGCTCAAGTGATCCTCCAGCCTTAGCCTCCTGAGCAGCTGGGACTACAGATGTGCTCCACCACACCTGGCTAACTTGTTTACCTTTTTAGGGGTGGGGGTTCACTCTGTTACCCAAACTGGTCTTGAACTCCTGTCCTCAAGCGATCCTCCCGCCATACTGTCCGGTGTGTCTCTGGGATTACAGGCATGAGCCACCATGCCTGACTCAATTATGTCTTTTAACTCTCTAAAGGACCCTACGGGACAGGGATCATTTATTAATCCATTTTTTCAGATAAGGAAACTAAGGCTCAGAGATGAGAATTGACTTCCACAGGAGGCTCCAATAAATGGCCAAACTTTGTGCAGTTTGCATTTAGCAATGCAAATGCTAAATGCTAAAATGAATTTAGCCTACTGCAAAGCCTACTGCACTGCTTTCTGGCTAGTAATGAGTGTGATATGTTCTCACAGGCATGAAGCCCAAAGCTCAGAGGGGCAAGGCCATAGCTCAGTGTCCCCATCCCCAATGGTGGTGGCAGAGGTGGCTCCTCAGAAGCAAGAGGAGTCCTGCCAGATGCCACAGACCTAGACCTTAAGGTGCTGGCGTGTGGCCAGGAGGCTGGATTTGGACCCATGAGCTCATCTGTGTCAACAGGCCGGGTGTGGTGGTTCACACCAGTAATCCCAGCACTTTGGGAAGCCGAGGCAGGAGGATCATTTGAGGCCAGGAGTTCAAGACTAGTCTGGGCAACACAGTGAGACACCGTCTCCACACACACAAAAAAATTTTGAGACGGAGTCTCGTTCTGTCGCCCAGGCTGGAGTGCAGTGGTGCGATCTCAGCTCACTGCAACCTCCGCCTCCCAGGTTCAAGTGATTCTCCTGCCACAGCCTCCCTCCCGAGTAGCTCGGACTACAGGCACGTGCCACCATGCCCGGCTAATTTTTTGTATTTTTAGTACAGACAGGGTTTCACCGTGTTGGCCAGGATGGTCTTGATATCCTCAGCTCATGATCTGTGCTGGGATTACAGGCGTAAGCCACCGTGCCTGGCCACAAAAAAATTTTTTTAAAGACTAAACACTCCAATCGTATGCCCACATCCAGCACCCACATCTAGAAAAAAAAATAAAAGCCCCCCCGTCCTGCTTCTCTACCCCAGAGAAACCACACATGAGCAATGCACACCCTGTCTCTTTATTAAAGCACTTTCATTCCTGGTGGTATCCTTGCTGGCTGAGGCTGGAGGGTCCTGTGATGAATCCAGAACACTTTGAAGGCTTCGGGATGATGCTGCTCATGACCAGGAGGTCCCCACAAACGGAAGTGGTTAACGAGTGGCAAAAGAGTAGTTTTGAGGCATGTTCTAGGGACAAAAAGGGGGAGGCATGAGAAGCCAAGAGCATCAAAGAGGGGTGGGCTCATCTTCCAAACTGACTGTTAGGAAGAGCTCCATAAAAGAGACAGAGCCTTTTCACTCTTTAGACCCAAGGCTCATGTCTTTTTTATTTTTCTCGAGACAGGTCTCCCTCTGTCAGCCAGGCTAGAGTGCAGTGGTGTAATCATATCTTCCTGCAGCCTCAACCTGGGCTCCAATGATCCTCCCACCTCAGCCTCCCGAGTAGCTGGGACCACAGCTGTGCACCACCATACCCGGCTAATTTTTTAAACCTCTTGATAGCAGGAACTCTGTTTCGTTCACTGCAACACCCCAGCCCCTCGAGCAGTGCTGGCACATAGTAAGTGCTTAATTTTTATTTATTTAATTTTTTGGAGACAGAGTCTCGATCTGTGGCCCAGGCTGGAGTGCAGTGGTGCAATCTCAGCTCACTGCAACCTCCACCTCCCGGGTTCAATCAAGTCTCTGCCTCAGCTTCTCAAGTAGCTGGGATTACAGGTGCGTGACACAATGCCTGGCTTTTTTTTTTTTTTTTTTTTTTGAGAAAGAGTCTTGCTCTGCAGCCCAGGCTGGAGTGCAGTGGTGTGATCTCGGCTCACTGCAACCTCCAACTCCTGGGTTCAAGCGATTCTCCTGCCTCAGCCTCCTGAGTAGCTGGGATTAGAGGTGCATACCACCAACCCAGCTAATTTTTGTATTTTTAGTAGAGACAGGGTTTCCCCATGTTGGCCAGGCTGGTCTCAAACTCCTGACCTCAGGTGATCTGCCCGCCTGGGCCTCCCAAAGTGCTGAGATTACAGGTGTGAGCCACCGCGCCTGACCTAACGTTTGTATTTTTAGTTAAGACAAGGTTTCACTATGTTGGCCAGGCTGATCTTGAACTCCTGACCTCATGATCCACCCGCCTTGGCCTCCCAAAGTGCTGGGATTACAGGTATGAGCCACCGCACCCAGCTCCTCCTACTATTTCTTTCTTTCTTTTCTTTTTTTTAAATTTTTCTTTTTGAGACAGGGTCTTGCACTGTCACTCAGGCTGGAATGCGGTGGCATGAACATGGTTCACTGCAGCCTCAACCTCCTAGGCTCAAGTGATCCTCTGGCCTCCGCCTCTCAAGTAGCTGAGACCACAGGTTCGTGCCACCACACCTGGCTAATTTTTTTAACTTTTTATAGAGATGGGGTCTCTCTATGTTGCCCAGGCTATTCTTGAACTCCTGGGCTCAAGCGATCCTCCCACCTCCCAAGTAACTGGGATCACAGGCACATGCCATCATGCCTGGGGTATCACCATGTTGCCCAGGCTGGTCTCAAACTCCTGGACGCAAGCGATCCTCCTGCTTCAGCTTCCCAAAGTGCTGGGATTACAGGCATAAGCGACCACACCCAGCCAGGAAAGTGTGTAAGGCTCTAAACAAGGCACATAAAGTCTCTTGAGTCCCCTCTTACCTTGCCTGTAGACTCCAGCTGCTAAACTGCTTCTCCCTGCCCTAAATACACACAGATGCTCACACTGGCTCTGCGAAGACTGCTCTTTGCCTTTGTTCATGCAACCCCAACTGCTTGAAAGACTCCTACTAACCTCTTTTTTTTTTAACCTGGAAAATTATTTCTTTTTTTTTTTGAGATGGTCTCACTGTCGCCCAGGCTGGAGTGCAGTGGTATGATCTCAGCTCACTGCAACCTCTGTCACCATGTTGACCAGGCTGGTCTCAAACTCCTGCCCTGAAGTGATCAGCCCACCTCAGCCTCCCAAAAATGCTGGGATTACAGGTGTGAGCCACTGCACCTGGTGGAAAATTATTTCTTTAGGTGCTACCTCCTTCAAGAAGCTCCAAAGCCTGTAATCCCAACACTATGGGAGGCCAAGGAGGGCGGATCATGAGGTCAGGAGATCAAGACCATCCTGGCTAACACGGTGAAACCCCGTCTCTACTAAAAATACAAAAAAATTAGTCGGGTGTGGTGGCGGGTGCCTGTAGTCCCAGCTACTTGGGAGGCTGAGGCAGGAGAATGGCGTGAACCCAGGAGGTGGAGCTTGCAGTGAGCTGAGATCACACCACTGCACTCCAGCCTGGGCAACAGAGCAAGACTCCGTCTCAAAAAAAAAAAGAAGAAGCTCCATGGCTCCTGTCCTTCCTGTCCAATTGAAGCTGGGATAAGAGTACTATCCCACTGTGTCCATTTCTATTATGGAAACTTATCCAGACTGTATTATAATTGGCCATTTCCTTGTCTGTCCCCACACTGAACTGTGAACTCTTCAAGGGCTGAGACTGTACCATTCATTTCAGTGTCCCAAGCTCCTAAGACAGGGACCAACATATAGTGCAAACTCAAAAGGTTTGGTTAATATCGAATAGCCTTGGCAGCCATGGACCCTGCATGTACCTTTTCACCAGGAGTTGGCAGGAGGTATGCCTTGCTGCAGGTACGGTTTCTGTCCGAGCAGGAGATGGTGGAAGAGAGGGGAGAGGGCTGAGAATTCAGAATTTGAGGATCAGGGCAGAATAGAATGGAAGTGCACGGTTCAAAAATTCCCCCACCCTGCTGGGATATTGTGAAACCCTCACTCTCTCCCCTCCAGGTTCCTCACCTCTCTCCCAGGACAAAGAGCATCTCCCTTGAAGCCTCACTCACCAGGTGTCTGTGCCTCAGGTCTTGGTGAAGAATGCTGGAAGTAGAGGACCTAGTCAGAGAAAGGACTATCCCCGTGGCCAGAAGAGATGCGGCCAGGGCAGACGGGGCTAAGGGGATTCTCGGCCAGCAGTGAGGAGTGGGTACTGGGTTAGCGGGTGAGAGGGGCATTTCACAGGTCCTAGGGCTGGCTGTGAGATGGATGAGATGGGCACAGACTCCTGGAGAGTTCAGCTAGGGGTGGGAGGGGTCAGGGACTGTAACCAGGCATAGTGGGGGCAGCGGTTCTCTAGACACGGTGGTCCTGAGGCAGGGGGTTACCGCGTTTGGATATCTGAGTCGCTTGGTCTTGTGACTGCTTTTTTTTGATGGGCACAGGGTTCAAGTGGCAGCAAGCAGTGCACAAAGCCTCCTCCATGAGTTCTGCACTGATCTGGGACAGGTATTCCTCAGAACGAGATAACGAAGCCTGGGAAAGGAAAAGCCGGAGGGGTTCAGCCTGGGAGCTCCCACATGGGAGTGCTGGCTGTGGGAGTTCCCAGGCTGGGGCCTGTGGGTCCAAGGAGCTTGCTCCTGAAGGACTGGGCCTTGAGATTTAGCTAGAAAGCTCTGGACCTGGGGGAGGGGGGTTTGGTGGGGGTTTAGAGTCAGGGCCTAGTGCTGAGAGCTATGAGTCGGGGCTTCAGGACTCAGGGTTGAGGCTAGAGTCTCAGGGCCCGTGGCTCAGACCTGGCACGGGGTGCCTCTGCCTGGGAGGCTTTCACTTCATTACATTCCCACCTCTAGGGTTCCCTGCAGTGCTCACCGGACCTCCTCTCAAGGAGGGTGCAGCTTGAGATGGCCAGCTGCTCTTCTTCTCCCCCTCATTCCCCATCGGAGTGGACGCCATCCCCCTGGGAACAGTCGAAGCCTGAGTTGACCTGAGAAACCAGCCCGCTTTCCCCCAGAACCCAGTCCACCACCATTCCCCGGGCCCAGGTTTAAACAAGGCCTTTAGAGGAAACATCCCGCTGCCTCATTCCCTCTCACAAGAAAAAATAATAATAATAATAAAGGTTGCTTTATATCTTCGGGAGTGAGAGGGAACTCCCGCAACCCCCTACCCCTCACCCCTTCGCCTGGTGGGCCTCTCCTTCCTTCTTCCCTCCCAAGCACCTTCCCAAGCCGAGGCAGCCGACTTGACGCCCCAGACCTGGCAGATGGGTGGAAACCTTGGGCTACTCGGCAAAAGGAGAGACGTGGAGGCCTAAGGACCTCTGGTATAGGTCGTGGGGGATGGAGAATGGGAGATGGGGAGGAAGGCTGGAAAAGGGGGAGCCGGCTCCGTGTCGCTACCGGACGCTATAAAACCCTTGGAGTCTGCAGAGGTTCCGCAGCCTCGTTGCTAGGAGATCAGGGGTTCTAGAACTAAAGACAGAGGAATTTCCTAGCGCGCCCCGTTTGCTCCTCCAGCCTCCCCTCCGTACCCCTCCAGGTGCCTCCTTGAGGGCAGTGACCCCAAGCGCCAGACGCTTGAGAAGCTTGGGAGGATGACGTAGGGTGGAGCCTGCGACCTAATCCTCCCATCACAAGGGGCACGCGAAAAGCAACCCATCTGCAGGGCGCTCTGGAGCCTCTCTAGCCGCCTAGAGCCTGCGAGAGCAAAGGCGGCTGGAGACTTAGGGGGCGGGGAGTAAAGTGAGGACTGCACCAAATCTCCTGGCCTCTTGGGGACGCAAAGACTCAGGAGGAGGAATTTTATCGCCTTATCTTTGCCTCCAGGAAGTCATACCCTCCACAAAAGGAAAGCAGAGATTTTTATTCGGTCTTCTCTTTTACCCTTTCCTTTTCCGTTTCTAACTTTGCTTGACGTTAATGGTTCCTTCCTCCCTCTCCTCCTCTGCGCTTTGGTACGAGCCAAGGGAGAGGGGCGGAGGGAGGAAAAGGGAAAGGAAGCCGACAGGCCTTAAAGGGGCCGCAACTATTTTTTTAAGCCACTTTTTCCTCTCTCCAATTTTGCAACGACGGGCGCGGAGGAGGAGGTTCCCGGAAGCCACGCGCAGCTGGAGCAGCGGCGACCGCAGCTGGAGGCCCGGAGCGCCTGCGGGGCTGGCAGAGGCGAGGGAGGTTGCGGGTAGGAAGGGCGGACTGCGCGCGCCCCCTGCGTCCCGCGCACCTCGGGGCCGGTCCATGCTCCCGACGGCTGCGGGCTTCAGCATCTGGGGCCAGGTTGGGGCGGCGGGGTCCAGGGCGCAGGTGGTGCGGCCGATGCGCCGGGCCGGAGGCTGAGGCCGCGCTGCGGGGCTGGGACAGCACTGGCATCTCCAGAGCAGGCCCGGGGCAGCAAGGGAGGCGCCGCGATGCCAGACGAAAATATCTTCCTGTTCGTGCCCAACCTCATCGGTGAGTGCTGCCCACGGCCCCGGGCCGAACGAGAGGGCGAGGGGCCTTGGCGGGCTCCCTGATCCTGCCCTGTCTCCCCGCGTCCCGTTCCAAGGTTATGCCCGGATTGTCTTCGCCATCATTTCTTTCTACTTCATGCCCTGCTGCCCCCTCACGGCCTCCTCCTTCTACCTGCTCAGCGGCCTGCTGGACGCTTTCGATGGACACGCTGCTCGCGCTCTTAATCAAGGTGACAGACACCCCTCTCAGCCAGCCTTGGGGTTCAACAATCCCCTCCTCCCTTCCCCTGCCTCCTCGGGACCTCAGAGTCAGAGGGCTGTCATTCCCATCTCTGGAAAAAGCAGAACAGGATGGCCTGGGGCTTTTTGTTTTGTGTTTTGTTTTTTTGTTTTTGAGACAGGGTCTCGCTCTGTCACTTAGGCTGGAGTGCAGTGGCGCGATCATGGCTCACTGCAGCCCCCATCTTCTGGGCTCAAGTAATCCTCCCACCTCAGCCTCCTGACTAGCTGGGACTACAGGAGCGTGCCACCACACCCGGCTAATTTTTAAATTTTTGTAGAGACTGGGTCTTGCAGTGTCGCCCAGATTGGTCCCCAGCTCCTAGCCTCAAGCGATCCTCCTGCCTTGCTCCCAAAGTGCCGCGCCCAGCAAGAATGGACTGATTTTGTAGCAAAAGGAATTTAAGCTAGCTCTTGAGAACTCACTGCTTGTGAGAGGTGTGGATTAGCAAGACATGACATGGCGGTGGCGCTGCTGGAGGTCTCTCTGAATACAAGTCCATTCAGGCCAGGGGCGGTGGCTCACGCCTGTAATCCCAGCACTTTGGGAGGCCGAGGTGGGTGGATCACGAGTTCAGGAGTTCGAGACCAGCCTGGCCAACATGGTGAAACCCTGTCTCTACTAAAAATACAAAAATTAGCGGGCTTGGTGACGCGTGCCTGTAATCCCAGCTACTCGGGAGGCTAAGGCAGGAGAATTGCTTGAACCCGGGAGGCGGAGGTTGCAGTGAGCCAAGATTGCGCCATTGCACTCCAGCCTGGGCGACAGAGCAAGACTCTGTCTCGGAAAAAAAAAAACAAAAAACAAAAAACAGTGTATTCAACAGGTGTTTACTGGAGGCCTACTGTGTGCCCTGCATAAGCAGTTGGGGTTCCAGAAGGCATGCTTAGAGGGAGGATGGAGAGGGAAGGGTGATGGCTTCTGGAGGGTTGACTAATTTTTTAATCTGTTCTCCAGACCCAACTGTAAGGCTTCCCCTGAGGCATCAAGTCTCTATCTAGCCCTGGAGTCTTGGTTCTGGGGTTGATGAGTTGCAGACATAGCTTTCCTCTCCTCCTACCCTGTTCCCTCCACTCTCATGCCTTTCTCAGTTCATGCCATGGTGACCTTTGCCCACTGACCTCACACACAGCCTGTTTTCTAGCCTGCGTTCCTCCCCAGGCAGGCGGACACTTCCAGTCTTCGTTTACACCCTGCGTCAGAGTGATAAACCAAATATGGGCACCTGTCCTGCATCCACTGTGCCATAACAGCCCTTGCCCACCTAATCTTCCAGGAACCCGGTTTGGGGCCATGCTGGACATGCTGACGGACCGCTGCTCCACCATGTGCCTGTTGGTCAACCTGGCCCTGCTGTACCCTGGAGCCACGCTGTTCTTCCAAATCAGCATGAGTTTGGATGTGGCCAGTCACTGGCTGCACCTCCACAGGTCTGCTGCGATTCTGGGGGCCTGGGCCACTTGGAGACATTACAGTGGGGTGGGCTGAGCCTAGACGGAAGGGTGTCTGGGATGGCACTAGGCATCCTGGAAGGGCTCCTTTTTAGCTCTGCTTTGTAGAAAGACCCCAGGCAAACCTGCCTCTCTTTAAAGCTTCAGTCATGTTTACAGTTGCATTAAGCAATTCTTAGGACTCTTCTGGCTGGGTATTCTAGGATTCCATATAGGTGACAGCTTATAGGAAGGGGCATGGGAGCTTTCAAATGTGGCATTTGAATCCTGACTCTGCCCCCAAATAGGTAACTGTGGCTTTCGGCAGGATACTGGTCCTTAGCCGTGCCCAGTTTTCCATCTGTACAATAGGTGTTAACATGAGGATTGGATGCATGGTAGTGGTCATGAAACCTTGTGGGTTCCCCTGTTTTCTCCCCAAGTTCTGTGGTCCGAGGCAGTGAGAGTCACAAGATGATCGACTTGTCCGGGAATCCGGTGCTTCGGATCTACTACACCTCGAGGGTAAGCATTTCCTGCACACCCCACCCCTCAGGCTCTTGGCTGTGGGAAGCCCTGGGCTGAATCCTGGTCCTAGCCTAGGAGAAGGCGAGGGCGCAGAGCAGGGCCTGCCCAGTCACTCCAGGAGGAGGGCCCGTAAGCTGAGGCGTGGAGGAGGAGGATTGGTGGGGAAGGCCTGTGTGAATTACTCCAGGGAACAAGTGGGAATGAGGCCTGCAAAGAGAAGGGACTGAAAGCGGGAAGGGAGATAAGCCAGAGAGGTCTGCAGGGCTGGAGTGTGGACTTGATTCCAGGAACACAGGCAGCCTCTGGAAGGATTTTTAAAAAGATAATGGCTGGGCATGGTGGCTCATGCCTGTAATCCCAGCGCTTTGGGAGGCTGAGGTGGGAGGATTGCTTGAGGCCAGGAGTTTGAGACCAGCCTGGGCAACAAAGTGAGACTCTGTTTCCACACACACACAAAATCTTGAATTAGCTTAGCCAGGCACAGTGGTACACGCCTGTAGTCTCTACTTAGGAGGCTAAGGTGGAAGGATTGCGTGAGACCAAGGGTTTATTTATTTATTTATTTATTTTTTTGAGACAGAGTCCTGCTCTGTCACCCAGGCTGGAGTTCAGTGGCGGGTTATCGGCTCACTGCAACCTCTGCCTGCTGGGTTCAAGCGATTCTTGTGCCTCAGCCTCCTGAGTGGCTGGGACTACCGGCACGTGCCACCACACTCGGCTAATTTTTGTATTGTTAGTAGAGAGGGGTTTCGCCACGTTGGCCAGGCTGGTCCCAAACTCCTGACCTCAGGTGATCCGCCTGTCTCAGCCTCCCAAAGTGCTGGGACTCCAGGCATGAGCCACACGCCTGGCTGAGACCAGGAGTTTTGAGGCTGCAGTGCTATGATCATACTACTGCATTCCAACCTGGATGAGAGAGCGAGACCCTGTCTGTAAAAAAGAAAAAAAAATAAGAGAAGTAATATGCCGAGATTGTGCCTTCATTAGTGCTGGGGGGGCAGGGGGTGGCACACGCCTGCCTCTTGCTAACGTGGCCTGTTTGCTGTGTGTGCAGCCTGCTCTGTTCACCTTGTGTGCTGGGAATGAGCTCTTCTACTGCCTCCTCTACCTGTTCCATTTCTCTGAGGGACCTTTAGGTAGGAGATGAGGGGCTGGGCAGGAGGATGGGAGGGGGATCTGGCCTGCCCAGGGAGATGGAGGCCCCCTCCTTCGGGCCCCAAACTCCCCTGCTGCCTTCCTGCAGTTGGCTCTGTGGGACTGTTCCGGATGGGCCTCTGGGTCACTGCCCCCATCGCCTTGCTGAAGTCGCTCATCAGCGTCATCCACCTGATCACGGCCGCCCGCAACATGGCTGCCCTGGACGCAGCAGACCGCGCCAAGAAGAAGTGACGCTGGAGCCCCGGGTCCTGGCTGCCCACCTGCCCTGGGAGTCTTGCTGTGCCACACAGCTCCCCACCCCCTGCTAGGAGGTCCCAGTCTCACGCCTTCCTCATGTGTTGTTCTACCTGCTGGGATGGGGGTCAGCCTCTCTTTGGTGACGTCACGTTCTCTGGGATCCTGAGGACCCGGGCCTCAAATCAGGGAGGATACGCGGGAGGCCCCCTCCATCCAGGCGGTGCTCCTGGGGTGCCGGGACCGGGCAGTGTCACACCCTGCCTGCTCAGTCCTGGGGTCCGAGATGCTAGGGACGCTTGAGTGAGGGAGGTGGTGTGAGGGCCAGGTTTCCTGAAAGGCGGGAGTCAGACCTCCGCCCCCAGCCAGAGCAAGCTTGGGGCACCATGCCCAGGAGGGAAGAAGCCATCCACAGCCTTCCCTGTCACCGGCTCCTCTGTCCTGCCTACCCTGGTCCTGGCGGGACTTCACTATTTGACTTGGTTTCCTTTCAGATATTCTTGGCTCAGGGCCTGGGTTGAGGGAGCTTAGGGAAGGACGTCCGTCTGGGTGCTTTTCCTCCAGTTTGCTGGCTGGCTTCTCCGTCTACCCACAGTGACCTCACAGAGAGGCCCTCCTGCCACCCATGCTCATGTGGTGTCCCCACCGCCCACTTGTTTGATGTCACTGACTGTCTACATGTATTTATATTCTTGATATTTTCTACCCTCACTAGAATGTAAACTCCATGAAGGCACAGACTTTTCTTGTTCTCTTCTCTATCCCTAGAGTAAGACCAACTTGAACCTGGCATATAGTAGCTGCTTAATAAATACTCGTCTGTCAATGAGTTGGTTTCTCAGAGTGTGGTCCTTAGACCACCTGTGGTATATTTCTATTTCTCTTTTTTGCTTTTCTTTCTTTTTTTTTTTTTTTTTTTTTAGAGACAGAGTCCTACTCTGTCGTCCAAGCTGGAGTGCAGTGGTGCAATCATAGCTCACTGCAGCCCCAAACTCCTGACCTCAAGTGATCCTCCCACCTTAGCCTCTCAAAGTGCTGGGATTACAGGCATGAGCCACAAAGCCTGGCTGGATATTTCTTTAAAATGCAAATTCAAGCCAGGTGTGGTGGCTCATGCCTGTAATCCCAGCATTTTGGAAGGCCAAGGTTGGGTGGATTTAGTACAGGAGTTCGAGGCCAGCCTGACCAACATGGTGAAACCCCATCTCTACAAAAAATAACAAAAATAGCCAAATGTGGTGGCACATGCCTGTGGTCCCAGCTACTCAGGAGGCTGAGGTGGGAGGATGGCTTGAGCCTGGGAGGCAGGAGGGAGAGGTTGCAGTGATCCGTAATGGTGCCACTCCAGCCTGGGAGGCAGAGCCAGGCAGTCTCAAAAAAAAAAAAAAGCAACTTTGGCCCGTCTTGGAGGCTCACGCCTGGCCTGTAATCCCAGCACTTTGGGAGGCTGAGGTGGGAAGATCACTTGAGTCCAGGAGTTCAAGACCAGCCTGGGTCACATGGCAGGACCCCGTCTCTACAAAAAAAAAAATACAAAAATTAGCCAAGTGTGGTGGTGTGTGCCTTAGTCCCAGCTACTGGGGAGGCTGCAGTGAAAGGATTGAATGAGCCTGGGAAGTCAAGGCTGCAGTGAGTCATGATCATGCTACTGTACTCCGGCCTGGACGACAAAACAAGATGTCTCAAAAAATAAAATAAATGCAACTTCTTGGACCCTGCAGCCAACCTTCAGAGTTAGAAGCTCTAGGGATGGGCTCAGAAACCTGCAACTTGAATGCCGGGGAATTCTTCCAGTAATGTTGAGAAACACTGTTCCCTCTTTTTATGGGCTCCTATCATATACTAGGCACTGTTCTGGGCATCTATCCCCTGCCATCTGTGGTTTTTAAACTACTGTACCGCATGCCAGACTCTGTGCTGCGGGTTCTTTGCAGATGTTACTCATTCTATCTGCATGATAGCTTAGCCAAGTGGCCCAAGAGGCCCCCGTGTCCAGGAGAGCAGAAATTTACCAGACATGTACTGAGCCTCAACTCCTGTGCTAGGCCCAGGGGATTCACTGGGTACTGGGCAGCTGGCTTCCTCTACAATAACATAGGAAAGTGCTCGTTGGGGGTGGGAGTAGAAGACACCTAGGACCTGATTTAGGGTTTGGTGAAGGGGCTGGGTATCCCATGTAGAAGGCTGGTAGGGATTGGAGAGGAAAGGGTTAGTGCAGAGGAGATTGGTTCTTAGCTGAGGGAATGGCATGGGAAGGCAGGGAGGCCAGAGAGGCCCCTGGGCTCTGCACCTCTTTCTCCTTCCTGTCAGCTCTTCTTCCGGCATGGTGGGTCCTCTGAGCACTCTCCAGCCCCAGAGCACGGAGCCCTTGGTCGGCCTGGGTCCCACATCCCTGACTGGCTCCTGGGCTCCTTGGTTCTAAC
Organism: Homo sapiens; assembly: GCF_000001405.40. Lineage (NCBI taxonomy): Eukaryota > Metazoa > Chordata > Mammalia > Primates > Hominidae > Homo > Homo sapiens. The sequence continues at coordinate 29,856,762 of NC_000016.10, read as the reverse complement.
CATTTACAGTGACAACAGAAATTGGAACAGATCTAGGCCGGGCACAGTGGCTCACACCTGTAATCCCAGAACTCTGGGATCCACCCAAGGGGGTGGATCATTTGAGGTCAGGAGTTAAAGACTAGCCTGGCCAACATGGTGAAACCCCATCTCTACAAAAAATACAAAAATTAGCCAGGTGTGGTGGTGCACGCCTGTAGTCCCAGCTACGCAGGAAGCTGAGGTGGGAGAATTGCTTGAACCCAGGAGGTGGAGGTTGCAGTAAGCCAAGATCATGCCACTGTACTCTAGCCCAGTGACAGAGCGAGACTCCGTCTAAAAAAAAAAAAAAAAAATTGTGCACAAAGCAGGTGTGTTTCAAGCGCATCAGGCACCCCTACCATCCCTGCCAACCTGGCCTGCTCCAGTCAAGGTGGGGAAAAAAAAAAGAAACAGATCTAGGTCACAGGGCCTGGAGCACCAAGTGCTCCAGGGAGGTTGGGGGAGTGGGGGTTGGGGGCTGGGAGAGCTGGTGAGAGGCGACGCAGAAGCCAGCTGGGGCGGCCTAGGAGCCCAGAGGACTTTTTAAAATTTTACTGTGGAGACAGGGTCTCTCTCTGTCACCTGGGCTGGAGTGCAGTGGCATGATCATAGCTCACTGCAGCCTCGACCTCTCAGGCTCAAGCAGTCCTCCTGCCTCAGCCTGCTGAACAGCTGGGACTACAGGCATGCACCACCATGCCCGGCTAATTTTTATGTTTTTCTGTAGAGATGGGGGTATCACTGTGTTGCACAGGTTGGTCTCAAACTCCTGGCCTCAAGTGATCCTCCTGCTTTGGCTTCTCAAAGCGCTAGAATTACAGGTGTGAGCCACTGTGTCTAGCCCATTTCCATATCTTAACATTCATTTTATGTATGTGCTGTTCTGCTAACACAAGCTACCCTGCTCTAAGTGCTATTTGCGTGCATTATCTTATCTCACAATTGTACAGTTGCACACAATACGACAGCCCTGTTACTGTTCTCATTCCCCAGAGAGGAAACAGGCCCCGAGAGGTGGCAGCCTGGCCAGTCTGGTTCCAGAGCCTGTACCTGAACACTTAATTGTACGCAGTACTTTCACGCCAGCGGGCTTCTGAATGGTTGCATAGAACGCCAGGCGTGGTGGCAGGCGCCTGTAATCCCAGCTACTCGGGAGGCTGAGGCAGGAGGATCGCTTGAACCCGGGAGGCAGAGGTTGCAGTGAGCTGAGATCGCACCACTGCACTCCAGCCTAGGTGACAGAGTGAGACTCTGTCTCAAAAAAAAATTCAGTTTAACCTGGTCCTACCACTGTGAATGGTGCTGCGGTAAATCATCTCGCGCTTTTTGGGGGACACGTATAGGATGAACGTTGAGGGGCTTAAAGCAGGACAGTGGCAGGGACAGACCTGTGCTTGAAGAAGCTATTGGTGCACAAAACTGAGGTGCGGTGGGTGTGGTGGCTCACGCCTGTAATCCCAGCACTTTGGGAGGCCAAGGTGGGCAGATCACGAGGTCAGGAGATAGAGACCACCCTGGCTAACACGGTGAAACCCTGTCTCTACTAAAAATTACCTGGGTGTGGTGGCACGCGCCTACTGTAGTTCCAGCTACTCGGGAGGCTGAGACAGGAAAATCGCCTGAACCTGGGAGGCAGAGGTTGCAGTGAACCAAGATTGTGCTACTGCACTCCAGCCTGGCGACAGATGAGTCTCCGTCTCAAAAGAACAAAAAACAAAAAACTGAGGTGCGTTTCCAGCTGTGGGCACCCCACTACCTGGCCTGCTGCAGTCAAGGTAGGAGACTGGGTCAGGGGCTGTCCCTGTGCCTGCCCTGCAGCCCTTTCTCCTTCCTGTTGGCTCTTCCTCCAGCCTGGTGGGTCCTCTCTCTCCAGCCCCAGAGGACAGAGCCCTTGGCCTGCCTGACTCCCATGTCCCTGGCTGGCTCCTAGGCTCCTTGGCTCTAACCATTTACAGTGACATCAGAAGGCTGACTGTGTAAATCCAGCTACATTGAGTTGTTTTGTTTTGAGACAAGGTCTCACTCTGTCACCCAGGTTGCAGTGCAGTAGCTCCATCTCGACTCATCACAACATCTGCCTCCTGGGCTCAAGTGATCCTCCAGCCTCAGCCTCTTGAGTAGCTGGGACTACAGGCGGCACCACCACCCCCAGCACACTATTTTTGTATTTTTTTGTAGAGATGGGGTATCCTTATGTTGCCCAGGTTGGTCTTGAATTCCTGGGCTCAAGTGATCCTCCCACCTCAACCTCCCAAAGTGCTGCAATTACAGGCATGAACCACCATGCCTGGCCATATGTGATTTTTTTTTTTTTTTTGAGACAGAAGTTTCACTCTTTAGCCCAGGCTGGAGTAAAGTGGTGCAATCTCGGCTCACTACAATCTCTGCCCCTGGGGTTCAAGCAATTCTCCTTCCTCAGCCTCCTGAGTAGCTGGGATTACAGGCACCCGCCACCGCGCCCGGCTAATTTAGTATTTTTAGTAGAGATGGGGTTTCTCCATGTTGGCCAGGCTGGTCTCGAACTCCTGACTTCAGGTAATCCACCCGCCTCGGCCTCCTAAAGTGGTGGGATTGTAGGCGTGAGCCATTGCACCTGGCCATATGTGATCTTAAAAAAGAGAGTTGAGGAGGAGAGTGTGAGCACGGGCAGTCTAAAAGAATCTGCACCCGAGCATCCTGAGGCTTGTAGGGTAGCACTGAAGACTCACAGGAGGGCTTCTAAGTCCCCTTGGCCTACAGGGACGTGGCTCGCAGTCAGACTGGTGCCGGCGTTCCATGTCCAGTGGCTGGCCTGGGCTCAGGAAGAACCTGCAGAGCCCTTGATCTGGAGGTGGGGAGTGGGGAAAGGCTGAGCTGACCTGGGCCCTGGAGTATCTATATTTGATCTAGGGAACATAGTGGAGTCACGTTATATGTGCAGTAATAGCCTTCTGGAATCAGCTATATGCCTTCAGAATAAATGAATGATCACCACGCCACTGTGTAAGAAGTTTCATTTGTTTGTTCCACTCAATGACTGCGCCTCGGAGGGCAGGAGATCAGTACCTGTACATTTGCTGTTCCTCTAGGCAGTCTCAGTCTTCAAGGCTCTCCTTCTGTGATTAAAAATAACCCTAACTACTGTAACAAACTTCAAGATGTGTAGTGCCTCAAACATGATAGTTTATTTCTAGACTGGTTGTGGTGGCACATGCCTGTAATCCCAGCACTTTGGGAGGCTGAAACAGGAGGATTACTTGAGGTCAGGAGCTTGAGACTAGCCTGGGTAACATAGCAAGTCCCCATTGCTACAAAAGAGTTAAAGAGTTGGCCAGGCGTGGTGGCTCACACCTATAATCCCAGCATTTTGGGAGGCTGAGGTGGGGGATCACCTGAGGTCAGGAGTTCGAGACCAGCCTGGCCAACATGGTGAAACCTCATTTCTACAAAAAATACAAAAATTAACTGGGTGTGGTGGTGCACGCCTGTAGTCCCAGCTACTCGGGAGGCTGAGGCAGGAGAATCACTTGAACCAGGAGGCGGAAGTTGCAGTGAGCCGAGACCGTGCCACTGCACTCCAGCCTGGAGGCAGAGCAAGACTCTGTCTCAAAAAAAAAAAAAAAAAAGAAAGAACATTATTTTATTTCTAACTCATATTAAATCTTAATCAGATGCTGCCGACTGGGAGACAGCTCTCCTGCAAGCGGCGATTCAGGAATTCGGGCATCTCCTGTTCTGTGATTCTGCCATTTTCAACACGTGGCTCCTGGGACTGCCCAGCTTGTTTGCATCATGTAGGCAGATGATGTGTATGGAGGTTGCAGGAGCCAAGTTTTTATGGAAAGACAGGAAATTAGCACTTATTACTTCCACTTCCATTCCATTGGCTACAACTCGGTCACACGGCAGTGTCTGAGGACAAGGGAAGCTGGGACACAGATTAGTTGTGGGCGTAAGTGGAAGAGGAAACTGATTCGGTAAACAGCATCTTACCATGCTGAATGTGTTCGCTGTTGAAAGACACAGATTTTTCTTATAAAGGGGGTCCTTCAACACATCAATTACTTTGGTATTCAACCAAAGAAAAGCCATTTGTTCTAGTGCTAGAGAAAAACAGGCTGTGTTGAACTTCTTCAGAGATCACACTGTTCTCTATGTATGTTTTTGAGACAGGGTCTCACTCTGTTGCCCAGGCTGGAGTACAGTGATGCCGTCATAGCTCACTGCAGCCTCAAATTCCTGAGCTCAAGTGATCCTCCTACTTCAGCCTCCTGAGTAGCTGGGACTACAGGCACATGCCACCACACCTAGCTAATTTAATCTAAAAACACTTTTTTTGGATTAGACATAGGCCTAATTTTTAAGATATAAAAAACTAGGGCCAGGCGCTGTGGCTCATGCCTGTAACCCCAGCACTTTGGGAGGCCAAGGCGGGCAGATCACCTGAGGTCAGGAGTTCAAGACCAGCCTGGCCAACATGGTGAAACCTCATCTCTACTAAAAATACAAAAATTACCTGGGTGTGGCGGCAGGCACCTGTAATCCCAGCTACCTGGGAGGCTGAGGCAGGAGAATCGCTTGAACCCAGGAAGCAGAGGTTGCAGTGAGCCGGGATTGTGCCATTGCACTCCAGCCTGGGCAACAGTAGCAAAACTCTGTCTCAAAAAATACAAAAATTAGCCAGGCGTGGTGGCACACGCCTGTAATTCTCGCTACTCAGGAGGCTGAGGTAGGAGAATTGCTCGAACCTGGGAAGCAGAGGTTGCAGTGAGCCGAGATCATGCCACTGCACTCCAGCCTGGGCGACAAAGCGAGACTCTGTCTAAAAAGAAAAAAAAATTCAATGTATATTTCAGGCTTCTTTCAGTAAACAGGTTGCTTGGGGCAACCCTAAGCCCCAGGGATGAAATTCAAAATATTTAACCACCAAGCCAGAGCAAGACCCTGTCTCAAAAAAAAAAAAAAAAAAAAATTTGAGGTTAAACCTAATAATTAAAATTTTAAAAATGTAAAGTTAAAAAAAAATTAATCTAATTTTTTTTTTTTTTTTTTTTTTTGGAGACAGAAGCTCACTGTATTTCCAGCAAGTCCTGTCTTCCCCACTCTATGGCCTGTGCTGGGCCCCTCTTCGTGCATATAATTTTTTTTTTTTTTTTTTAAGATGGAGTTTTGCCCTCTCCCAGGCTGGAGTGCAGTAGCACGATCTCGGCAGACTGCAGCCTCCACCTCCGGGGTTCAAACGATTCTCCTGCCTCAGCCTCCTGAGTAGCTGGAATTACAGACGTGTGCCACCACGCCTAGTTTTTTTTGTGTTTTTTTTTTTTTTTTTGTATTTTTAGTAGAGACGGGGTTTCACCATGTTGGCCAGGCTGGTCTTGAACTCCCAACCTCAGGTGATCCACCCACCTCGGCCTCCCAAAGTGCTGGGATAACAGGCGTGAGCCACTGCACCTGGCCCCTTGCATACAATTTAGAGGAGTTTCCCCTATGACCTATGAGATCTTACAATCCTGTGAGGCACACAAAGTAGTCAGGATAGGCTAGGTTATACTGTGGTAACAAAACCCCCCAAATCTCCGTTGCTTAATACAGCAAACATTTCTCACTCCTGCCACATGTCTGTTGCAGGTCAGCTGTGGCTGCACCTCATGCCATTTTCTCCCTGGGACCCAGGTGGTTGGAGCAGCTTCCACTTGGAACATTGCTGGTCACCCATTTATATGGAAAAGGGAAGAACAGGCATGTGATGTCATTTCCCCTTGCATTTCATTGGCAAGAGCCAAAGCCTGATCACCAATTGAGGTCCACGTGGAGACATCAAGGCATGGATTGGAAATGAGTCCAGAGCTCTTGGGTGAGGTCGGAGCTGGAGTAATGGATTCTGAGGTCAGTGGTATAGAGACCATCTGAGGTCATGCGATTGGACAAGAATGTCAGCATGAGAAGTGGGCCTTAGGGAACCTACTGAGAGAAGCGAGAAAGAAAACTAGAACAGGTGATGTCAGGAAAGCCCAGCATGGGAGGAATGGCCAACTGTGCCAAGTGACCGATCAACTACTGGATTTAGCAACGGGACATTACTGGTGATGCCGAATAAAGCAGTTTCCATAAAGTAAGGGGCAGAGACAGAAGCAAACTGGGGTGTTTTTTTGAGTCGGAGTTTTGCTTTTGTTGCCCAGGCTGGAGTACAATGGCGCAATCTCGCTCACTACAACCTCTGCCTCCCAGGTTCAAGCGATTCTCCTCCGTCAGCCTGCCGAGTAGCTGGGATTACAGGCACCCACCACCACACCTGGCTCACTTTTGTATTTTTAGTAGAGACAGGGTTTCACCATGTCGGCCAGGCTGGTCTTGAACTCCCGACCTCAGGTGATCTACCCACCTCGGCCTCCCAAAGTGCTGGGATTACAGGCGTGAGCCACCACGTTTGGCCCTATCTGGAGTGGTTTGAAGAGATAATGAGAGATGAGGAATGGAAAGTGAGACCACAGAGAACTCTGGAAAAATTTGGCTGTGATGGAAAAAGGAGAGGTGGAAGTTAGAGGGGCTCATAGGGTTAAGGGAGTTGTTTTATATGGACAGAGTAGACATGTCTATATCCTGATGATGATGATGCAGGAGAGAAGAAATTGATGGCATATCAGCTGGGTACAGTGGCTCACACCTGTTATCCCAGCCCTTTGGGGGGCCAAGGCAGGCAGATCATGAGGTCAGGGGTTCATGATCAGTCTGGACAAGATGGCAAAACCCCATGTCTACCAAAAATACAAAAATTAGCAGGGCATGGTGGTGCATGACTGTAGTCCCAGCAACTCGGGAGGCTGAGGCAGGAGAATCACTTGAATCCAGGAGGCAGAGGTTGCAGTGAGCTGAGATCACGCCACTGCACTCCAACCTGGGTGACAGAGCGAGACTCAGTCTCAAGAAAAAAAAAAAAAAGAAAAAAAAATTGACAGCACAGGAGAGGACGGCAATCAGTGAAGGAATGCAGCCCTCTCTCCTAGAGCCCAAGGGGAGGAGCCCAGGGTGGGAAGAGGAGGGAGGACAGTCTAGATGCCAGCAGTTTGTTAGGTTTGTTGCTGGGAAGGGCCTTCCTACCCAATTTGCTTCTATTTTCTCAAAGAGGTGAGAGAAAGTGGGCAGGGGTGTAGGAGGCTGAGAGGAGAGGTGGTGTGAATGGTTGTCTCAAAGCGGATCGCACACAAGACAGAGCAGCACAGCCAGAGAAGCTGCACCTCCCTCAAAATTTGTTCCCATGAGTTTAAAATAAGATCAGTCAGCTCCGTGGGGTGTTCCTCCTGCAGCAACGGTCAGGGGCAGGGCAGAGAGGGAGGGAGGTGGTTTAAGGGGGGATCGGGCTTTTTCCACTCAATATTACAGGAAGGTGAAAATGAGGGCTTTAGGGAGGCTTTAAGGGTTTTGTTTGTTTTGTTTTTTTTTATAGAGACAGGGTCTCCCTCTGTCACCCAGGCTGGACTGCAGTGGTATGATCATAGCTCACTGCTGCCTCCAACTTCTGGGCTTAGGCAATCCTCTCACCTTAGCCCCCCGAGTAGCTGGGAACACGGATGCATGCCATAACATCTGGCTTTTGCTTTTTTTTTTTTTTTTTTGGTAGAGATGGGGGTCTTGCTATGTTGCCCAGGCTGGTCTCGAACTCCTAGTCTCAAGTGATCCTTGTGCCTTGGCCTCCCAAGGTGCTGGGGTTACAGGCCTAAGCTCTTGCACTCGGCCCCTGGGATCTTTTTACTTCCTCGGCAGAGACGGGGCAGGCCTGGCACCTACAACTGTTCCTGGCCCCAAAGGGCTAGTGCACCCAGGCTGACTGCACCTGGATCCTTCTCTCAAATGAGGACCCCATACTGGTTGTGGGGGAGAAGGTGGGATAAGGGCACTCCTCCTTCAGTGCTCCCAAACAGCCCAGACCGGAAGCTCAAGGAGATGCCCAATTCCTACTGCCCTAGGCAGGGTCCTCCTCCCCAACCTGACACCCCCACCTGGGAAGGGACAAGCGCACAGCACCGGGTGCAAGCCTGACACGTCTGCTGGTGCTGTGGGTGCTCCAGCAGGTGGCGCTGGAGGGCGCCTCCCGAATGGGAAGCTGGGTTGCATCTGCAACAGCTGAGAGCTACCAGGCAGCTGGGCTCCTGGAGAACCAGTGGTGAGATGTTGCCATTGTGGGCCCCATGCCCCCACCCGTGGCATCATCACCCCTATCTGGGCTCTAGGAAGCCCAGTGCACAAGGCTTTGGGGCCACATTCCTACTGGGTGACTTCCAGCTCATCCTTCCCCTGCCTCGGGGTCCTCTCCCCTTTATGGAGGAGAAGAGTCTCCTGTAACTATCTAAAGATGTTGACCGGGCACAGTGGCTCACACCTGTAATCCCAGCACTTTGGGAGGCCGAGGCAGGTAGATCACCTGAGGTTGGGAGTTCGAGACCAGCCTGGCCAACATGGTGAAACCCCATCTCTACTAAAAAATACAAAAATTAGCTGGGCGTGGTGGCACGTGCCTGTAATCCCAGCTACTCAGGAGGCTGAGGCAGGAGAATCACTTGAACCTGGGAGGTGGAGGTTACAGTGAGCAGAGATCACACCACTGCACTCCAGCCTGGGTGACAGAGCAAGACTCCAGCTCGAAAAAAAAAAAAAAGATGCCAGGGGCACCTCCCCTCCCCACCATTAAGCTCCCTGGTAACCCCAACCAATGTCAGACAAGAGAAAAGTGTTGAAATTGTAAATGCCCAGAAACTTCCATTGTATTAATCAGGAGTTAGCGCAGTACAGGCACCACGTGGTTGTCTCCAGGAGCTTGAGGGGCCTGAGCAGACTGGGGGGATATCCCCTCCCCAGGGCTGGGCCCACTGGCCACCCTTCTGCCCAGGGGCTGACCCTCGGGCCCCATCCCCAGCAGCCCAAAGGCTGTGTTGAAGAGGTTGATGGGAGTGGAGCCATCGGTGATGAGGGTTGATTTCAGGCCCAGGGACTGGAGCAGTTTTACCTGGAGGGTGAGAACAGGAGGAAGTTGAGATGGGCGTCAAACCCTGGCCACTTCAGAGTGACCCTCCTTAAGTCAGCTGGTTTGAAGGGTCACCTCCCCTGCATCTGACCACCCTGCTTGACTGCCTTGGAAATGCCTGTCAGACTGGCGTCCCATCCATTTCCTGTCTCCTCCGGAGCTCTGGCTCACTGCTGGGTCTAGTACAGTGCCTGACGTTGATGCAGCGTGACACTGTGTGAATGTCCCTGCATCGTGGGTCAGGTCACTCACCCCTCCCTTCCCCACAATCTTTCCAGATGTTGTGTTTTCCGCCTTGGCTCTGCCTTCCTGGTTTCAAGGTTGGTCCTGAAACCAACACACCTTCCCCAACTCTCACCTGCATCTCAGGCCCAGCCACAGCAAGGTCCCTGATGGTGCTGGGGCCTATGGCCTCTGTCATCTGCTTGAACTTCTTCACCTCCACCTCAGCCAGCTGCTGAGCCTTGCTCACCTCCAGCTCCAGCTGGGCCCGGGCATAGACCAGTTCCAGCTCTCGGACCTTCTGGACCCTCTGGAGCTCAGCCTCCTGGAAGAGGAAAAATCAATCATTCTTTATTTTTTGACCCAGGCTGGAATGCAGATCAGGACTCACTGCAGCCTTGAACTCCTGGCTCAAAGGATCCTCCTGCCTCAGCCTCCTGGGTAGCTGGGACTACAGGCATGTGCCACCACACCCAGTCAATTAAAAAATTTTGTTTTTGTAGAGATGAGGTCTTGCTATGTTGCCCAGGCTAGTCTTGAACTGGTCTCGAACTGACCTCAAATGATCCTCCCATCTCAGCTTTCCAAAGTGCTGGGGTTAGAGACCTGAGGCACCACACTAGGCCTCTTTTTACATTTATTTTTATTTACTTTATTTTTGAGATGGAGTTTCACTCTTGTTGCCCAGGCTGGAGTGTAGTGGCACAACCTCAGCTCACCGCAGCCTCCACACCTCCTGGGTTCAAGCAATTCTCCTGCCTCAGCCTACCAAGTAGTTGGGGTTACAGACACATGCCACCATACCCAGCTAATTTTTTGTATTTTCAGTAGAGATGGGGTTTCACCATGTTGGCCAAGCTGGTCTTGAACTCCTGACCTCAGGTGATCCACCCGCCTCGGCCTCCCAAAGTGCTAGGATTACAGGCGTGAGCCACTGCACCCGGCCTCTTAATGGGATTTCAAGCATTAAATAAGATAATGCCTATGAAGCATACACAGCACTTGTGCCAAGGTGGCCAGTGCATGAGCGCCCAGCTGCAAAATGGGTGTTCTAATCCTTACCTTCCAGCAATGGAGTCAATGAATCCTACAAGGCAAAGGACTTTGCAAATGCAAAGTACTTGGATAGGGCTTTATGTTGGGGGACCTGGTGTCCTATACAGTCTCAGGGACTGTAGGGAATGGGCCTTTTCCAGGACTCAAGGCCACCCTCTTCTTAATGCCTCCCCCCACTCACCGTTTCAATGGCCAAGGCCTGTGCTTTTAGCTTGGCCTGCAGCACGGACCCTTCTCCCTCAATCCGGGCTGCCTCCGCACGGGACTCGGCCTCCGCCTTGGCAGTCCCGGTGCTCTCCACGGCCATGCTGGGGAGAAGGCAGAGTCAGGTAAGACCCGGGAGACAGCCCAGTCCCCCCACGGCCTTGGCTTATGCTGTAGCCGTGCACTGTCTCATCGACACCCCACCCAGGCCTGCTGCCCACACCAGCTGCTGTCCTAAGACCCTCGGCCCCTGCCAGTCTCCTCCTCTAGTTCTCAACCCACCTCAGAGCCTCCAGCTCCAAAAGTTCCTTGCGAGCTTTCTCGGCTTCTGACTGGTCCAGGATCTTCTGCCGCTCAAGCCGGCCGCGGGCTTCCTGCTCCAGTCTCTGAGCCTCATGCCTGGAGGAGACGGAGCGCAGGTGAGAGGCTGGCATGGGGCCAGAGCAGGAACAGGAGCGCCAAGGGCAGCGGCCACCAACCAAACCGGTGCCCAGGACAGACCCCAGCCCCTAGAAGGCACCCAATACGCAACTCAACCCAGAATGGTATACGCGCCACAAGCCAGTGTCATTCTAGGCCGGACAAATGCAGGCGTGACTGCGGCCCCCTACTTTCACGCCACTTGAGTGGGAAAAGAACAAGTATACAAGGAGGATTTCAGACAGTGACAAGTGTGGGAGAGACCAGGCAAAGAGGGTGCTATTCAGCTGTGAGAGAAAGAAAAGTGTTCCCCAAGGAGGGGATCTTTGGGCTGAAGCCAGAAGGAGAAGCCTGCCTGGAAGGGAGCTCAGGGGCGGGGGGAAGCTTTCTGGGCAGCAGGAATAGCCATTGCAAAAGGCCTTCAGGTGGGTCCAAGCTGTGCATTGAAGGAGCAGAGGAAGCCAGTGGGGCTGGAACATGTCAGCTGGAACATGTTCCAGGGACGAGGAGCATGGAAGGGGGAGGCTAGAAGGCAAATCGGGGGAGGCCGGCTGGAGCTGCAGGAAGGAGTTTAGGTTTTATCACATGCAAGATGGGAGGCTGCAGGAGCCACATCTGATACGTGCTTTTTTTTTTTTTTTTCTTTTGAGACAGGGTCAGTCTCCCAGGCCTGTTGCCCAGGCTGGAGTGCAGTGGCGCAATCATGGCTCACTGCAGCCTCAAACTCCTGGCTTCAAGTGATCTTCCTGCCTCAGCCTCTCACAGTGCTGGGATTACGGGCATGAGCCACCGCGCCCAGCCTGATTCACATTTTAAGTGGGTCACCTGATCTGTTGGGTAGGGAATAGATCTTTGAGGGTAGGGATGGCAGCAGGCAGTCCACAAGGGATGCCAGGTTATCCAGTTCCCAGCAGTGGCCTGCCATGGGCATTATAGGCAGCCGAGCTCCCAGCCTCACTTACTTGGCCGCCGCTTCCTGGGAGTTGGTGGTGATCTCGATGGCCAGCTGGACGCTGCGTTGCAGGGCGTCCCGGGTCCTCTGATCCACAGGCTCCACTGACTGCACGTCCACACTGCTGACCACCAGCCCGTTTTGGGGGAAGACAGCCTGGTCCCGGGGCCTGGGCAGGGCCATGCCATCGGGGCCCTTCGCTTCCGAGGTCTCAAAGCCAAAGACAGCAGTGCGAATGATGCGGGCTGAGTTCTTATGGAAGTCATCGAAAGTGACAGAGGCCACGGCCCCCCGCACCCGGGATGCGATGGCTTTGCAGGCATCACCTACAAAGTCTGGCACTGAAAAGAGCTTGGCCGTCTCTTGGGGGTCCTTCCGGTCATTCACCTCAAAGTGCCTGTGAACAAACAGGCCCAGAATGGGGAAGCTGCTTTCACCCAGGAATCTCTCTTTAGAAGAGACAAGGTCTTGCCATGTTGCCCAGGCTGGTCTTGAACTCCTGGGCTCAGGCAACCCCCCAACCTCAGCCTCCCAAAGTGCTGGGACTACATGTGTGATCACGCCCAGCCAGCAACTCTCTCCGAGAAGAACTTCAACACCCATCCTGTGTGGCCGGGCAGGGTCTCTCGCAATAGAGAATGCTAATGTATGCCTGGTAAGGTCCTAAAAACTTAACACACGTTCTCCTTTAATCCCACTCAGCCACCCTATGAGATGGCAATGATCACCACCCCCATTTTACAGATGAGGAAGTAGAGGTCCAGGGAAGTCAAGTGGCTGGCCCAAGACTTGCCATATAACATGTGACAAGCCAGAAAGCTGAACCAGGCAGCTGCTTCTGGGGCCTGTGCTCTTAACTATGATGTTGTAGTGCCTGGGAATATGTCGGCAGCCCTGGGAATATGTCGGCAGCTGTCTGCCGCCATCAGGGCACTGGCTGCTCTCAGCTAAGAGGTGAGGGACATGCTTGGGAGTATTGAATATTCTTTTTGGAGACAGTCTTGCTCCGTCGCCCAGGCTGGAGTGCAGTGGCTCGATCTGGGTTCACTGCAACCTCCGCCTCCCGGATTCAAGAGATTCTCCTGCCTCAGCCTCTTGAGTAGCTGGGACTACAAGCTGGGACTACAGGTGCCCACAACCAGGCCTGGCTAATTTTTGTATTTTTAGTAGAGACAGGGATTCACCATGTTGGCCAGGCTGGTCTCAAACTCCTGACCTCAAGTGATCTGCCTGCCTCAGTCTCCCAAAGTGCTGTGATTACAGGCATGAGCCACCACGCCTGACCCTCCCTCCCTCCCTTCCTCCCTTCCTCCCTCCCTCCCTCCCTCCCTCCCTCCCTCCCTTCCTCCCTTCCTCCCTTCCTCCCTTCCTCCCTTCCTCCCTTCCTCCGAGACAGGGTCTCTGTGGGTCTCTGTTGTCCAGGCTGGAGTGTGGTGGCACAATCATAGCTTGCTGCAGCCTCAAATTCCTGGGCTCAGGCAATTTTCCCACCTCAGCCTTCCAAGTAGTTGGGTCTATAGACATGTACCACCATGCCCAGCTAGTTTATAAATTTTTTTTTTTTGAAACAGAGTCTTGTTATGTTGCCCAGCCTGGTCTCAAACTCCTGGCCTCAAGCAATCCTCCTGCCACAGCCTCCCAAAGTGCTGGGATCACAGGTGTGAGCCACAGTACCCAGTCATGAACACTGTTTCTGTACATGACTTATCTCACCCAATCCTAATAGCTGCTATTGAGCTCTGACCAATAGAGGCACTGTTCTAACACTCATTGCATCTTTTCAATGGCCTTGTGAAGGAGAAAATGCTGTCTTCCTCATGTTACAGATGGGGAAACTGAGGAAAGCACCCTGTCCCTTCCCCAGGTCCACAGGCTGCAAACAGCAGGGCGGGGGCGCAGGCCAGGGCAGTCAGTTTCTGAACTTGAGTTCTCACCGCCCCCTTGCACTGCCCACTCCCGCCAGCTGTGTCCCATGCATCTTTTAACAGCCCGACAGTTACGCATTTGGCTGCACGCTCACTGGGAGCTTAGTTGGGGTAGTGTCCTGCTACTGGATCCCTGAGTCCTGACCCCAGGAGGTGAGCCCACGCCTTCCCTGGATTTGCGTGAACTCCTAGGTTCCCTCTTGACCTCAGCACTGAATGAGGTGTCCTGCCTTCATGAGGAGCCCAGCACCAGCACTTGAGCAGGACCCTCCTTTTCTTGGGGTTCCTAGGCTGCACCCAGCAGGAACCCTCACCCACTGCTTGCCACCCGGTTTGTTTTTTTTGTTTTGAAACAGGGTTGACCGGGTGCAGTGGCTCATGCCTGTAATCCCAGCACTTTGGGAAGCCGAGGCAGGCGGATCACCTGAGGTCAGGAGTTCGAGACCAGCCTGACCAACATGGAGAAACCCCATCTCTACTAAAAATACAAAACTAGCTGGGCATGGTGGCACATGCCTGTAATCCTAGCCACTTGGGAGGTTGAGGCAGGAGACTCGCTTGAATCCGGGAGGTGGGGGTTGCAGTGAGCCAAGATCGCGCCATTGCACTCCAGCCTGGGCAACAAGAGTGAAACTCGGTCTCAAAAAAAACCAAAAAACCAAAAAACCAAAAAACTAAAAAAACAAAAAACAAAGAAACAGGGTCTTGCTCTGTCACCCAGGCTGGAGTATAGTGGGGCCATCAAGGCTCACTGCAGCCTGGACCTCCTAGGCTCAAGTGATCCTCCCACCTCAGCCTCCCAAAGTGCTGGGATTCCAGGAATGCACCCCCATGCCCTGTCCCCATTTTTACCAGTTGTAGGCCAGCTGCAGTTGCAGCCTGGCATGATCCGCCGTTTCGATGGTGATGACGTCTGTGAAGAAGTCAGGCCCCAGCAGCAGGCAGAGCGCACGGCGGGCATGGGGACGCTTGGGCCGCCCAGCTGAGAGGGACAACACTGTGAACTGCTCCTCAGGACCCAGCGACACCAGCTCAGGCCCGAAGACCACGCTGCAGAGACAGCCGAGGGTCAGAGCCAGACCCATGGAGAGCCACCCCCTACACCCTGCGCTGCCAGCACTCACCGGGCTCGCTTCTCTCGGTAGTCGTACACCTGCACCGCAGCGTTGTGGGGCACGCGGTAGCTGACCACACGGGTCTTGTTCCGGGGCGCCAAGGGCTGGAGGCTCTTAGCTGTGTCCTTCTCACCCCTGTCTGCCAGAGGGTCCTGCCCCTTGTTCAGCAGCTCCTCCACCCCGGGAGGCAGCTCTTTCTCCCACAGGACTTCGTCCTGGGTCAGCATGTAGGTGCTTCCAATCACAGCGCGCACCTTGGGACGAGGACAGGGAGGGAAGCTGCCCGTAAGGGTGGAAGGGAGGAAGATCCGCCCAGCTGTCCCAAAGCAGAGCCCATCCAGGGAAGGCGCGCCACGAGGTTAAACACCTTCTCTACGGGGAGGCCAGGCTCCACCCCGGGTTTGCCATCTGCTGGCCCTGTCATCGTGGGCTAACTACCTCACCCCTTGGGCTTCAGTTTCCTCATGTGTCAAGTGGACTTGACGGTGGCTACCTTGCAGGGTCTAGGGGTGAATGACATCTTCACATGTCTAGCTCAAACAGCTCTTGGCATAGAGAAGGTGCTCAATGTTATTTCTAGAATCTTCCTTCATGGGGCAGTTTGGAGGGCACCTCGGGGATGGTGAAGTAGGCTGTGTACACGGATGCTCCCTCGGATTCCAAGCTGGACTTCCAGCTTGGATTCTTAGAGAAGGTTGGAGATGTGGCCCGAGGTCAAATCAAGGTCAAGGTTTTAGGTGAAGCAGAAAAAAATGAAAGATTCCACCGGGATATGGGCATGAGGGAGGAGGTCCTTCCTGTTCCCTGGCCACCCCATCAGACCTTTATGCTGGAAACCAGGTCTGCTGTGGGAAAGGGTCCCTGTCCTAAACCCCCACTTGTCCTCTCAGTGGACATGCTAATATTTTTTTTTGACAGAGTCTCACTCTGTCACCCTGGCTGAAGTGCAGTGGTGTGATCTCGGCTCACTGCAACCTCCGCTTCCCAGTTCAAGCAATTCTCCTGTCTCAGCCTCCCAAGTATCTGGGACTACTCAGACCACCACCACGCCTGACTAATGTTTGTACTTTTAGTAGAGACAGGGTTTCCCATGTTGGCCAGGCTAGTCTTGAACTCCTGACCTCAGGTGATCCGCCCGCCTCGGCCTCCCAAAGTGCTGAGATTACAGATGTGAGCTACCGCACCTGGTTGGTTCTAACATTTCAAATGAGACATTTAAGGCAGAAGGATGGCAAACACTCCACGTAGTGCCCTCCCCCAACCAGACAGCCCACCTGATATGGCTCTCCATGCTGCTGAAGTCCCTGCCCACCTCTTCCACACACCCAGAGGAAGCCGCCACCAAGGCCAAGGCCACGTGGCAGCACTGCTGCTCACTCCCAGCCATTACCTTTCCGGTCTTGACATCCTGCACATAGATGCCCTCGTTCTCGTCTAGAGGGATGGCCTGGCGCTCCTCCACCACCTCCACTTTGGCAGATGGCACATACTCCAGGGGTCCGCGGATGAGCCAGTGGTCCCCAGCCTGGTGTGAGACCTTCTCCTCATCCTCCCCCTCCTCCAGGGGCTGCAGGGCCCTCAGCAGCAGCCCCTGCTGCTCCGACAGCACATACACATCCTGGATGCCTTGTTCCAGCTGCTCTCCTGGCTGGAGGAAAAAAGACTTCTCTCCCTAGTGGGGAGACGTGAGGTTAGGGTCAGTGCCTTTAGGGTTGCGGGTGCTTCCAATGGTACCTCCCCAGTCCTGTGCTGTTTCAGGCCTGTGTGGAGGACAAGAGCACCAGAAGCCCGCCCCCACCCCCACATCATAATACGGTGAGGCACTGTCTGGACTGTGAGGCTCTACACAAACGCCTGCCAAATCTCATCTGGTCAAATGTGTCCTTGAAAGATTCCATAACTGTCAGGACCTGGATCCACGCAAGCTAAACCATTAAAAATCAACCTGTTTTTTCTTCTTTCTCCCAGGCTTTGTTTTCTAGAGATGGTGTAACCTAGGGCTTGACAAACTCTGGTTTTCAGGCCAAATCTGGATTCTGCCTTTTTTTTTTTTTTTTTTTTTTTTTGAGATAGTCTTCCTCTCTTGCCCAGGCTGGATAGTGCAGTGGCATGATCTCAGCTCTCTGCAGCCTCAACCTTCCAGGCTCAAGCAATCCTCCCACCTCAGCCTCCCAAGGAGCTGGGACTACAGATGCGCATCACCACACCCAGCTAATTTTTGTGTGCTTCGTAGATGATGGGGTGTTGCCATGCTGCCTAAGCTGGTCTCAAAGTCCTAGACTCAAGCGATCTACCCACCTCAGCTTTCCAAAGTGCTGGGATTATAGATGTGAGCCACCACGCCCAGCACCGCCTGTTTCTTAAAAAAATTTTGAGATATAATCCACATATGAAATTTTCCCATCTAGAGTATACAATTCACAATTCAGTTGTTTTAGTATACTCAAAGTTGTCCAACCATCACTGCTATGTTAAGTCTAGAGTATTTTCGTCATCACCCTGAAAAGAAATCCTGTACCTAGAAGTTACTGCCACTCCCCACCTACCCCACCCACCACTAGTCTATTTTCTTTATGTGTTTACCTATTCTGGACATTTCACATAAATGGAATCATGCAATATGTGGTCTTTGATGTCTGGCTTTTTTCTTTTTCTTTTTTTGAGATGGAGTCTCGGCTCAGCAGCCCAGGCTGGAGTGCAGTGGTGGGATCTCGGCTCACTGCAACTACTGTCTTCCAGGTTCAAGAGATTCTCCTGTCTCAGCCTCCCGAGCAGTAGCTGGGATTACAGGCACCCGCCATCATGCTAGCTAATTTTTGTATTTTAACAGAGACGGGGCTTCACCATGTTGGCCAGGCTGGTCTTGAACTCCTGACCTCAGGTGATGTGCCCACCTCAGCCTCCTAAAGTGTTAGGATTACAGGCGTGAGCCACTGCGTCCAGCTGGCTTCTTTCACTTAGCATAACATTTTCAATTTTATCCATGTTGTAGCACGTATGTCATTATTTTTTGTTTTTCCTAGAGACAGGATCTCACTCTACTGCCTCAGGCTGGAGTACAGTGGCACAATCATAGCTCACTATACACTCCACTTCCTGGGGTCAAGCGATTTTCCCACTTTAGCCTCCCAAATAGCTGGGACTACAGGTGTGCCACCATGCCTGGTCAATTTTTAAAAGTTTTTGTAAAAATGGGGTCTCACTATGTTACCCAGGCTGGTCTCAAACTCCTGGCTTCAAGCAATCCTCCTGCCTCGGCCTCCCAAAGCACTGGGATTATAGTCATGAGCTGTTGCGCCTGGCCTGCCATTTCTTTCTTATGGCTGAATGATATTCCATTGTATGGATATGCTACAATTTTTTATCCATTCATTATATATGTACATTTGGGTTATTTCTAATTTTTTTTTTTTTTTGAGACAGTCTTGCTCTGTCACCCAGGCTGGAGTGCAGTGGTGTGATCTCGGCTCACTGCAACCTCCGCCTCCCGGGTTCAAGCAATTCTCCTGCCTCAGCCTCCAGAGAAGCTGGGATTACAGGTGCCTGACACCATGCCCAGCTAATTTTTTTGTATTTTTAGTAGAGAAAGGGTTTTGCCATGTTGGCCAGGATGGTTTCTAACTCCTGACCTCAAGCGATCCACCCGCTTTGGACTCGTAAAGTGCTGGGATTACACATGTAAGCCACCATGCCTGGCCTATTTCTACTTTTTCTGCCTCCTGTTTTTGCAGATAAACTATTCCAGGAGCATGGCAGTACTCACTTGTTTACGTAGTGCCCAAGCTGCTTTCCTGACATAACAGCAGAGTTGAAGAACTTCCACAGAAACAATGACTCACGGAGCCTGGAGTATCTACCATCCAGCCCCCTTTACAGAATGAGTTTGGCAACTGCTGGTATTCCCACATATAGTTCAGAGAGGGGATGAAGTAGGGGGTGGGAGAGGGTAAACCAAGAGGTTTATTTTACAAAAGATGACAAAGCAAAGTGAACACCAGGATATTAAAGATGTGAAATATAGTCACTGCATGATAGTTCAGTCCATTACAGACTGCACATGGTGGTCCCGTAAGATTATAATGGAGATTTTTTTTTTTTCTGAGAGTCTCACTCTATCGCCCAGGCTAGAGTGCAGTGGCACGATCTCGGCTCACCACAGGCTTGATCTCCAGGGTTCAAGTGATTCTCGTGCCTCAGCCTCCCGAGTAACTGGAATTACAGGTGTGTGCCACCACACCTGGCTAATTTTTGTATTTTTAGTAGAGACAGGGTTTCCCCACGTTGGCCAGGCTAGTCTCGAACTCCTGACCTCAAGTGATCCACCTGCCTCGGCCTCCCAAAGTGCTGGGATTACACGTATGAGCCACTGTGCTGGCCTATAACGAAGCTTTTATATTGTATTTTTACCTTACCTTTTCTATGGCTAGATACACAAGTACTTGCCATTGTGTTCAGCTGCCTGCAGTATTCAGGACAGTCACATGCTGCACAGGTTGGCAGCCTAGGGGCAGGCTACGCCATCTAGACTAGGTGCCATCTAGGTTTGCATAAGTGCACTCTTTTGCACAAAGACAAAATCATCTAAGGACTATTTCTCAGAATGTATCCCCATCATTAAGTGGCGCATGACTGTATCAGAGTTTCAGAGTCTCAGGCAGCGGGTAGCCAGGAGGCCTTCCCAGAAGGGGAATTAACTTCAGGTCTGAGGGGTAAGTCAGAGGCTGCCAGGAATCAAATGGGCCAGTGTCTCAGGTGTGTAAGAACTAAGCATGCAAAGGCACAGAAGGTGTTCCTAGAACGTGCGTCTGGAGGAGAGAAGGCAGAGGGCCTCATGCCACTAGAGGACATACATCTCCCAGGGCAGTCCTCTGTGGGGGTGTAGGGACCTCACCTTGACCACGCGCTTCTGCCCCAGCTGATTCTTGCCATCCGGTCCGACAGGGTCGAGAATCACGCAGTAGTTGTGGGGGCCCAGGGTGGTGATGGGCACAACCCCCAGCACCTCCTCGTGGACATCTGGCACGTGGGCCTCTGTGTCCT
This sequence comes from Homo sapiens, assembly GCF_000001405.40. NCBI lineage: Eukaryota > Metazoa > Chordata > Mammalia > Primates > Hominidae > Homo > Homo sapiens. Next base: position 29,836,809 of record NC_000016.10, on the reverse strand, counting down.
GCACTGTTACCAGCCACTCCTCCCCAGTGCGGCGGGACACTCCCCTGAAGTCCCGGAAGTTCCGCCGAGCCCGGAGGTGCAGGGCTGTCTGCAGAGCAACATGTTGGGTATTTGAGTGACCTGCCTCCAACTTCAGGGGATCTGCGAGCCCCATTGGCCACCAAATGCTCCCAATGCTCCCAGATCTCAGAGACAATTTCTACCAATCCAGGGATTGTTTTTTTTTTTTTTTAAATCGGAGTCTCTCTCTTGTTGCCCAGGCTAGAGTGCAAAGGTGCGATCTCAGCTCACTGCAACTTCCGCCTCCTAGGTTCAAGCGATTCTCCTGCCTCAGCCTCCTGAGTACAGCTGGGATTACAGGTGGGTGACACCATGCCCAGCTAATTTTTGTATTTTTAGTAGAGATGGGGTTTCGCCATGTTGGCCAGGTTTGTCTTGAACTCCTGACCTCAGGTGATCCTCCCACCTCAGCCTCCCAAAATGCTAGGATTACAGGCATGAGCCACTGCACCCGACCGGCTTTGTTTTTTTTTTTTTTTTTTGAGACAGGGTTTCGCTCTGTTGCCCAGGCTGGAGCACAGTGGCATGATCATGGCTCACTGTAACCTCTGCCTCTGGGGTTCAAGCGATTCTCCTGCCTCAGCGCCTCTGGAGTAACTGGAATTACAGGCATGCTCCACTACACCCAGCTAATTTTTAAATTTTTTGTAGCGATGAGTTCTCACTGTGTTGCCCAGGCTGGTCTCAGACTCCTGGCCTCAAGTGATCCTCCTGCCTCAGCCTTCCAAATTGCTGAGATTACAGATGTGAGTCATTGCGCCCAGCCCCAGAAAGACTATTTAACCCTTCAGATGATCCAGAATACTCAGGCAATCTGATCTCTGAATTTTTTTAAGTGACCCTAAAATTATTGCTTCTCTTTTACTCTCATGCCATTCTACCACCATTCTCTGCCACTCGGAGGGTTCCCTAGCCCCAGGTCCCTTAAACCACAGCCCCCAGAGCACCAACCTTTTCCGTAAGGATGACGGCGTCCACCAAATCCAGAACCTCCTCAAACACCGCTGGGAGGTACGCCCCTACTGTGGTGACCAGCCATTCTTCCCCTGGGCCAAGAGTGGAGGGTAAGGGACAAGGGCCCCCCAGCCTGCTCCCCACCTACCCCTCCCCCACAGCTTAGACACAGGGGATTGACAGATTTCATAGGCAAAAAGATAGCACTGACCCCAGGCTCAAGTTCCTGACTGCGGTCCTCTTATTCATTCTTTTGAGGCCAAACCCCCACCCCAGTTGAATTTTAAAAGTTTTTTTTTTTTTTTTTTTTTTTTTGAGACGGAGTCTCCCTCTGTTGCCCAGGCTGTGATCTCAGCTCACTGCAACCTCAGCCTCCTGGATTCAAGTGATTCTCATGCCTCAGCCTCCTGAGTAGCTGGGATTACAGGCACGTGCCACCACGCCCGGCTAATATTTGTATTTTTTGTAGAGATGGTGTTTCACCATGTTGCCCAAGCTAGTCTGGAACTCCTGGCCTCAAGTGATCCGCCCACCTTGGCCTCCTAAGATGCCCAAGTTGCTGCTATGCCAACAGCCTGTTCTGCCTTCTCTAAGCTCCAAAGACCAACTTTTGTCCTTCTGCTAAAACAGGCAGCAGAACTGCCTCTGTTAGAGTTGTGGATGTCCTTTGGTTTACTGGAGAAGCCAGAGTGCCTGGATGCAGGTCCCAGCCTCGCCCTGCCTGGCCACACCCCAGGGCAAGCAACCTGCATTCTGCATCCCAGTTTTGATATATAGAAAGTGGGAATGGCCGGGTGCGGTGGTTCACGCCTGTAATCCCAGCACTTTGGGAGGCCGAACCTGGTGGATCACGAGGTCAGGAGATCAAGACCACCCTGGCTAACATGGTGAAACCCTGTCTCTACTAAAAAAAAAAAAAAAAAAAATACAAAAAAAAAAAAAATTAGCTGGGCATGGTGGTGGGCGCCTGTAGTCCCAGCTACTCAGGAGGCTGAGGCAGGAGAATGGTGTGAACCCAGGAGGCGGAGCTTGCAGTGAGCCGAGATCGCGCCACTGCACTCCAACCTGGGCAACAGCAAGAAAGCAAGACTCCGTCTCAAAAAAAAAAAAAAAGTGGGAATGGTAGCACCTCGGGGTAGTACCTCTGTGGCCCAGGATGGAGTGCAGTGGTGCAGTCACAGCTCACTGCAGCCTCCACATCCTGGGCTCAAGAAATTCTCCCCCTTCAGCCTTCTGAGTAGCTGGGACCACAGGTGTGTGTCCAAGGCCAGGCTAATTTTTAAATTCTCTGTAGAGATGGGGTCTCACTGTGTTGCTCAGGCTGGTCTTAAGCTCCTGGGCTCAGACGATTCACCCACCTTGGCAAAGTGCTGGGATGACAGGTGTGAGCCACTGTACCTATTGGCCTACATTTGTCAATTGTATTTGAACATCTTCTTTGTTGATCCAGAATCAGGTAAGTCATGGCCACTGCCCACAGCTCATGGTGAAGGTGAGGGAAGGAAAAGCCACATCCGCATGGTCATGGTCACATTTTCCAGCCCAAGTGGAAACAGCATGAAGCGGGGGTGGGGAAGGAAGAGCAGTGGGTGGCCCTCAACAGCTTTCAAAAGATACCAGGAAAGCGCCTCTCTGGGGCTACAGGAGGCTTTCCTCAACCTTCCCCTGCTTCCCCTGCAGTGGGGACCCCTCCTGCCCACCCACCATCATCGCCCCTTGGTGACCCCACCTGTCACCCTCTCCTTGCCGTCCCGGTCCCAGCACTCCTTGCGGGCCCTGAGCCGCAGAGCCTGGTTCTGCCTGATGATGGTGGCCTGAATGATCTCCACGACCTCCACTTCCTTCCGGGGGATGTACGTGCCTGGGGAGGGAAGGTGATGGTCAGAAGGTATCAGGGCTATGACAGGAAGGCAGGGAGCCCTATGGAGACAGAACTTACCAGGTCCCTCGAAAAGCCACTCATCTCCTGCCACCACCTTGTCTCCATCTTTATCCTCAAAATCAAGCAGCGCCTTTAGATGGAGGGCAGTGTTGGGCAGAACCACCTGCAGGGGTGTGATGTCCTAGTGGGGAAGAAGGTGGAGACACAGAACCATCAGTGCTGTGACCCCAGGGCCAAGCCTGATGCTCTGGAGGCGGGTCCACAACATCCATCTCTGTATGTCCTGAAATAAGACTGGGGTGGAGGCCGGGCACAGTGGCTCACACCTGTCATCCCAGAACTTTGGGAGACTGAGGTAGGAGGATTGCTTGACCTCAGACATTCAAGAACCAGCCTGGGCAACATAGCAAGATCCCATCTCTAAAAAAAAAAAAAAAAAAAAAAAGTGTAGCCAGGCATGGTGGCGGCGCACACCTGTAGTCCCAGCTACTCGGGAGGCTGAGGTGGGAGGATCACTTGAGCCCAGGAGGTTAAGGCTTCAGTGAGCTATGACTGCACCACTGCACTTCAGCCTGGGCAGCAGAGCAAGACCCTGTCTCAGGAGTTCAGATGAAGGAGAAGTTAGAGAAGGCCCTTTGAACTGAAACTGGGGCTCAAAGGAAGAGCTGGCTTTTTTTTATTTTTGGAGATGGGGTCTTCCTATGTCATCCAGGCTGGACTGCAGTGGTACAACCATGGCTCACAACAGTCTCAATCTCCCAGGCTCATGTGATCCTTCTGTCTCAGCCTCCTGAGTGGCTGGGATTACAGGTGTGTCACCACCCCCAGCTAATTTTTTTTTTTTTTTTTGAGACAGAGTCTTGCTCTGTCACCCAGGCTGGAGCGCAGTGGCGCAATCTCAGCTCACTGCAATCTCCGCCTCCCAGGTTCAAGTAATTCTCATGCCTCAGCCTCCCAAGTAGCTGGGATTACAGGCGCATGCCACCACGCCTGGCTAATTGTTGTATGTTTAGTAGAGATGGGTTTTCGCCATGTTGGCCAGCCTGGTCTCAAACTCCTGACCTCAAGTGATCTGCCTACCTTGGCCTCCCAAAGTGCTGGGATTACAGGCGTGAGCCACTGTGCCCGGCTGAACATATTTAAAATGAAAGCTTAGGCAGGGCTTGGTGGCTCACACCTGCAATCCCAGCATTTTGGGAGAATGAGGTGGAAGGATCGTTTGAGCCCAGGAGGTTGAGGCTGCAGTGAGCTATGATCACCCCACTGCACTCTCGTCTAGGCAACAGGGGGAGATCCAGAAAAAAAAAAAAAAAAAAAGGCCAGGCGCGGTGGCTCACGCCTGTAATCCCAGCACTTTGGGAGGCCAAGGCAGGTGGATCATGACGTCAGGAGATCGAGACCACCCTGGCTAACACGGTGAAACCCCATCTCTACTAAAAACACAAAAAGTTAGCCGGGTGTGGTGGTGGGCGCCTGTAGTCCCAGCTACTCGGGAGGCTGAGGCAGGAGAATTGCGTGAACCTGGGAGGCAGAGCTTCCAGTTAGCCGAGATTATGCCACTGTACTCCAGCCTGGGCAACAGAGTGAGACTCCATCTCAAAAAAAAAAAAAAAAAAAAAAAGGTACAAGAATCCCTATATACTTTTCACTTGGATTCCTTAAGGGTTATTGTCTTAATCATTCTTCATTTTCTCTCTACACACACACTTCTTCCCCCAAACTGTCTGCACCTAAGTGGACATGAATGTCTCTAAAAGTTCCCCATGTTCTGCTATTATGCTTTCAGGATCAAGCAGCACTGGTTAGTAAAGTCAGTAAGAAAACCATTAAATGGGGCTGGACACGGTGGCTCATGCCTGTAATCCCAGCACTTTGGGAGGCCGAGGCGGGCGGATCATGAGGTCAGGAGATCAAGACCATCCTGGCTAACACGGTGAAACCCCGTCTCTATTAAAAACAAACAAACAAACAAACAAAAAACCCAAAACCATTAAATGGCCAGAAGGTAAAGGTGGAAGAACAGGTAAAGGAATGAAGGTGGGACACCCACCTGCTCAGGCCCAGGCCTGAGGCCAACGGGGACAAGAGCCTGGCTGTAGGTTCAGGCCTGTGATGGCTTCTCCTAGAACAGGCACAGCCTGGGGCCTGGGCTTGTCACTGCTGCTTTGGCACTGCCCACCAGTGTCTGGCACCGGGTGAATGAACTGCTTAACCTTGGCACATGTCATTTAATGCCAGACTGGCTGGGCACTTCTGGTAGGCTCTGGAGCCTGGGAAGGTGAGATGGGCCAACAGTTCTCAGAAAAGAGGCAGGTGTGTTTGGGGCATGTGTGGAGGATGGGGGTGGCTGGAGGTGAGTGGAGGTACAGTGAGTCAATTCCACCCTTGGTGAGAGCCAGCAAGTGTCTCTCCCCACCCCTCCCACTGCCCTGGTTTGTTTTCCCTTTAGAACTCGGTACAGGCCGGGAACAGTGGCTCATGCCTGTAATCCCAGCACTTTGGGAGGCCGAGGCAGGTGGATCACCTGGGGTCGGGAGTTTGAGATCAGACTGGCCAACATGGTGAAACCCTGTCTCTACTAAAAATACAAAAATTAGCCGGGCGTGGTGGCGGGTGCCTGTAATCCCAGCTACTGAGGAAGCTGAGGCAGGAAAATCACTTGAACCCAGGTGGAGCTTCCAGTGAGCCGAGATTATGCCACTGCACTCCAGCCTGGGCGACAAGAGTGAAACTCTGCCTCAAAAAAGAAAAGAAAAAAAGAAGAAGAAGGCAGCAGTATAGAGCCCAAGGCAGGTGGAGGACAGGTAGGGTGGGGCATAGGGAGTGAGGAAACCAGGTACCTTTTCCAGCACCTCCCCTGGGTACAGGGGGAAGGGGTCCTGGGCCAGCCGGATCTCGAGGTCAGCGTGGCGAAGCCGAACTTGCCCTGTGACATCAAACAGCACCAAGCCCTGGGCATCCCGAGACACAGGGTTGGCCACTGTGCAGTAGTGACGTGGGGGGACGGTCACCATGCGCATGGGGGCAAACAGTACCCTGCAGGAAGATGAGAAGAGGTGTGAGGACCTGGGACCAGGTCTCCACTACCAAAGAGGACACCAAATGAGAGAGAAACCTCTCTATCGCCCAAGCGAGGGCCACTCCTGCTTGGGAAGAGGGAGGAGGATAAGGACCATCATGCCAGCCAAACAGGCCCCCACATCCCCAAGGATCCCCCACAGCCCAGCCCCCACACCCACCTCTCATTGTCCTGCCGGATGTAGGTCTTTGGCCCGACCTCCACACGGGACACGTTGCTGTTCTGGTCCAGCACATGGATATAGTGGTATGGGGGGATGCGGATGATGAACTCTTCAGTTGCCATGGTGACTCCTAAGCCCAGGGCTCACAAGAAGATGACTGGTAGGTGGGGGAGACGACACAGGATGAACCTGGGGAGCCTGGGGTGGGGCAGGCATGAATCTGGTGACAGACTCTGGGTGGGATACGGCCCTACCTCCTCCAGCCAGGCCACTGCACCCTTCCCTGTCCGCATCTGCATGCCCACTGCTCCCTGTCTTCACCCCACCCAAGACGACACAGCCCATCCTGACCTTACCTTTGCCAAGAACTGCTTGATGCAGTGAGCCACAGAGGCCCAGGGTTCCTTGCCAATTCCTTTCCCTCACTCCCATCAACTACTTCCCCCTACACTGCCACCGGCACTGCAAAGAGCTTCAGATCAAGGTGCTCCCAGTCTCTTACGGTGGAGAGATACAGCAAGCTGGGAAACTGGGGAGCCATGGAGGTGGTGACATGGCCTTGTCCAGCACGCAATGGGCAGCTGCTCTGAGGAGCTGCCTGGCTCCTCCAGAGGGAGGCAGCCCTTTATTTCAGAGAATCCTGAGGCCCCAGCTGTATTCAAATGTCAGCCCATAGCCAAAGAATATCTGTATGCCTCAGGTAGTCCAGTGGCTAGGATTCGGCCATAAACAAAAGGAATGTTTACATGAGCTGTGTCTATGTTCCCTGCCTCTTTCCTATGCTTTAGTAATCCTGGGCTGAATGTGAAGACCTAGTCCACTGCTCATAAAGGGATCCCAGATGGAACTGAGCCTTCCATAGAACCAGCTGCATTACTAACACTGCAAATCACTCTGGCCCCCTCGTCCCCAGTTCTCTCCCATCCTCAGCTCCTGCAGTTGTGAGCAAGGGTAGGGTGGAAAGGAAGGAGAAGGGGGATGATTATCATGTTCCACCCACCCATCCCACCTGCTTCTGAATCCTGAGTAGTTTCACCCAGTGCTTGGCCTGTTCAGGAATGTCACATGCCCTACCTAAGCCCCACCCCTGCCCCCAGCACTTTGGACTTTGGACATGTCCCTTTGAGTCACACAAATGGGACCAAGTTTACTAGGTGCTCCAGAGCCTCATCCTTAAGAGACTCAGGTCAGACTTTTTTTTTTTTTTTTTTTTTTTTGAGACGGAGTCTTACTCTGTCACCCAGGCTGGAGTGCAGTGGTGCAATCATAGCTCACAAAAGCCATGCCTCAGCCTCCTGGGTAGCTGAGACTACAGGTACATGCCACCATGTCTAGCTAATTTTTTTTTTTGGAGAGATGAGGTCTCATTATGTTGCCTAGGCTGGTCTCGAATTCCTGGCCTCAAGCAATCCTCTTGCCTCTGCCTCCCAAAGTGCTGGGATTATAGGCGAGCCATCACACCTGGCCGATGAGGAGCCTCTTTTGTCTGGTGGTGGCCTCAAAAATGTCTGGCCAGGACAGGTGCAGTGGCTCATGCCTGTAATCCCAGCATTATGAGAGGCAGAGTGAGACTCCATCTCAAAAAAAAAAAAAAAAAAGTGGTTCCTCATCAATTCCACCATCTACCCAGCCTCCAACCCCAGGTGAAAAATATAAGTGAGGGGAAGAAGGGAGTGGCCTGGCCGAGGAAAAACAGGCAGGAGCCACAGATTACAGAATCAAGGCTGGATACAGCCCAAGAGGAGTTATACTTGAGCCCCACGATCTGTAAAACTTCAACTTTTTGTTTAGAAATTGTGAGTCTTCACAAAATCCCAATTCCTGATTCACTTGAAGAATTAGAAGACCAGCAATACAGCCTACAGTCAAGCAGCAGCTGCCCCATTTAGATGGAACACAAGCTTTCCCACCTACCACAGTCCCCACCACCCCCTGCTGCCTTACAGCTATGCCATTGCACTGCCCAGCTCTTGTTTAAAAACCCTTTAACTTGGCCGGGCGTGGTGGCTCAAGCCTGTAATCCCAGCACTTTGGGAGGCCAAGGCAGGTGGATCACCTGAGGTCAGGAGTTCGAGACCAGCCTGGCCAACATGGCGAAACCCCGTCTCTACTAAAAATACAAAAATTAGCCAGTTGTGGTGGCGGGTACCTATAATCCCAGCTACTAGGGGGGCTGAGACAGGAGGATTGCTCGAACCTGGGAGGCAGAGGTTGCAGTGAGCAGAGATCGTGCCATTGCACTCCAGCCTGGGCAACAGAGCGAGACTCCAATCTCAAAACCAAACCAAAAAAACCCTTTTACTCAGCAGCGTCCAATAGAGCTTTCTACAATGATGAGAATATTCTAAATCTGTGCTGTCTTTGGACTAGCCACATCCACATGTGGCTCCTGAACACTTAAAATGTGGCTAATGGCCGGTCATGCTGGCTCACACCTGTAATCTCAGCACTTTGGGAGGCTGAGGTCGGCAGATCACAAGGTCAGGAGTTTGAGACCAGCCTGGCCAACATGCAGAAACCCTGTCTCTACTAAAAATACAAAAATTAGCTGGGCATGGTGGCACGTGCCTGTAATCCCAGCTATTTGGGAGGCTGAGGCAGGAGAATTGCCTGAACCTGGGAGGCAGAGGTTGCAGTGAGCCAAGATCTCGCCATTGCACTACAGCCCTGGGCGACAGAGCAAGACTCTGTCTTGGAAAAAAATAAAATAAAATGTGGCTAATGCATCTGAGGAACTAAATTTTTAAATTATTTTTTGAGACAAGGTCTTGTTCTGTTGCCCAGGCAGGAATGCAGTGGCACAATCATGACTCACTGCAGCCTCAACCTCCAGGCTCAAGTGATCCTCCCACCTCAGCCTCCCGAGTAGCTGGGATTACAGGCATGTGCCACCACGCCTAGCTAATTTTTTCATTTTTTTTGCAGAGACAAGGTCCTGCTATGTTGCCTAGGCTGGTCTCGAACTCCTGGGCTCAAGCAATCCTCCCGCTTCAGCCTCCTAAAGTGCTGAGATTACAGGGGTACGCTACCGTACCCAGCTAATTTTAATTTAAATTGCCAAATATGGCTGGTTGATCCCATACTGGACAGTAGAGCTCTAAATAGTTGAGACCCAGAGAGGGACAATGAATCCTTTAGGGCCACAAGCAAGTTAGTGGTGCTGTTGGGACTAGAACCCTGGTGGAATGCCTGGTCCTGTCTTTCTAGAGAGGCATCATGGTCCCGTGGCTCGGGGCACCCATTCCAACCCAGACTGCCCGGGCTTACAACTCTGATCGGCTGCTTTCGTGTTTTCACATAGTTTCCTCACTGCCTTGCCTCATTCTGAAAGAGGTTACAGTTTGGGTCTGTTTTCCTGGCACACTTTCCACATCACAGGGAGGTTATTCTGCTGCTCATTCTTTCATCTTGCAACTTTGTATGAGATCTGACCTTGATCTCATTTTCTGTTGCTCATTTTTGCTCAAAGTTACTTTCCCTTCGCTTGTAGGAGGGTGGCTTGTCTAACATCAGAGCTCCCTCTTCTGCGGTTTGGGAACACAGGGGCTTGCTTTCCGATGTCCTGGCTCTGTTCCTCTCGCCACTCTTATGGGGACCTTGTCTTTTCTTCCTATAGCCCTGTCCTGCTCACCTTTGATTCCACCCCCCAGTTGCTCCACAATACGGGGCTCTGTTCTGGAAAGACGACTTCCTAGAGTCCAGAGGGCTGGGAATGCCTAGATCTGGATTTTTTTTTTTTTTTTTTTGAGATGGACTCTCACTCTGTCGCCAGGCTGGAGTGCAGTGGCGCAATCTCGGCTCACCGCAACCTCCGCCTCCCCAGTTCAAATGATTCTCCTGCCTCAGCCTCCCAAGTAGCTGGGACTACAAGCGCCTGCCACCATGCCCAGCTAACTTTTTGTATTTTTTTTTTAGTAGAGACGGGGTTTCACCATGTTGACCAGGATGGTCTTGATCTCTTGACCTTGTGATCCACCCGCCTCGGCCTCCCAAAGTGCTAGGATTACAGGCGTGAGCCACCACGCCCGGCCTTTTTTTTTTTTTTTTTTTGAGATAAGGTCTTACTTTGTTGCCCAGGCTGGAGTGCAGTGATCACAGCTCACTGTAGCCTTGAACTCCTCAGCTCAAGGGATCCTCCCATCTCAGCCTCCCGAGTAGCTGGGACTGTAGATACGTACTGCCACACCTAGCTAATTTTTAATTTTTTGTAGGCATAAGGTCTTTGTTGTCCAGGCTGGTCTCAAAATCCTGGTCTTAAGTAGTCATCCAGCCTTAGCTTCCCAAAGCACTGGGACTACAGGTGGAGCCACCGCACCCAGCCAGGATGCCTGGATCTTGGCTCTCACCCTTATGGGATCAGTGATTTGAACAAGTCCCTTGACCACCCTGTGCCTGTTTCCTCATCTACAAAATGAGAATGGATAACATTATCAACCAAGTTAGCACATAAAGCACTGGGAACAGAGCCTGGCTCTTCATCTGCACTGTTTGACTGCAGAGGAGGGAAGAGTGCCTGAGGCCCAACTTTCCTATCCAGTGAGGAATCTAGGGAATATAACCAGTGCTGGGGGCTCCCCACCTGAGCTGGCATGCTGGTTTAAGCCTCAGTTGTTTACTGGTCAGTGGCTTATTTCACCCCAGCTGCAGGGATGGAACAGCAAGTAGGGGCTTTACTGCCAAGTGAAGCTTTTTCCACTGCTCCCTTGGAGGGTTCTCCGCAGGGCCGAAACCTGGCCAGGAAACCAGATGGGAGAAGAGGAAGGGCTGGGGCTGTGAGCGGAGGTATGGACAGGGCTCTGAGGCCCCCCCAGGAAAGATTTGAACTCTAGAAGGCCGTGCAAGGTTGGAAGCAGGCTCTGGGAACAGCCTCCATTTGGTTCATCAGTGGATAATCTCCCCAACACCCCCCACAGCTGAGGCCTCTCCACCATCTGCCGCCCCAGCTGGGCCCAGTCAGGGGGTCTGAATGCCTCGCCCAGCTCAGTGACTCAGCAAGAGTCATCCTCATGGCTGGACTCCTGCCTTGTTCTGAGGCCAAGCCCTCGGCAACTGCCCCTGCATCAGCACCAGGACCCCACCTCACCTCCCTGACCACCCACCTGCCATGCCCTAAACCTGGGCCTTCTGCCTAGACCACCCAGGACAGGTCTTGCCTTCTACCCTCGCCATCTATGGAGGTGAGCCAGGGAAACCCTTTGACTCAGGCAGCACATTGGTGACAAGTCTCAGATTGAGTTTTTTGTGGTTTCCTTCCAGATGACATGCGCAGTTAGAGCATTTTACTTAAAATAGATCAGGGCCCTCAAAAGACAATAGCAAGGATTGTGTTGACCTTTGGAAGGCTCTGCCCAGCCCTCAGGCTTGGCCCCTGCTCCCCAGATCCACTCATCCACCCAACTTCCTTCAGTCTCTGCTTCTGAGACCTGCCCTAGTCGGCTCTCAGTGTAGAGGCCCAGTCTTGCCTGATCACACCTCCCTCAGGTGTCATGAGGCTCCTGCAAGAACCACAGCCAGCTTTCACCCCAAATCCCACCAGGGTCTCTCCCACCATGAGGGTAAATAAGCAGGAACTAAATAGCCTGTCCAAAGCAGAAACCAGGTTCATTGTCTAGTTAAAAGAGGGGCTCTTGCCTGAGAGAGGTGGCTCACACCTGTAATCCCAACACTTTGGGAGGCCGAAGGTGGGAGGATGGATTGAGGCCAGGAGTTCAAGACCAGCTTGGGCAACATAGCAAGGCCCCATCTCTTTAAAGAAAGAAAAAAAAAAAAAAGAGGGAGACCGGATCAGACTCTTGGCTCAAAAGTAAACTTCTGCTACAGCAAAACTTAATAAATAAACGAGTCATGAGTCACTACTTCCCAGAGATCTTCAGGGTCAACTGTGAGTAGCTGATATACTGAATCTCTTTTTTGTTTTTTTTGGAGACTGTAGCCCAGGCTGGAGTGAAGTGGCACAATCTCGGCTCACTGCAACGTCCACCTACCTCCCAGGTTCAAGCAATTCTCGTGCCTCAGCCTCCCGAGTAGCTGGAATTACAGGCACATGCCACCAAGCCTGGCTAATTTTTTGTATTTTAGTAGAGATGGGGTTTCACCCCAGGGTGGTCTCAAACTCCTGAGCTCAGGCAATCTGCCTGCCTCAGCCTCCCAAAGTGCTAGGATTACAGGCGTGAACCACCACACCTGGCCCCTAGTGAGTCTTAAATGGCAATTGACCAAGTGACCACACTGCCTACGGGGTCTGCAGTGAGTAGAGTGGTACCACCTGGAGGCTTGATAGCAACACAGCCTGGGGCCCCACCCCAGAGCCACTGAATCTACTGGCATTTTAACTCGACCCTCAATGACTTGCATGCACATTACAGTCTGAGCAGCTCTGGTCTAAAGCAGACTCTCGGCTCGGGCTGCACACTGGTCATCTGGAAATCTGTTTTTTTTTTTTTTTTTTTTTTTTTTTTTTGAGATGGAGTTTCGTGCTTGTTGCCCAGACTGGAGTGTAGCCATCTCGGCTCACTGCAACCTCTGCCTCCCGAGTTCAAGCAATTCTCCTGCTTCAGCCTCCCAAGTAGCTGGGATTACAGATGTCCGCCACCACACCCAGATAATTTTGTTTTTAGTGGACAGGGTTTCGCCATGTTGGTCAGGCTGGAAGTGATCCACCCACCTCGGCCTCCCAAAGGGCTAGGATAACAGGTGTGATCTGCCGCGCCAGGCCTTCTGGAGACCTTTTTTTAAAGCCACCCATCTCCGGTGATTCTATTTAATTGGTCTGGGTGAGGTTCACCCGTTGCTATTGTAAAAAGTTCTCCCTCATTTTTTTTTTTTTTTTCTGAGACGAGTCTCGCTCTGTCACCCAGGCTGGAGTGCAGTGGCACGATCTCGGATCACTGCAGCTCCGCCTCCCGGGTTCATGCCATTCTCCTGCCTCAGCTGGGATTACAGGCACCCACCACCACGCCTAGCTAATTTTTTTTGTATTTTTAGTAGAGATGGGGTTTCACTGTGTTAGCCAGGATGGTCTTGATCTCCTAACCTCGTGATCCGCCTGCCTTGGCCTCCCAAAGTGCTGGGATTACAGGCGTGAGCCACCGCGCCTGGCCTCTGACTCTTAATATATATCCAGGATTGAGAGCCAGTGGGAAAATGTCACTCCAGCAGGTTTTATCACTGCCAGCATGCTCCTGGGCCACTTACTAGCCTCTGAGCCTTCCTCTCCAGTGAAGTGAGAATAAAAGTGACTGTTGACTAGGCTTGGTGGCTCCCACCTGTAATCCCAGCACTTTGGGAGACCAAGATGGGAGGATCACTTGAGGCCAGGAGTTCAAGACCAGCCTGGGCAACATAGGGAGACCCTGTCTCTATAAAAACCATAAAAAATATTAGCTAGGTGTGGTGGTGCACACCTGTGGTCCCTGCTACTTTGGAGGCTGAGGTGGGAGGATCGCCTGTGCCTGGGAGGTCAAGGCTGCAGTGAGCCGTAAATGGAGCACACGAGTGCGCTCTAGCCTGGGCAAGAGTGAGGCCATCTCAAAAAAAAAAAAAAAAAAAAGAAAAGAAAAGAAAAGGAAAAAAAAATGACTGCTCTTCAAGTCAAAGGTATTAGAGACTGGAGGGTCTCTGGTGCACAGTAGGAACTGGGAGGAGGATAAAGATCAGTTTCAGGCCGGGCGCAGTGGCTGTAATCCCAGCACTTTGGGAGGCCAAGGCAGGCGGATTGCCTGAGCTCAGGAGTTCGAGACCAGCCTGGCCAACATGGTGAAACTTCGTCTCTACTAAAAATACAAAAATTAGCCGTACATGGTGGCAGGCAACTGTAGTCTCAGCTACTCGGGAGGCTGAGGCAGGAGAATTGCTTGAACCAGGGATGCAGAGGTTGCAGTGAGTCGAGATTGCGCCATTGTACTCTGGCCTGGGGGACAGAGCGAGACTCTGTCTCAAAAACAAAAACACAGCTCCGATTGCAGGCTGTGAAGGGCAGGGAATTGCACTCATTCTCCTCCAGCCCCTTCCCTTACCCAGGTCCAGGCAGCCTCCTTTGTCCCCAACCCCAGGGCTCTTGCTCCAGGCAGTCCTGAGGTTGGACGTAAGGTCGGTGATGCGGCCCTGCCCCCAGACCTTCCCACAGCTTCAGGTTCAGGAAAAGGCACATGAAGTTTGGTATAAACAAGGACACAACTTCACAGAGTTTCTCACTGATTTAAGTTAAATATTCTAGTCTTTAGAGAATGGGTCACATGACTCAGGAATTGCCAACAGCCTGTTTTCACCCAGCGGCTTCCTGGTTTACCCCCTTTAGGAGATGATTAATGGAAATTGAGAATGTGTCTCATAAATTACTTTTTTTTTTTTTAAAGCAGCACAGTTTTAGGAACTTTTCGAGACAGAACAGCTCAGCCAGCCTAGACTTCCACTTGTCCTCCCTCCTCCCACTCCTGCCAATTAACACCAGTCACCAGAGGCAAGAACCGCCTAGATCAGAAGCGACCCCAGGAACCAGGCTTCAGCACCCCTGATCTTCATCAATATTTTCTCAACTTGCCTAATCATAGGACTGAGCTATAATTCTTTAAAAAAAAAAAAAAAACAAAACCCCAACCACACACACACAAACAGAGACAGGGTCTCGCTATGTTGCTCAGGCTGGTCTGGAACTCCTGGCCTCAAGCCATCCTCCCATTCGGGCCTCCCAAAGTACTGGGATTACAGGCCTGAGCCACCGCATCCAGCCCTAGGCTGGAATTCTTAACCCCACTCCTGCTGCTTTTTGCAGGCCTCACTTCTGACTCACTGGGTCTAAGTTTCCGGGAGAGAGCCTCTGGACCCTGTGTTCTAGGCAAACGCCCCTAAGTAACAGCTCCCACTTCAGATGAGCTTAATCTGTGCCAGGTAGTGTTAAGTGCCCTCAATTAACTCATGTTATCCTCACAAGAACCTGCAAGTTAAGAAATTTGCCCAAGAGCACACAGTTATCAAAGGACGGAGCCGGAAGTCCAACCTGGCTATAACTGTAGAGACCACAAACTAGGAGGCAGTGGCTTCTCAGGCAGAAACACAAAGATTCTAAGCCGAGAACAAGAACTAGAGGACCTGGGTGGGGCTGTGTACTGCCCAGATGGTGCTAATGGCAGTTCAAAGGTGAGTGTTTCCTGTAAGTTGGGCCAGCGCCCAGCCTCTGCTCCCCCAGAACCTGGGAGGGCAGCACCCAAGATAACCTGAGCACCCCGTTACCTTGGAGCCCTGAGGCTGTCTCTGGGCCACCCACTCAAGGTGGCCCCCCTACCTGCTCAAGGCTACATACAGAGGGCTGTCCTGCCCAAACAGCCACACCCGAGGGCCGACCCAGTGCTCTGTGTGCCAAGGGAGTTTCTGGCAGAGCCACCTGATACCCCACGTGACAGCTGGCCTCTCCCCCATCACCCAGGGGCTACCCAGGCAGAGAGCTGAGAACACAGGGGCCATCAGCCTCGCTATCACCTCCACCCCCAAGTGCTTGGCTCCCCAAGGGACAGCTCTAAAATCCCCAGAATCTCAGGCTGGTGGGTCCAGCTGAGCATCCTAGTTTTCACTTTCTCCTCCCAAAAAGGAAAGAACCTTGGTCACTAAATTCTACGCCTTCTGGAAATCACTCTGCTAATGACTTCCTGAATGATCGACTGAGACCAACAGCTGGCCCAGCCCTGCATGGAGGAGTAAGAAACCCTCATCTGTCAGAGTTAAGGGGCCTGAATGGGTACAGGTCACATTCTTGGAGCTCAAGGTGACAGGCCAGAGCCCAGGTCCCCAGGACAGTGCAGGTGAGTAGAGCAAGCACCGATCTAGGGCTAAGATGGGGTCTGAATGACCCTGTAAGGTTCCCCACCTGATTTCCCAGGTGGGACCCTGAAGTCAGAGAGAGGCCTGAGAGTTGCAGGGGGGTGGGGGACCGGTGTTGGTGTTAATCTGCCTTTACTTCAAAACCCAGAAGACTCCCAACTATTGGAAAGTGAAACCTCCAAAAGCAAAGCCACCACCCATCCTCCTTCCCCACTCTGATTCAGACATGTTTTCCCTGCCCCAGCAGAAGCAAGGCCCTTCAAAGCAAGACAGGACTAAAGAGAGCCTCAAGGGATACAAAGATCTGCCCCTGATTTGGGGTTTGGGGGGCTAGTACAATGTACTCACATCTAGAAGTGCAGGTAGCTGCAACAAACGCCTCAGATGGGGAACTCTCACCCTGCCTTGGGGATCACTTCCCGGCAGGGCAAGGCAGGCCAAGCCCAGGGGTGGGGCTTGGGAGTTAAAGGGCCCGTGTGCAGCTGGTTCTCATTTTATCCTCCGGGCTGCTTCTGCTGCAGCTGAAGGCACACTGCTCCCTGAGTGCTCATGGGTTTCTACCTTGGAGCCAGCTGGCTGCACTGGAGTGGGACTGGGAGGAGTTGGAGGGCCCGAGATGGGACAGGTGCTAACTGAGGGCACCTCTACCCATCTGGCTTTCATTTTCCAATCTGGGTGAGTACAATTCTGCCTCTCCCTTCAAGTGGGGCCTAACTGTTGAGCTACAGCTACAGCCCCTCCTTTTAAGAGATGATAGCTCTGCATCTTTTATTTCAGACTCAGAAAATTCAGTCCAGGTCTCTGAATAGGTGTTCAATAGAAAACACACACTCACACACTCTCTCTATATAGATGTTCAATAGAAAACACACACACTCTCTCTATAGGTGTTCAATAGAAAACACACACACACACTCTACAGGTGTTCAATAGAAAAAACACACACACACACTCACACTCTCTCTTCCTCTTTCCCGCAACGTGCTGTTTGGGAGCTTGAGGTTTCTCTCTTCTTCCCAAGTTTCTCAATGTCTGGGCTGGGGAAGGAGGGCCCAGGCTCCAGCAGGTACGGACACTGCACCCTAGAGGCAGGAGCAGTGGGAATCAGTATTTCCGCTGCCGAGGGAAGAGACTACTCCCGGAGGATCGGAGTGGGGGGCTGGCGGGGCTGGGGTCCTCCGAGTCCAGGCTGAAGAGGTCCCTCCCGGTACGAAGGATCTGCTCCTCCAGCTTCTTGTGTCTCTTCATGTCCGACAGCACCTTGTCCAGGCGGGCCTCCCGTTTCTGGCTCCGGGCTGAGCTTCCTGGAGAAGAGGAAGGTAAGATACATGGAAGGGATGGAGGTGGTGTACACCATACCTGCCTGGACCTCACTCATCACTTGGGGAGCTGGTTAAACATGCAGGTCCCCAGGCCTCTGTCTTGGAGGACCTGAGGTTCAGGGTTGGACCTCAGAGAGGGTGAGAAGCAAAGATCTTGATTGACAGGAAGGCACAGGTAATGTGAAGAACAGGGAGGAACATACTGGGCAGGGGAATGGCAAGGGTAGAGGCCCCAGGACAAGAACAGAGTTCTGTTCAAAGAAGAGTGCAGGCCGGGCATGGTGGTTCACGCTTGTAATGCCAGCACTTTGGGAGGCTGAGGTGGGCAACTCACGAGGTCAGGAGTTTGAGACCAGCCTGGCCAACACAAAAAATTAGCTGGGCGTGGTGGTGGGCGCCTGTAATCCCAGCTACTTGGGAGGCTGAGGCAGAAGAATCGCTTGAACCCGGGAGGTGGAGGTTGCAATGAGCCAAGATCGCACTACTGCACTCCAGCCTCGGTGACACAGCTACACTCCGTCTCCCCTACTCGCCAAAAACAAAAACAAAAAAAAGAGTGCAGAGAACTGGAGGTGGCGGGAAAAGCGCTTGGATTCTCCTTTGACATGCTCTTCCCTGGCAAGATGGAATCCCTTGGAAAATTTTAAGTGGAAAAGTGACACGATTTATGGCTGAGTGCAGCAGCTCACGCCTGTAATTCCAGCACTTTGGGAAGCTGAGGCAGGCACTTTGGGAAGCTTTAGGTCAGGAGTTCAAGACCAGCCTCGCCAACATGGCGAAACCCCCTCTCTACTAGAAAATACAAAAATTAGCTAGGCGTGGTGACGTGTCCTTGTAATCCCAGCTACTCAGGAGACTGAGGTAGGAGAATCGCTTCAACCCAGGAGGTGGAGATTGCAGTGAGCCAAGATCATGCCACTGCACTCCAGCCTGAGCAAGAGAAAGACTTCGTCTCAAAGAAAAAAAAAGTGATATGATTTATGTTTTAAAAGGTTCATCTGAATTGCAGAAGCTGGAAGCAGAGAGCCCAGTTAGGAGCTACTACAACTATCCAGGCAAGAAAGACAGTGGCTTGGATGGGGATGTGGTATTGAAAGTGGAGACTAGCAGAGGTACTTGGAAATGTACATCTTATAGCTACCAAGACTTGCTGCTGGTGTGAATGTTCAGGTAAAAGAGAGAGAAATCAAGAATGGCTCTAGGCTGGGTGCAGTGACTCATGCCTGTAATCTCAGCACTTTGAGAACCGAGGCGGATGGATCACTTGAGCTCAAGAGTTCGAGACCAACCAGTCTGGGCAACACAGCAAGACTCTGTCTCTCCACCCCTCAAAAAAAAGAAAAAAGGAAAGGCATGACTCTGAGGGTAAATTCTAGGAAGGCATGTGGGGTGGGAAATGGGGCCAGCGGTGTGATTAAAGAATGTACATGGTAGTAGAGGGATGCAGATCTAGATAATATTGAAAGGCCAGGACTTGGACTTCTGGGAATGGGAAACATGATAGAATTATCTGTAATTTTCCAGAATCAATGACTAGTTGTTTTTTTAAAAAAAGAATTATCTGTAATTGTGTTTTTTGAGACGGAGTCTCACTCTCTCGCCCAGGCTGGAGTGCAGTGGTGTGATCTCAGGTCACTGCAACCTCCACCTCCCAGGCTCAAGCGATTCTCCTGCCTCAGCCTCCTGAGTAGCTGGGACTACAGGTGCCCGCCACTATGCCCGGCTAATTTTTTGTATTATAATTGTCTCTTAAAGGAAGACAAGGGGCCAGGCGCATTGGCTCATGCCTGCAATCCTAGCACTTTGGGAGGCTGAGGTGGGCGGATCACAAGGTCAGGAATTCAAGACCAGCCTGGCCAACATGGTGAAAGCCTGTCTCTACTAAAAATACAAAAATTGGCCCAGAGTGGTGGCATGCGTCTGTAATCCCAGCTACTTGGGAGGCTGAGGCAGGAGAATTGCTTGAACCCAGGAGGCGGAGGTTGCAGTGAGTTGAGATCGTGCCATTGCACTCCAGCCTGGGGGACAAGGGCAAGACTCCATCTCAAAAAAAAAAAAAAAAAAAAAAGGAAGACAAGGTAGTAATCTAAGTCATAAAGATGGTGCTACTGGGTGAATACTCTCTCCTGCAGCTGTAAGTTGTGTGGGAGCTGAGGCAGCAAGCAAAGGCCTCTAGGGGAGCCGATCTTGGGTAACTGAGCCGAGGCCCTTCACCTCCCCCAACTGTTTCCTCTTCGTTTGTACCTGGGGTGCGTCTCCGGTCAATCAGGGAGTCCTTTGGTGTCACTGGCTCATCATCAAAATCAAATTCCGTGGGCATGTGTGGTCTGGGACAGGTGAACATAGTTAAGGGTGAGGGCGGTCCTCCCTCCCACCCACACGTGTGCTTCTCCCCTGCCCGTTCCTCCTCCCCCGCTGGCTTCCCTCCCTCCACTTTCAAAGGTTCCAGCGTCCCACATTTTCCCCTCCCTATTTCCTCCCGCCATCAGGGGAGCAGCCCCGGGACAAGGTGTAAGGGTGTGCCTTTACTTTTCCTCTTCCTCTTCTTTGGCCTCCGGCTCCTCATCGGATCTCTCCTCTTCGCTCTGGGCCTCCGGCGTGGGAGGCCGGCGGGGCAGGATCTCGGCTTGCAGCTCCAGAGTACCGTGGGCAGCCAGCAGTTCATAGAGCCGCTGGATTTCGGAGGGCGGGGGCATCCAGGGCTGCCCATCCGCAGGCAGCTCCACCTCCTCGTCGCTGCAGGGCACGCACCAGTCCTCGGAGTCCTCCTCGGCAGGCTCTTCTCCCCCAGCGCTGGGGACTTCTCCCTGCGCCTCCTCGCCCCCGGACCCCTCACGCTCGGTCTCCTCTCGGCCTCCTTCCCCCTCGTCCTCGGCCTTACCGGCCGAGGCAGAGGGGCCTCCGGTATCCTCCACGGCCAGAGCCTGGAGGCCGGAGGTCACTTCCCCTTCTTCAGACAGAGGCGCCGCCGTACTGGCCGCAGTGTCTCCATGGCCCCGAGCAAGGGACATAGGCCACTAGGGCAGGGACCCTGCGACGACAGATACTGGAGTCCGAAGCCAGGGTCCCCCAGGGATCGGGCTCCCCTGGGGGTTCGGGACCGTTTCCAGCCAATCACGCTCCCGCAGGGGACTCCGCGGCCAGACCGCCCGTCCCCGGGAGGGGGCGCTCAGTCCCCACCAAGGACCCCGCCCCGGAGATCGAGGTTCGGTACTCCGAGGCTCCCGGGCCCCGCAGAAACCACTTTCCGAAAGAGGGAAAGGGGGAGGAGAGGGACGGGCCACTCTTCTCGCTTCCACGACGCCCCTCTCCACACCCGGACACGGCGCCTTCTCCCCAGACCTTTCAGTTGTGGGCCACGTCAAGTCAGATGCCGTACGCACCTGGAGCTAAGACCCGCCTCCCAGGCTGCGCAGGGTCACGCTACGCAGGCGCACAGAAATGGCGCGGGAGGCTCCGCTCTAGGCAAGGCTACTTGGAAGAGGAAAGCGAGGGAAGGCTTGCACATGCGCGAGTAAGCGCACAGGCTTCAGCCCACAGTAAAGATGGCCACCGGGAAGTCGCATGCGTATACCACCCAGTAAGGTTCTGCCAGAAAGGCAGCACCGCCGGGCCGGCGGGACGAACGCAGGAACCAACCGAGATTGGAGGCGAGTCTCATGCAGTCTCCGTTTATTGGTGTTTCAGACTCATGCAGCATCCGGCATACAAAAAGGGAGAAATCAGTTTGATAATAGCCTTTTTTTTTTTTTTTTAAGAATTTTAGTTTTTTTCTTCCCCCAGACTTTTTTTTTTTTTTTTTTTTTTTTTTTAAGGAAAAAAACCCCCGCCAAATCCGAACCGCGTTGTAGCTCGGTCCCCGCCTCCTCAGCGGGCTGTCGCGTGCAACAAACCTCCCCCATCATCTTAGAAAATAATTATAGAGCGCGGCGCCCCGCCCTCGCTCCTGCCAGTGGGCGCTTTGGTCCTATTTTTTGGATTATTTCATTACGAAGCACGTGAATGAATCTAGCCCCCACACCTTCAAGAAAGAAACTCGCGGACTGGGGTTGAAAAGCCCAGGTGGGCGGGTCAACTCCAGCTGACCTGGAAGGGTCAGCGCCGCGTCCCTCCCTTCTCCCCTGCGTGCGTTCGGAACCAGTACTCGCCACCCTCACCCGAGTCCCCATACGAGGCCCGGCTTGCCAACTCTGCGACCTGCCAGGCACCCTTGGGTGTCCGACCCTGGGTGGTCCCAGCAGAGAACAGTCCGAGCCTGGGGTTGGGGAGCCCTCTCCCAACACTGCTCCCTGCCCCCAAGCCTCGTCTAAGTGCTGTCAATTTTGCAGAGTAAACGGTGACGGGAGGTTGGAGAAGAGGATGCTTAAGGGAGATGAGGAGGCAGGAAGAGGAAGGGGGCGGGACGTGGAGAGGAAAGGGGAGATGATAAAGAAGGGAAGGAAGAGAGGACTGAGGGTTGAGAGATGCCAAGACAATGAAAGTTGGGAGGAGGCGGCCAGGGTGGAGGTCCAGAGAATTTGGGGGGCTGGAAGAAGTGCAGGGAGGCCAGGAGAGATGCAGGGAGGCTGAGAGCGCAGAGTTGGGGAGGTGTTCAGGGAGGTTTCCAGAGTGCAGGGAGGTTTCCAGAAGTGCAGGGATAGGGGGCCAAGAGGCCGGAGGGGATGCAGGCATTAGTGCAGGGAGGTTGGAACCAGTGCAGGGATGAGGCAGGCCTACAGTTGGCAGAGGAGCCTGGCAAGATGCAGGAGCAGGACAGAAGCTGTAAACAAGGCCGCTCAGGCTCCCTTGGTCCTTAGGGGTGGGGGCCAGGGCCATCAGTTGGGCTCCCCCCAGGGGAGGGATGGGCCCAAGGCAGCTCCCAACAGGAAGAAAAGTCTTGGGATGCGGGGCAGAGCCCCTCACTTATACACTGTGGGAGAGGAGAGGGAAGGACAGACGGGGGGAGGGGGAGACAAGGAGAGACAAAGGAGAGGTAAGGAGGACAGACAGGAGAGAGCAGGGGCAGGGGTTAGTAAAGCTGCCCTTGCCAACCCTTCCATTCCTCCCCTGCCTGTCCCAAGCCCCCACTCACCGCCTAAGTTGATGACGCAGGAGGCGATGATGATGAGGACTCCCCCCACCAGCGCCACGATGCTTAAGAGCTTGGCTACCCGGCCCAGACGCTGGGCCCCGTCCACGTCCCCCTGCTGCAGGCTGTTCCGGGACTGGGGTTAGGGCGAGGGGTGGAGGCACATAGCCGGGGTCAGGAGAAGCCAGCCCAGAAGGGATCAGGTGGAAAAGTCATCCAGAAGAGAGAGAGGCCAGCCCCATAGATGGCGGGTAAGGGAGGAAGGAGGAGTGAAGGGGCAGGGGGAGGAGGGCACAGGTCAGCGAGGCTGTGTGACACGTGTTTCCATATCCCTCCCACCCAAAGGGGCAGGGCAGTGGTGGCTCAGAGGGTTAGGTCCTAGGGAGAGGCAAACAAAGGCCCTGGAATTGGGGAGGTGGGATCCATGCAGAGAGGAGAGGGGAAGGAAGGCATGATTACTCCAGAGGCTCTATTGCAGCGCTGGCGGGAAGCTGGGAGCCACAGCAGGCCTGGGCTAGGGTCCCATGGGGCTCACCATGACAGCATAAGCGAAGGCCACGATGTTGACAGGCCACATGGGGCAGAAGCAGGACAGGATGGCAAGGATGATGTAGTCCCGAGGTTTCTGGGTGCCTTCACCCCCCTCCACCCCAGGACCTGCCAACTGGGAGCTGGGGTGGCGGCTCAGGCTACCTCGGGGAGATCCTGGATGCCCACTGTGTGCCCTTCTCATTCGATCCTCCTCAACCAGCTGCTGCAGCACTCGGGGGGGGGCCCCATTGGCTGGGGGGGATTTTTTTGAGGGTGGTGAGTGAGGCTCAGGGGCTGGGCCCTCTTCCCCATCACCAGCCTGCAGGGGCACCACTGCCCCATTCTCTTGCTTTTCCCCTACACTCTCAGACAGAATCTCAGGGGTGGGGTCCTCCTGGGTAGGGAGCTCTGGTTGAAGGGCTGGCTTGGGGGTAGGCTGGGAATCTGGCCGGGGGTCTGGTTGGGGAGCAGGCTCTGGGGCTGGTTCAGGTGGGGCTGCAGACTCCAGCCTGGACCCCTGGTCTGCAGTGGCCTCTTTGCTCACTTCTGGTTTGGACACTGTTTCTTGGCATGGGTCTTCGGGGCTGCAGTTGGCCTTTGATTCCCCTCCTGGGCTTAAGCTGAGGTCTGTGGCCTGGGCTGTTTCTGAGGCCCCAGCCGGGGTCTCTGTGGTTTCTGGAGCCAGCCCAGCCTTGGGCCCTGAGTCCACAGGGGCCGCAGTGGTGTTTGGACCTGGCTGCGGGGCCTCTGGCTGGTCTGGTACCCCTGCTAGGACCTGGGGAGGGCCAGTTTCAGCTTCAGAATGGCCAGGCCCTTCGCCTGGAACCTTGGGACTCTCCTCAACCCCCTTCATCTCAGAGATCTCAGAGCTGCTGGCTGCCATCTTGAGATGGGAGAGGGGAGAGAGCCCCTATGGGGAGGATGGAATAGCAGAGACAGCGGCAAACCCTGGAAGAGGAGGAGATAGGCTTGGGGTGAGGAGGGAAGAGGGCGCTCAGCACTGCAGGCCCAATTGGGCCACATTCCTGTCTCAGGGCCAGCCTTGCACTGCCTCTAGGGAGAGGAAGAAAAGTTGGGGTTTCCTTTGCCTTAGGGTGGGACATCCCTGCGGGAGGAGTGCTCTACTCAAAGTCTTCTGCTTGGAGAGCCCTGGGGAAGATTAACCCTTTTGTAAACAGGACCTTCTCCAGGGTCTCTCCCTGGGTCCATCCAACAAGATCCAGACTCTCAGATCCCAGCACCCCAAAATCAACGAGCTGTGCAAATAGCACTCCGACAGGCCGACTGGGCAGAGGACCCGACATTCGCATTCCACTCCCTCTGCATCCTCCCCTCCTCCCTGGGCTCCCAGGCGGTGCGGGTTTTCTTGCTGCGCGTTTAGGGCGAGGACGCTCCCGCCCCTTTCTGGGGGACCTGGTTATCTCCTTCGATCCCCTGTCAGCCCCTCTCCCGGGGCTTCCCTCGCCTTCGGTGGGCTGGCGCCTCCTCCCGATGGTTCAGCCCGCCCAGCACCACCACCAGCCCTCCAGACACCCGCATTCCCGTGCAGTCCGCCCGGCGTCAGCCGTCGGTCGGTCCACTCCTACCCGCAGCCTCAGTCTGCCCGGGTCTCACCTCGACGCCGGCCTCCGGACAGCTCCCGCTGCCGCTGCTGGCTTTTGCAGCAGCCGCAGCCCGGGAGGGAGCAAGTCAGCTAGGGAGGGAGGGAGGCGGCGGGTCTCCCTCTTCTCCTCTCCCGTGTGCTCATCCCCTCCTCTCCGGTCCCCTCCCCTACGCTCCGCCGCCGTCGCCGCCCCCGCCCCTCGCGAGCCTCCGGCCCCTCCCGCCAGCCCAAGGGAGCCACGCGTTACCCAGGCAACCGGCCCGGGGACCACTCGCGCCCCCTCCCTGCCCCTTCTCACGCGCGCCTCCAGGAGAGACGCCTCCTTCTTAAGTCCCCGGCCCCTCCCGCCAACGGTCACCGGGATTCCTGGAAGAGACGGGGATTTGGGGGAAACGGAGAGGGTTCTGCGAGGAGACGGGACCAGTGAGACAGGCAGGACCGGGTGGAGGCGTCTCTACGAGCAGGAGGGCAAGGAAGATGGGGCAAGACGCGGGGAGGCTGCAGAGGAGGAGCAGGGTGGGGTTTGGAGAGAATGGAGCCTGCAGAAAGGAGCGGCAGAAACTGGCGCTGGAAGGCTCAAAAAAGGGGCCCTGGAAAGGACGGAGCGGGGACAGGAAAGGGAATTCCAAGGGGCAGGAGGAGCTGGGCAGAGGAGCCCGTGTAAACACAGAGTGGCCCATGCCCAGGATGAGGGACAGGTGCAGCTTTCATTCTCTACCTCGCTGCTCCCAGTCCTAGGGCTCGGACTCCCCAGCCTTTCCGCAGCCGCATCCACCCACCATGGCCTCAGGGCCGTGACGCGCGTGGGGAGGGATGCGGCTGGGGGCTGAGCAGCGGCCATGAGTGTGGACGGGGGAGGGCGGCATTCCCGTCTGGCAGCTCTGTTTGGGTTTCTGACGGGGCCTCTTCAAACCTCCAGGGGCTATTCTGGGCCTGTCCGAGTTGGGAATTCCCCAGAGACCTGGAACTTGCTCTCCACAGCCACAGCCTTGGCCCCGCCCTGTATCTGTGCTGCCGCCAGTAAGGCTGCCCCTGGGGAGGGCGGAGCCAGAACCTCACAGCCTCACAGGGCAGAGCAAGGCTGGATTGACGGACACCAGGCCGAGAAGAAACCCTTGGGGTTGGCGGCAGTTCTTAGTGAGGGCAATTCATTCAATCCAGAGCCAGAAACAGGATTTTATTTAAAATTTATTGTAATGGGGTCCGCGCAAAAGGAAGGGGTGGAGGGTGGGGTACATGCAGGGGACACAGGAACACGATGACATGGCCAGGGCCACAACTTCTTCTGTCGTGGGGAAGAGGGATGAAAAGACAAGACCAGGGCTGGAGCTGGGGTGGAAGAGGGGAGGGGGACACTGGCTGCATTCCCCCGCCCCCAGGAAGCACCTCTAGGCCCTGGACCCCTCGCTCACCCTGGCCCCTAAGACTCCATCTCTTCTCTGCCTCTGGCCCTCCTGGCTCTTCCTCCTGCTCCCCTTGACTTTTTCCCCTGACAGATTCTCAAGTAGGACGATGTTCAGGGCCTGACCCCAACCCCCCATACCACCTTATGAAGGTACAACCTTTGCCGGCCCTGCTTCTGCCCCTCCTCAAACCTCACCGCTTTCCCTCTTTGGGACAGCTCTGATCCCCCTCCTTCCTCTCCTCCCTCCCCCTGGAAAAAAAAAAAAAAGGAAAAGAAAGCACCAACTCCCCGGGGAGGGGCTGCAGACAGCAGGGGGAGAGGACTGGAAGGAGAGAAGAGGACCGTCGAGGGAAGAGGCTCACAAGTCCCTGGGAAGACAGGGCATGGGCTTACAGAGAGGAGAGGGGGTACGGGCAGTGGCTGCTCGTGTCCTCTGCCACCCCTGCCCACTGTCCAGGGGACTTCAACACAACCGAGGGGACAGGTTTGTGTGGGGTCAGGTCTGACAGAAGAGGAGCAGGAGAAACAAATCGTTAAAACCTAGCGAATTCCCCTAAGAAAACATTTCTTCCTCCTTTCCTTCTGGAGGCTCCTTGGTTGGTAGGGAAATAGGAGTTGGTGGGAAAAGAGGGGGGAGAGGAGCTTGTACCAAGGGACTCTACTCCATTCTCCCCTCTCCCCCGCAACCAACTTGGAGCTCACCAGGGTTGGGAGGGAAGTGGCTGAGAGCTCACAGGCACCCCCTCCGCCCCCGAGAGGGAGCCCACAGCTGTGGGAGGGGCTGCTACTGCTGCCGCTGCTGCCGCTGCCGCCGCTGCCGCTGCCGCCGCCATTGGACAAACCTCACCAGTACCTGCACAGGAGAAACACCACGGATCACAGCGCGATCTGAATGGCAAGAGCCTTGCCCTCACCCCACACCTTCCCAGCCTGCTTCCCCTGGGACACAGCCGTTGCTCACTTCCTATCTGGACCCCAGAGGCCTCAGCCTGCATCCTCACCCAGACAGAGCAGTTCTCAAGGATCCTCCCTGTGCCCAGAAGTCTCCCTAGCCTGAGTGGTACATGGGCATCCCTCGCCTTCCTGAGATCCCCTATTGGGCCCTTTGAGCCCCGTTGTCCCCCACACCCCCCATCCCGCCCCCCAGCCATGCCCCACGCCTTGCCTGGTGGGTGCGGGGGTCCCCCTCAGCAGGTGGGCTGTGGCTGGGGGGCGTCTCCCGGGACAGGGGGGGCGGCCCCCCCCAGATGGGTCTGCATGTGGCCGGCCAGCTGGGCAGGGGTCTTGCAGTGCACGCTGCACAGCTTGCACAGGATGCGGTCAGCCCGCGGGGCCTGGAGCCCGTGGTCCTTCACCGCGTGGATGCGCAGGTATGCTGCCGTGGTGAAGCCTATTGGGGGGTGGATTGGGATGGGGCGGGGGTCAGCCAGGCGGAGACCCCAGAGACGGGGCTGATCTCCTAGGCGGGGGATGCCCTCCTCAGATGGCCCTGTCCTCCTCCCACGGTATCCTTGGTAGCCTGGGGCCAACTGCTCTGTTGGGGCTGGTAGACACAGCCCCTCCCTGAGCCTGGGGCCTGGCTTGTGTGGTGCCCGCTTCTCAGCCTTGGTACCTACAGAACTCATTCTCCATGGCCGGGAGACCTCTCCCAGGATGACGAGACACTGACTCCTAGCCACTTGCAGGGTTGACCCTCAGCAGAGACGGCTGTGTCCCCTTCCCTCCAGTGCCCCGCGGTCTCAACCCAGTTAACCGGTGAGTCTGACTGAAGGCAGCTTTCTCTGCTACCCGTGCAGGGTGCGTGCTGGTAAAGCCCGGCCCGTGTACTCCACCTGCCCCAGGAGCTGGAGACAAGACCTTGTGGCTGCGCAGCGGAAACCTTGCCTTGTGACCCCTGGAACTGGCTTTCTTGACTACTCCTTCCCCAGAGCAGCCAAGTTCCACTCCCGCTTTCCCCACACATTACCAGGAGGTTCAACCTCTCTGGCAGATCATCTCTTCCAACCAGGACTTCTTAGAGTCTAATGATGTTCATTCAGGTGTCCCCCCGCTGCTCCCTTGACCTCTTGTAGGAATCTAGACGCCACGAGCTCTTGGCTACAGCACCCTTAACCCGTATCCGTGGCAAGGCGTCTGGCCAGGCGCCCACCCTCTGCCCCTGGCCCTCCCGGCAGCCCTCGGCATGTACCTTTGTTGCAGAGCTCACAGACATGGTGAGGACCCTGGCTGTGCACCTTCATGTGGTCCGAAATATAAGCCGAGCTCAGCATCTTGCCACACACGTGACATGGCACTTTCTCCTCGTGTCGTACTGTGTGCGCCCGCAGCCGATCCTTCGTGGCGAAAGCTGCCTCACATTTCTGAGGAGGGGGGAGGGGCGTGGGGGGTGTCACAGGAGAGTTAAAGCTTGGTGGGCTGGGGAGGGGGGAGCAAGAGATTAAAGGAATCAGAGCCTTGGGGATCTTTGATCTGTAGGAAATGGGAGTGACATGATGAGGCCTTGAAGAAGGGATGAGAAAATGGAGCAAAAAGGCAAAAAGAAGAGAGAGAAAAAGGGGGTCTGAGAGACTGACTCAGACAGCTACCATGAGGATCAAAATCATGAAAACCAAGACAGGAGGAGGCGGGCTTCCTACCTCACATTTGAAGGGCCGTTCTGTTGAGTGCACTTGTCTGACGTGACTGTTGAGGTGATCCGGCCTGGGGACACGTTGGGGTTGGGGTTAGGGCGGAGGTGGTGCGCCCCAAATCCACCAAACCGCACCACAGGCCTTTCCGAGGATCCCTGCGCCTCCTCCCGGAGCCCAGGCCGTCACAGCGACACTTAAGCAGGAAATCCCTCCCCTGGAGCCCAGCAGCCGCTGCCGCCGCCGCCGCCTCCTCCCACGCGAAGCTTCCGTCAACCCCAAGGCCCACCTCCTCGACAAAGGACCACCCCTTGCTCCCTGGTAACCGGGAGAGGCTTCCTCCCTCCGCCCTGGGAGTGGCTCCCCTTCCCCAGCCTCAGCAGCCGCCTCCCTCCCCGCCAGCCACGGCCAGGCCACCTCCGTCGCGTCCCTCCCTCCCCACGGCCTAGCGGGCGGCCGAGGCCCCGTGCACACCGGGAGAAGCTCTTGCCACAGTGGGAGCAGTTGTAGGGCTTGTGCACAGCGCCGTCATGTGAGCGCACGTGGTAGCTCATGCGGTCCTTGCGCTTGAAGCGCTGCTGGCACACCGGGCACTGGTAGGGCTTCTCGTCCGAGTGCGACAGCTTGTGTCGGTTCAGGTGGTAGACGTCGCGGAAGGCCTTGCCACACATCTCGCAGGCATGGTTCTTCCGGATGCGCTTCCCCGAGGCGGTCGTGGTCACCACGCCACCGGCGGCCACTGCGGCAGCGCCGCCGCCGGCACCCGCCTCTCCCCCTCCCCCGCCGGCTCCGCTCAGCTGGGGCACGCTCAGGAGGCTCAGGGGCACCATGGTCGGCATCTTCATAGCACCCGAGGGGACCCGGCCGGCCTTGGCTCCCGTGTGGATGGCTTCGTGCCTCCGGAGATTGTAGCCGTTCTTGAACTCCTTGGCGCACAGAGCGCAGATGTAGGGCCCCTTGCTCTTTGTCTTCTTCTCCAAGGCAGACGCGACCGGGGCCACGGCGACCGTCGAGGTTGGGGCTACGACGGCGGTGGCCGCCGCCGCGGCGATAGTGGCGGCGGAGGCGGGGGGCGCGGCCTCGGCCGCGGGCGCCGACACTGGCGGGGGTGGCGGAGGGGGCGCCGGAGGCTGCTTCAGGGCCGCTGTGTCCACCGTAGAGGCGGCGGCAGGGGCCGGGGGCGCGGCAGCGACGGCGGCAGCAGCGGCGGCAGCGGCCGCAGCAGCCGCGGCGGACTCCTGGGCGGCGGCGAGCACCGGGAGCAAGTCCACCTGGAGGGGCTCGGCCGCCGGGGCCTGGGGCGTGGGCGGGGGCGCCGGCGCGGCCTGCGGAGACAAGGCGCCGAGTGGGCCGCGGGTGCGGGCGGGCGTCCCCCCCCAGCCCGGGCCGCCGCGGCCGGCCCTACTCACCTGGAATGGACTCTGGGCGCAGCCCTGGGAGGCAAAGAAGCGGGACTGGAGCTCAGCCCCGACCTGCAGGGGGTTCTGGGCGTGACCCTGAGGTGGCGGGAAGGAGTTCATGAGGCCGCCCACCCCCCGGGAGTCCAGGCCCAGCACGGGGAAGGGGGGGGCCAGCAGCGTGCAAGGAAACACCGGGAACATGGCCTCGGCCGCAGCGGGGCCCCCGGGGCTCAGCGGGGGCCGGGGGCGCGGGCCGCGCGGGGCCCGGGCTCGGGGCGCCGCCCCCGGCCGGCCGGGCTGGGCCGCGCCGAACGCATGGCCCGCGGGCCGCCCCGCCGCCCGCGCACCCCGGCCGGCGGGAGGGAGGAAAAGAGGGCGCCTTGCGGGCCGCGGAGCGCCGCGGCGACGGCGGCGGCGACGCCCCCTGGGTGGGGGCGGGAGGCCCCGCGGGGCCGGGGCCGGGGGCGGGGGCCCGGGCGGCGGCGGCGGCGGCGGCGGCGGTTGGAGCCTGGCGGGGCGGGGTGGGGGGAGCGAGGGAGCAGCCTCGGCCCCCGCCGCGCGCGCGCCCAGCCGGCGCCTCGGGGAGGGCGGGGGAGGGCGCGAGGGAGGGAGGGGGACAGCTGCGCGCGCACCGGGCGCGCGGAGGGGGGGTGGGACGGGAGGGAGGGCGGGCAGGAGGGGGTGTGGGCAGGGGGGTGGGGGCGGGGGGAGGGAGTTGTTACCTGGAAGATGAAGCTGCTCCAGTTGCTGGGATCCATGGCGGAGGGAGGGAGGGAGGTGGCTCGCGCTCACCCTGGGGCGGGAGGAGGAGGCGGCGGCGGTGGGGGAGGGGGAACCCGGGAGGAGGCGCGCGGGGCGGGCAGGAGGGGGGAGGTGGAGGGTGGGGGAAGCGGAGCACACTACGCGCGGGGAGGGCGGGCGGGGGGCGCGAGGACACACAAGAGGCTGGAGCGGGCGCGAGCGCTAGCGCGAGCGCGCGCGTGGCCAGCGGGAGGGGCAGGCGCGAGAGGGACTCTGGCGGGAGGAGGGACGGGGGAGCCACCCAGCAGCCCGAGTCGCCCCGAGCGCGAGACCCCTGAGACGGCTGCTGATTGGCTGACGATGGCGCAGGTGGTGGGCGCGCGGGAGACAGGGCGGCTTCTCTCCTCTTCCCCCCGCCAACGATTCCACTCCCCCTCCCTCCGCCAGCGGCCGTTATTTCGCGCGCACGCGCACAAGGCCGCCGTCGTTGCCGAGCGGGAGAATGGGGGAGCGCGCGCGCCGGGGGCACGGACGGGGCGGGGCTAATCCCTGAGCGCGCGCCCGCCTAACGGTCGCAGGCCTCATGCTTCGGCTTCCGCTTTTTGCGTCCTGCAGGCCACCGTCCTCCCCGCCCCACCCCAGCGGTGTATTTACAATCCTGCGCTGAGTCGTTCCCCGAAGATGGCGCCCAGTGGAGTCGCCTGCCTTGCTCGCGGCCCACCCCGAGGCGGTCACACCCCGGTCCCGCCCCCGCAGCCCCAAAAATCAGGCGGAAGCACCGGAGCAAAAACTGTATTTACACAACACGGGGTTATACAAAAATTTGAAAAGGCGGAGTGAGGAGACGACGGTCAGGAGGCGCCACAGCGCTGGCCGGCGGCGAGACCCAGGATGTTTGCCTGCAACACAGGAGGGAGGGAGACAGCGACGTTAGAGAGGGGCGCGGGGCGCAGGACAGGCAGAGGAGGGGCAGGGCCGTGACTTCACCTTCAGGAAGGACTCCATCTGTTTCCCCGTTATGCCCTCCACGCGTTCCAGGTCCTCCACCTGGCGGGACAGGATCGATAGGGGACAGGGTCTCGGGGGTACCCGGTCTCCCCCGCCCCCGCCCTCCCCCAGTCCAGTGGGCTGCTACCTGGCTGAAGGGGCCGTGGAGCTCCCGCCAGCCCACGATTAGCTGGGCCTTCTTCGGGCCAATGCGCTGAAGACTGCGGAGATCTCGGGCTGAGCCTTCGTTCAGCAGATCCAGTATTTTTTGGCGCCCATGAGCCAGTAGCTCCGGGCTGATCTGTAGCTCCCAGCAGTCCTCAGCCTTCTCCTCAGGCTCTAGGGCATCCAGGGACTCCAGCTGGGAGGCAAAGGGAGATGAGTGACACGCAGGGCAGCCAAGTGCTTTGGGCTCCTCTGCCAAGACTAGGAGCCCAGCACCAGCTACCTCCTGCGCTCCAGCCTCTTCCTCTCTTGTCAAGTGTGTCCAAAATCCCGCCCTCAGGTCACTCTCTGGGTTAATTCTTATTATGCAACTAGTGAAAGAGAGGTACTACTCAGTACCCAGTGGTAATATTAGCACCCTTCTCATGGAGTTGCTGTGGAGATCAAGTGAGTTAATGAATGTAAAGCACAAAATAAGCTCTTAAATCTGGTCCCTCATCTCTAAAAGGGAAAGAATAAGCTGTCTTTCAAAAAGTACATGGGAGAAAGTAATATGAATAAATGATACCTCCCCCAACCATCTCAGTTTTTGGGTAGTTCTAGTGGTGTTCGATTCTGGGTATGTGCATATGTGTGGTTTCTTGCTTGACTGCTTAGGTCATAGTTCCCTAAGTTTTCCCTCTTAAGCTTGTAGAGGGTAGAAGCCAGGCTACACAGTGGAACATCCGCTCTGCGAGGTACATCCACATCACTGCCTTCCACCCTAAATGCCCTGCAAGGAACCATCCATCACCACATTCCAGGGGTAAGCAAGTTGAGGTCTGTTAGTAGCTGGCGGCCATCATCCAGTTCGTTTAACCCCAAGGCCAACGCTCCTCCCCCTAGAGCCTACTCCCCCTTACTTCTGGGCTCCAGGTGTAGCCTAAGCCCCCAGCTACTTTCACCTTTCTCTTCCGGCCTTTATTCTTCAGGATGTGGATCTCGGCATTTGGGGATGCTGCCTGCTCCTGAACTGAAAGTAGGAATCGAGAATTGGAGTCAGGGCAAAGGGTACTTTTCACCCTCCCTGGTAGCCCTTCGATTCTTCCATTTCTGATTCCCCAGCTCCCCTCCATCCAGAGTTAACCTGTTGTGTTTCCACATGACCTTTTTTATACCCGCATTTAAAGGAATTTCAGTCAGTCTTGCATTATCTTCAATCCTCTACTCGTTTGTCCATCCCACTGTCCTAAACACCCGAGGGCAGAGCACCCCCAGCACTGCCTCAGAGCCTCCTCACCCCTCCCTGGGACTGGTATGTGGTGGGAGAATATGAATGACATGGAGACAGCTGCTCCTAACACTTCCTCCCTTATAGGATCTCAGCTGCCTTGGCCCCCCAGCCCCTGGAGTCAAACTTACTTAGCTGTAGGGGCATCACCACAGCCTTTTTCAGGGGCTTTGCCCCTGTGACTGTGCGATGTGAAAGGGGCCGGAGCATTGTGGGACAATGGTTCTCCTTTTCCTCAGCCTTCTGGGCCAACATCTTGGCCTCCAGTTCTTTTTGCTTCGTCTTAAGCCTCTGTTGGAAAGGATCAGGGAGATGTGATCCAGACCCAACTCCAGGGCAGCCTGAAGGGAGTGGGTTACCAGGGTGAGTATGCAAGGCTCTGAGCCCCCAGAGGGCAGGGCTAGGACCAGTGGGAGGTTACCAGGAGACAGGTGGAGCCTAACATAATTAAGGGCTTTCTGTGATTAGGGGGCTACCCAGAGGTGGAACAAGCCTCTGCAAATATTGAAGGGAAAGGCTTTTCAAGCACAGTCCTCAATTAATTGAGCTGGGCTTTAGGAAATGTAATGTTTAACATTTGTTGCTTTTACTTTGAACTTTTTCTTCTCACCCTCACATCTGGTCTCAATTGTCTGTCAAAGTTCAGCCATGTTAAGGACATTCAAGCAGAAGCTGGAGAACTTCCGGTATTGGGAGAAAACTGGACTCTAGTCCAGCCTGAGTGTCCTTCCCTGTCTGAAGATCCAAGGATTGCTTCTCAAGGCCAATAGGAATCCAGCTCCCACATCCCTAAAACACGTACCTCAATCTCTAGGTCCTTCTCTTCCACTGTCTTCATTAGCACCATCCGCTCTCGCTTTGGGGTACTCAACAGAGGGGCCCCCTGGCTCCCCTGGGAGGCAAGCAGACGGTCCAAGCTGAGGAGGCGCTCCAGCATGGCCGGGTCCATGCTGCTTAGCTTCTGTAGGGGGCTGAGCAGAAAAAGAAGTTGCTCCCCACCTACCTCCTCCCTCATCACCACCTACAGCAGCAGGACTCCCCTCACCACACCTTAACTTGGTATATCCTGTAGCTCCAGAACCTAATGTTAACTTGCTAGGCATCCAGTTTCTCTGGGTGCAGTGTCTTCATCAGGTGAAGTGACTGCTCGGGGATGCCAGGAAATCAGGCGAACACTTGAGTGCCAGGTATGAGAGACCTAAGACACTGCCCTGCCCTGGAGGCACTGTCTACTGAGGAAATCAAGAGACCATAATAAGGTGACAGCCAGGACAGTGCCTATCCATTTGGAGGAGCAGTTGCGGAAAACATCACAGAGGATGCCATCTTTAGCAGGGCTTTGAAATCCACCGAAGACCTCAGCTGCCAAGCTTCCCTGCTGTGGGCAGCTGGGAAGGCCTGTTCAAGCAGTCCTGACTGACTCTGAGCACGGTAAGGCTTAACATTCTTTTTTTTTTTTTTTTTTTTTTTTTGAGACAGGGTCTTGCTCTGTCACCCAGGCTGGAGTGCAGTGTTGAGATCACAGCTCACTATAGCCTTGGCCTCCTGAGGCTTAAGCAATCCCCCTGTCTCAGCCTCCTGAGTAGCTGGGTCCACAGGTGCATGCCACCATGCCCAGCTAATTTTTTTATTTTTTGTAGAGATGGGGTCTTACTATGTTGCCCAGGCTGGTCTTGAACTCCTGGGCTCAAGTGATCCACCCACCTTGGCCTCCCAAAGTGCTGGGATTACAGGTGTGAGCCACTGCGCCCAGTCAGCAACGTCTAACATTCATTTATTTTGCCTGGAATCTTGCCCCACACCTCCTCACATCTGTATCAATAATCTTTCCAGGTCAGTTTGATGCCACCTTTCCCATGACGCCAAGCTTAACAATGCATCTCCCTTCCTATGCTGTGAACTGGCTCCTGGAGGACAGGGACACTCCTGTGCTTTCCATGCTAGTGCCTTGGAAAAACAGGATCAGAACATACGTGGGCAAACACTAGAAGTCATCTCTTCCTTCCTGACTCTCACAGCAGCAGCAGCTACTCCTTCCTGATTCTGAATTCTCCACCTGGTATCATATACTGATGTTCCCATCTGACTTGCTCTCCTGTGAGGCCCCCAAGCTCTGGGTCTGCTGGGTTTGATGTGCCCAACTCTGAGCTTCCCCTTACTCAGAGTGCCTGTCTGACAGCTTACCTGTGCACATTTCTGGGTGCACACAGCAGTGGGGAGTGCTGACAGATGGTTTGGGAAAGACAAGACTGAGAGATGGGGTCATGAGTGCACAAGCATCTTCTTGTGTGTGGCATCTTCCTTAACTACAGTAGCCCCCTGGGACAGAGTGGGCACTAACCCTTGGCCACCTCAGGTCACCTCTGTTTAGTAGTTCACAGGCTTTATTTGGGCTAGGGGTAGAAACAGGGCAAAGTTAAAACTGCAACTGGCTCCTGGGGGGTGGAGGGAATAGCGCAAGGGCTAAGTGGCCAGACACAGAAAGCAAGACCCCTGAACAGAGATGACCTGAGGATTAGTACATACTGGGCCATGAGGTGGGGTGATTGGAGTTGGGGCAGGAGGTGACACAAAGGACTTAGTTTAGAGGCTTTATCTGGATTGAGGGTAGACGCAGTTAGGACAGCAGCTGGCTCCCCGGAGAGTCATGGAGAAGCTGGGCACTGACACACAGACCAGATGGTCTCAGCAGGACAGCTCTTCCAAGTCTCCTTTGCTTTGCTCTCATGGATCTGAAAGATCTGATCCAGATCACTCCTTGAACCAGAAGCAAAAATGCTCATCCTTGAAACAGCTGTCCCAAAGTGAGAAGTTTTGCTGAAGGCTAAAGGGGTTGGAAAATGGAAAGGATCCCCAGGAGGAGGCCTCCTTAGGTCCCCAAGGCAGCAGCACTGAGGAGAGATTAATCTTAGACTTTAGTGATTCAATGGAGTAGAATTTGGGGGGAATTTATTTATTTACTTATTTATTTATTGAGATGCAGTCTTGCTCTGTCACCTAGGCTGGAGTGCAGTGGCATGATCTTGGCTCACTGCAACTTTCACCTCCCAGATTCAAGCAATTCTTCCTGCCTCAGCCTCCTGAGTAGCTGGGATTACAGGTGCCCACTACCATGCCTGGCTAATTTTTGTATTTTTAGTAGAGATGGGGTTTCACCATGTTGGCCAGGCTGGTCTTGAACTCCTGACCTCAGGTGATCCACCCGTCTTGGCCTCCCAAAGTGCTGGGATTACAGGCGTGAGCCACCGTGCCTAGCCAGGGTTGAATTCACTTATTTACTTTGAGACGGAGTCTTGCTGTGTCGCCCAGGCTGGAGTGCAATGGCCACAATCTCAGCTCACTGCAACCTCTGCTTCCTGGGTTCAAGGGATTCTCCTGCCTCAGCCTCCCAAGTAGCTGGGATTACAGGCACATGCCACCACATCCGGCTACTTTTTGTATTTTTTAGTAGAGATGAGGTTTCACCATGTTGGCCAGGCTGGTCTCGAACTCCTGACCTCAGGTGATCCACCCAACCTCAGTCTCCCAAAGTGCTGGGGTTACAGGAGTGAGCCACCGCATCCGGCCTAGGGTGAATTTAATGGGAGAGGAACAAGATCACAGCTCTCTGCTCAAGGATCTGACGGGCATTGCAGCTCTGCTGCTAAGCCATACATCAGGAAGGGGATACACCCAAGGCCCCACTGCTCACCTGAGTTTCTGGGAGGCAGAGGCTGGAGCTGCCATGGGCTCAGGGCTCCCGATCTCCTCTTCCTCAGGGCCTCGGGCTCTCTTTGCCTCTGGTGGACCAAGCAATTCTTTCTGAGACAGCTTAACAGGTCCCAAGGCTAGATGATTGGAGGATGGGGTGGAGAGAGGGATTGGGGGTGGTCAGCCTCTGTGCTGATGCTTGGTGGTTTCAACAAACTCCCTAATTTCCAGACCCAGCGTTTCCACTCCTGCCTCCCCCAGTTCTCACCATGAGGCTGCAGGCTCTCATTGGTAAAAGGCCGATTGATCACCTCCTTGGACCTGGCAGCAAAGTTGAGTGCGGAGACTGTGTCTAGGTAGAAGCGTCTCTCAGGGGCAATGTTGGCAATAAGGATACTGTGGGCTGAGCCACCCAGAGAGTCCTGAGGGTGAGACCAGGCAGTGGGTGGGTCAGAAGCCCAGCCTTCCTATGCCTCAACTGCTATTCCCCACCCCACAGCAGGCCTGAGAACCTCCTTCTGCAGCCCCTTCTTCCCTGAGACAGGTGGGCCTGACCTGCAATAGGCGAGTGAGCTTGCTGTCCCGATAAGGTACACGAGGGAGGCCCTGATTCAGCGCATCTACCACTTTGCCCAGGACAAACAGGGAGGTGTTGATGGCTCCACTCTCTTTTAGCCGAAGGCCCTTGTTGCCTGTGCGCCGGTTGTCCTCTGACCCAGCCAAGTCAATCAGGTAGAGTTTTCCCTCTCGCTGGCGAAATGGGGCCAAACGTTCCCGCTGGTCCACCTGGGGGTAAGAACAAAGGTCTCGTGCTTAGCTCAGGCTCCTGGGCTTCCCAGGTCCTCGCCCCTGTCTGCGGCCTCACCTTGACCAGGAGCACAGCATGACTGCGGGAGGAGCGCTGGTTGAGCCGGGTGGCTCCTACAGTCCGATTTCGACTGGCTGGCAGGAAGTGCCGCTCAAAATCAGCAAAGCTACTGATGGGCTTCTGGGAGAGACCCGGAATCAGGATATTCCCCCGGCAGTCTTCTCGGATTACCAGGTCTCCCGAAGCAGGGTCCAGGAGGTCTAATACCTGTGTAAGCAGTGAAGGGGAAGGGCAATTCTCCATAGAGAGGCTGTTTCTTCCTGGGGATCAGTTTCCTTTCTCTGTTCTATTCTCGGAGTTGTACCATCTGCTACCCCAGTCTCTGTCTTTCTAGGTCTCACCTTACCTCCCTGCTACAGCAGAGCTTCATGTTCTAGAACCAGGTCTTACTTTGACCCTTTGTTGCTCCTCTCCCAACCAGCACGGGGCCTCACCTTCTCCTGGTAGATCTCTAGGTAAGACATGGTGACAGAAAGGGCCCATGGCCGGCCCTCGGCACCCTCCTCCCTTGTGAGCTGCAGGAGGTCCATGAGAGCCCGCGGGATCACCCCAGGTTGCTCTGGGCTGCCCAGCATTGTGTGCGTCTTCCCTGGGAAGAGAGTGGAGAAAACTGTGAGGTTTTCCTCTCCGTTTCCCCAGCCCTTTCTGACCCATAGCTGTTTCTTTTCTGGCTCCCTCACCAGCTCCTGTGGGTCCATAGGCAAGCACACTGGCATTCTGCCCTTCCAGCAAGTGCCTTAGGATGGGCTGCACTGAACCTGCATAGATGTCCTGCTGAGTACTCCTCTCCCCATAGAAGGCATCAAACCTGCAGGAAGAAAGAAAGAAATTAGCGTGTGTGTGTGTGTGTGTGTGTGTGTGTGTGTGTAAGGGGTGGAGTGGGGTGGGGGTGGGTAAGGGATTCTACTCTCATCTGGACCTTGGATTTAAGAGAACGTCTCTATCCCCTTTCTTGTACAAAGACCTTAAAAAGCATCCACCTAACACCTACTCCATCCTCATCTCTCTATTGGTGTTAGGAATACAGAGATAGATCTGATATCCCTGCTCTTGGAGTTTTTCAGTCTGGTAGGATAGATATCCACACTTTGCTGTGATTTAGGAAACGAAGATAAGAACACACTCTCAAAGGAGTAACTGATTCTGCTCAAGGAAGGAAGATTTTGACCAAAGAAAGAAATTCTGAGAATCAAGAATAGCAAAAAAGCAAGGCTTCCCAGTCTTTTTCAAATGGCTACATGTGTAGAACATTGTATTTTACACCATAATGGGGAAAATAGAGGATGCTGCTTATGACTGAACTAGACTCTACATACCAATCACCTATCCACTGCGTTCTGGTGGAGAAGTGCAGCTTAGGCCACAGCAGGGAGTTTAATATATATTGAGGGAATGAGGCTGGAAAGAAACTGAAGCCCAAATTGTTAACGGCCTAGTATGGGAGCTAGCAAACTTCTGTAAAAAGGCAGATTGTACATATTTTAGGCTTTGTGGGCCATGTGTTCCTTTTACAACTACTCAACTCTGCCACTGTAGTCAGAAAGCAGCTATAGACAATATGTAAATAAACGATAAAATTTTATTTACTGAAAATCTTACTCCTGATCAGATTTGACCTGCAGGCCATGGTTTGCCAGCCCCCGCCTAGAAAAACAGGCCAAGGAGTTTGAACTTTAAATCCCCAGTAGGATTATAAAGTAGCTGCCCTTCTGAGTTCTGTCCCCAAATCTGGGTGGTCTTCTCTGACACTACCCAGCTGCAGCTTGGGTAGGCTGGCTGGCAGGTCTGTGTTCCGCCAACCCTCCTGATATGTCCCCCAGCCTCTACTTGGGGCTCACCTGCTCACCCTCATTGCTCCTCCCTCTCTGTGCACAGTAATGTATGTTTGATTCAACCTCTCATCTCTCCCTACAGTATCCCAGAGAGGGCCCATCATGGGGGCACCTGTCAACATTTCCTAAGTGAACAGTGAAGGCTCAGGGAACAAAGCGGTGCTAAGGAGGGAGCAAGGATCCTGGGGAGGCAGGGGAACGTGGGCAGGCCTAGGAGAGGGAGGTGATGGCATGAGGGAAGAGGAGTGGCCTGAACCTTACTGGTATTTGAGAGTCTCCTGGTGGTTCCTCCAGTTAGCAATCTCTAGAGAGCAGCTGTCCATGCCCCGCACACAGGGGGGATCACTTGCTCCCGCTGTTCCATCCACAAATGGCCGCAGTCGCACAGCCACCCTTACGCGAGCTGGAGGTGGACGACGAGTAGCTCCAATCTTGCTTAGCCGACAGCGACCAGCTCCTGGAGGAGAGAAGATCACTTTTAGACATGAAGTATGGTGGTAGCAGAAGAAGCAGGGACCAACTTTGCTGGGCGGGCTGGGGGCCACAGCTCATGTTGGAGAAGCTCATTCTGCCCTGGTCATGTTGTGGACACCCCTAAGCTTGGCCTCAGTGCCTTCCCTGCTCTACAAGCAAGTGCAGCAGGTGTATAGCAGGCTTCTCAGACTGTAATGTATACACAAATAACCTGGAGGATCTTGTGAAAATGTGGATTTGGTCTCCGTCTCCCTGGGGTGATGCCCGAGATTTTGCATTTCTAACAAGCTCCCAGGTGATGCTGGGCACTTAAAAAAAAAAAAGAGAGAGAGAGGGATGGAGTCTCACTAGGTTACCCAGGCTTGTCTTCAACTCCTGGGCTCCAGCGATCCTCCTACCTCAGCCTCCCAAAGTGCTGGAATTATAGGCAGGAGCCACCATGCCTGGCCCAGGACATGTTTTGAATTGCCAAGGGTGAAGTAGACCAGCACCTCACAGGGTTGTTCTAAGGATTAAAAGGGTTGACATCTGACCGAAACCTAAACCAGAGAGCGAACTGCCAGAATTTTCTGTGTGTGTGTGTGTGTGTGTTTTTTTTTTTTTTTTTGAGACAGTCTTGCTCTGTCACCCAGGCTGGAGTGCAGTGGCATGATCTCAGCTCACTGCAACCTCCACCTCCCAGGTTCAAGCGATCCTCCCACCTCAGCCTCTCGAGTAGCTGGGATTACAGGTCCCCAACACCACTCCTGGCTAGTTTTTGTATCTTCAGTAGAAACAGGGTTTCACCATGTTGGCCAGGCTGGTCTCAAATTCCTGACCTCAAGTGATCTGCCTGCCTTGGCCTCCCAAAGTGCTAGGATTATAGGTGTGAGCCACCCTGCCCAGCCTGTACCTCCATTTCTTAACTGGGGTTTCTAATATGTATTGAGACGTATGTATACTCACAGACCCACCCACCCCTGCAAACTGTTAATGATGATCTTCTCTTGATGGGGAATTATGTGGGTTCTGCAAAAACCACCGACATGCAATTCTTCTCTCATGTAAACTTAACCCTGAATTTGCTTCAGATGATTAAGTTTTTTTTGTTTTGTTTTGTTTTAGAATTGGCAACTGAATTATTTTTATCATCAGAAAACACAATGAAGATAAAACTTAAAAAAAGAAAAGCCCTCTATTTTTGTGGGGGTTAAATGAGCTGAAAATATCTAAGGAGAGTATTACTCTATTTTACGTTGGAGGATAACATACTGTAGCTCATAGTGGAATTCAAACCTAGATCTCTTCCCCTCTAAAAATCTGCTTTTAATAGGATGCTGTATTGCTTCCTTATTATGTACCAACTGGGAAAGCTCCTGGCAGCTCTTTCCCTTCCTTGCTGGTGGTAGCAGCTGGTTGCTAGGAGCCATAGGCCTCGCAGAAGGCAAAAGGCTGGCTGGTATACGTAGCCAACACAGAAACAGCAAGACGAAAAGGCAGACAGATGACCCCTACAAAGAATCTTACACCTAAGTAAGGCATGCCCATAAGCAGACGGGCTGTTTCAAAAACTGAACCTCCATTCCATCATCTGATAAATGGGGCTACTAATACCATTTCTCACGTTATGGTAGCAAAGCGCTTGGACATCTAGTTCTCATTTGTTCCTCATGGCAATCCTGAAAGTCAGGAGCAAGCAGGTAAAAACCTGCAGATGCATGTGTGCAGATAGAAAACTGAGGTGCACTGACTTGTCAAAAATATGTGCAGGACCTTCCTCTGCCTGCTTTCACAGGATGTTTTGGGAGAACAGAAAGATGGCAGATGTAGAAGCACTTAAGGAAGCGCAGTGATCAATCTAAGGGGAAGGGGAAGTCAGTAATGAGGTAGAGTGTAGACTCTGGTCAGACAGAAGTGGACTTCAATTCCAGCTCTGACATTTATTAGCTTGTGACCTTGGACCTTGGTTTCCTTGTCTGTAAAATAAGGTTGGGGGTGGGCCTTGGGCTTTTTGAGAATTTGGCCGGGCGCAGTGGTTCATGCCTGTAATCCCAGCGCTTTGGGAGGCCAAGGTGGGCAGATCACCTGAGGTCAGGAGTTCGAGACCAGCGTGGTGGTGAAACCCTGCCTCTACTAAAAATACAAAAATTAGTCAGGTATGGTGGTGGACGCCTGTAATCCCAGCTACTTGGGAGGCTGAGGCACAAGAATTGCTTGAATGCGGGAAGTGGAGGTTGCAGTGAGCAGAGATTGCGCCACTGCACTCCAGCCTGGGTGACAGAGCAAGACTGTGTCTCAGAAAAAAAAAAGATAATTGAAATAAGTGCCAGATAAAGTGGCAGCACAGTGACTAGCACATAGTAGGTAGGTTCATCATTCAAGGTAAAATGGCCTGGGTTGAAATCCCAGCTCTGCCATTTACAGCTAGCTAAGTAACCTAGGGAAATTATTTTCCATCCCAGTGCCTCAATTTCCTTACCTGCAAAATGGGAATAAAAATACCTCTTTGTTAGGTTGTTAGGAGAGTAATTAAGGTGATTCATGTAAAAGTGCTTAGAACATTATCTGGTATTTGGTGAAAGGCCAGTAAGTGCTTTTTAATGTCCGTCTCCCATTTTCCAGATGAGGAAACCTCAGTATAGAGGGGTTAGCTGACTGACCCAGGGTCAACAGCTAGTGACTGACAGCTTCAAATGAAGATCTAACTCCAAAGTGCTTTATATGAACCCTCCTCAGCCTCCTTAGCCCCTTCATCTTTGCATCTCATAAGAATGTGAGGATTCAAAGTAATAATGTACATACAATGTTTAGCACAGTGCCTGGCAGCAACTGCTCAGTCCTTAGCTGTTATTATTACACCCTTTCTCTTGCTACCCACTCCTCCATCCCTGCAACTTGCTTCTGCCCTCACTATTCAGCAGGGTCACCCATGACTTCCCTAGTGCTAGATCCAGTAGGCATACTCAGCCTCAATCCTGTTGGACCTCCCAGAAGTATGCGACACTCTTGGGAAACACACTTTTCCCTTCATTTCCATGCCCCCCACCTTCCTGGTTGTCTTACCTAGTTTTCTGTTCACTCCTCATCCTAGGATCCGTCTATCCTTTCTCTAGACCAGCATTTCTCAACTTCAGCACTACTGACATTTCGGGCTGGCTAATTCCGTTGTGGGGCTGTCCTGTGCATTTAGACTGTTAGCATATGCTTACTAGATGCCAGTAGCATTCTCCACCCTCACCCTCAAGTTGTAACAACTAAAAATCTCTCCAGACATCTCCAAATGTCCTGTGAGGGACAAAGTTGCCCCGAGCTGAGACCACTCAGATTCATTTCATAGGCAGGTCACCCGCCCTCTTGGCTTCAGTAACATCTTACAGCTGATAAGTCCTATTGCACGTTCTGCACAAGAGCTCTCAACTGCAGCCCACGTTCTGAACGGCTGCCCTGACGGCTCCTTTTTTTTGAGACAGAATCTCACTGTCGCCAGGCTGGAGTGCAGTGGCGCTCTTGGCTCACTGCAATCTCCGCCTCCCGGTTCAAGCGATTCTCCTGCCTCAGCCTCCCGAATAGCTGGGACTACAGGTGCACGCCACCACGCCCAGCTAATTTTTGATTAATTTTAGAGACAGGGTTTCACCATGTTGGCCAAGATGGTCTCGATCTCTTGACCTCGTGATCCACCCACCTTGGTCTCCCAAAATGCTGGGATTACAGGCGTGAGCCCAGCCGACGGCTCCTCTTAAACTCCACCTGTCCTAAACTGAACCCTCCTTCCCCATCTCTCTGCAGCCTCCTCCTTTGATCTCTGATGTAAATGAATGGCACCAACCCCAAAAGTGGGAGTCTTTAACTCCAACGTCTCTTACCTCCCACATCAGTTCATCATTAACATCTGTCAAGTCTATCTCTTTAAATCTCTCTTGAACAAGTCCACTTCTCTCCACTCCCACTGCACTACCTCTGCCCAAGGTCATGGTCTTTACAGCCTTCCTTGCTGGTGGTAGCAAGGTGTCTCCCTGCCCTCTAGTCATTCCCTCTGTTTCCTTCCTTGCAGTGTAAGTTACCAGTCATGATGAATTTCCTTCACTTCCTACAAAACTCCAAGTTCTCTTGCACCTTTGGATTTTTGTCCACGTTAATCTCTCTCCCTAGAATATCTGCATT
This sequence comes from Homo sapiens, assembly GCF_000001405.40. Taxonomy (NCBI): domain Eukaryota; kingdom Metazoa; phylum Chordata; class Mammalia; order Primates; family Hominidae; genus Homo; species Homo sapiens. The sequence goes on along the minus strand of NC_000016.10, from coordinate 29,792,732 downwards.
GCTCCCCACCCCACCCTGGAGTGACTAAGGTAAACACATTTTAACTCCTCTTAAAAAACAAAACCAAAAACCCTTTCCTGGTAGACACTAAGGCTTTATCAGGTGCAACCACAGCTCATGTTAGCCCCTCCATAAGCATTTGTCACACCCCACTATTGCGTGTTTGTCACTTTCTCCACCTGACTGCCAACTGTGAGAACAAGTTTTATCCTGCTCACCTTTCTAACCCCAACACCTGGCGCAGAGTAGGCCCTCAAGAAGTATTTGCTGAAAAAAATTAAGATTTAGTGAATAAACTACTAATCACTGGCTTGTTCATTTCCATCATGAAAATGGCTCACGGCCATTCCTGCCCCAGGGCTCACAGTCCAGGGTAGGAGGGAAGAGGGGAGGGCCACATGTAAACAATTATTTACTGCACAAGAGTCTAGCCCTTTCATGATAAAAGCAACCTTGAGCTTGGACCAGGCTAGCAATTATTAATTTTCCCTTCTTTCACAATTCCTAAATTTCATTCACTCTTCTCCCTTTTATTGATGAGGAAATTGAGCTAAGAGAGCATCTTACATCATAAATAAGAAAACACTTGCTGTTCTTGTCTTCTTAGTCAAGGCCTGGCAAACTCCTATCCAACCTTTGAAACCCATCTCAAGTATCATTCACTCCCTTAATGAAGTCCTCCCAGAATACTCAAGGGCTTACTTCAGATTCCACACCCTCAGTTTATACACATCTCTCATTGTGTTTCGTATTACATCTACGTATGTGACACTCTATTGAAACAGACTGTAAATTCCTCGAGGAAGGGACATTATTCATTCAGGCATTTTCATATCTACCATGCACCGGACACAGTGCATCTTCGAAGGGTAAGGGGAGACTGTGCTCAGCCAGCAGGGATAACATGTACTTGGGCATAATGGTTAAGAGCAGAGGTTCTACACTCAGACTCCTTGAGAGCGAATTCAAGCCCCAATATTTACTAGTTGTGTTAACTCTGAACAAACTAACCTCAGTTTCCTGTGTAAAACAAAGACAGTAATAGTAACAACCTGATAGCATTGTGTGGACAATAAATGGTTCACCACCATAAAATGCCTACAACTGTGCCTGGCACATAGCAAGAGCTCTACATGTGTTAGGCATTCTCCTAAATGTCTGTTTCCCCACGAGGCTAACGAGGGCTCCAGTGAATTACTATGGCGCTCACCATCATCACTAACGAGGATTAAGTCTCCGGGTTAGAGAGGCACATGTAAACAAATACTCACATACAAGATTTTGGGTGTCCTAACAGCCTTTCCAACCCTAAAATAGCATTCACTTCCATGCTAGAGTGAAAGGAAATTTTAGTCTTTTATTTCGTTTTCCTGTAATCGCAGAGCATCTTACGCTGCCAACTCAAACCCAGCAGCAGCCGGGTCTGTTCCTCAGCCCGTCCTCTTGCATCTCTCAGGGATGTCTCTGCACCCAAACACCATGTCCCACACAGAACCCTTCCCAATACACGCCTCCGGCTCCCTTCTTCTCGTCCTCGTGGCTAGAGCGTCCGCCACTCTTCTCTTGCTTATTCAGGTGATCTCCAGGGATGAGGCCATGACCCCCGTTTCACAGACGAAGAAACCGAAGCTCACAAAGAAAAAGTGCGCGGGGTTCAAGCCAAGAGCCTGGACCGGAGACCCGAGTCTACTGACCCAAGGGGAGAGCAGGAAACAGGGAGAAGGCAGGAGCCAGGCGGGGCGACCGGCTCGCGACCCCACACTCTCACCGTCCCCCTCTCCCCGCCCCTGCGCCATGGCCGCCTCTCCGCGACAACCCGCAGAGCCTGGACCACACTCCGACACATAACTCCCACTAAACTCCAGACGTCGGTACCCGCCTTGCCCAGGCCGGGCTCAAGTACCTGAGATCGCCGCCGCTGAAGCTGCCGCCATCTCGCGTCGCCTCTGCTGCGTCGAGCCGCCCGCGGCCATTCCACTCCCTCCTTGGGCCCGCCTCTCCCATTCGAATTCCCCGGTGCCCCGCCCCCTCTCCCAGGTTCCACCAATCAAGACTACGCGCCGCCGGAAGCTGCTGCGTGTGGGTCGCCACTATCCCGCCTTCCAGCGCTCGCCTCCGGGTCCCCAAGAAAAGGTTCCCCTGGTCAGGACGCATGCGCGCGCGTGGGCCGCGCAGCCGTTGATGTCTGGAAGCGCGCTGCGATACAAACCCCTACGCAGGGATGTTGGCGACGGTGGCCGCTGGGGGAGCTGCTCAGCGCCGCCCGGCACTGGGCTCCCTTTCCCTTTACTTTCTGCAGTTTCTTGCCTCCGTGGGTGGTTGGCGCGTCTGCGGAGCCAGGGTCGTTGTGTGGATCGTGGGACTGCAGCCCCAGCCAAAGGGCTATCACGTCTGGTCGGTTCTGTAGATCTGGGCCCCAGGGGCTGGACTCTGGGCAGTCACGTTGCAGTCGCTGCCTGCTGGGCCCAAGGCCACTGTAGGTCCCCTCGCGTCCGTGTCAGCCCAGGAGAGCAGCTTGGATGTTCCTGTCTTTATAACTTGGCACTCAGCACGTCGGCGAAGCGTGGAAAACGCTTAGTCTGTGATTCAGTCCCACTCACCCACGGTTCCGGTTCCCAGTCCTTAAGAGTACAGCAGTCCGTTGAGTAGCTCTCTGTCCTTTCTGAAGGGTTGGCTAGGGACGGTCATTCCACTTTTGAGCACCAGGTAGGTAGGGCCCAGGTTTAGACATTATGTTCCACCCTGTTGAACAACAAAACAAAACACGGGCCGGGCGCGGTGGCTCAGTCCTGTAATCCCAGCACTTTGGGAGGCTGAGGCGGGAGGCTCACCTGAGGTGAGGAGCTCGAGACCAGCCTGGCCAACATGGCGAAACCCCGTCTCTACTAAAAACACAAAAATTAGCCGGGGATGGTGGCACGCCTGTAGTCCTAGCTACTCGGGAGGCTGAGGCAGGAGAATCGCTTGAACCCGGGAGGTGTAGGTTGCAATGAGCCGAGATGGTGCCACCGCACTCCAGCCACGGCGCCAGAGTGAGACTCCGTCTCAAAACAAAAAACACAAATCTTAGATCAGTGTTTCTGAAACGTTTTGCCTTGGGATCCCACTACAGTTTTTAAAAATGAGGCCTCCAAAGATGTTTTGTGTATATGAGGGTTTTTGTTTTTTTGTTTTTGAGACGGGGTTTCACTTCCATCTCCCAGGCTAGAGTGCAGTGGCTCAATCTCGGTTCACTCCAACCTCTGCCTCTTGGGTTCAAGTGATTCTCCTGCCTCAGCCTCCCGAGTAGCTGGGATTACAGGTGTGCACCACCACGCTCAGCTAATTTTTGTATTTTTATGGAGACAGGGTTTCACCATGTTGGCCAGGCTGGTCTCAAACTCCTGACCTCAAGTGATCCACCCGCCTTGGCCTCCCAAAGTGCTGGGATTACAGGTGTGAACCACCAGGCCTGGCCGTATATACTGTGTGTGAAGTGAAACTAAATTAAAGTTGACATTAATGAATTTAAAAATTACAGTAAAAAACCCATAGACATAAAAAGGACATCTAAGTAGTGGTTGCCAGGGGATGGTGAGGGGCTGAGGAGCTGGCACTACAGCAATAGATATAACGAGTTTCTTTTGGGGGTGATGGAAATATTAAATATTTTGGAATGAAGTAGTGATGATGGCTGCGTAACGTAATAAACATACTAAAAACCAGAGAGGTGTGCACTTTTTTTTTTTGAGACATAGTCTCTCTCTGTTGCTCAGGCTGGAGTGCAGTGGCGCAATCTCAGCTCACCGTAACCTCCGCCTCCTGGGTTCAAGCAATTCTCCTGCCTCAGCCTCCCGAGTAGCTGGGATTACAGGCATGCACCACCGTGCATGGCTGATTTTGTGTTTTTAGTAGAGACGGGGTTTCTCCATGTTGGTCAGGCTGGTCTTGAACTCATGACCTCAGGTGATCCATCCGCCTCGGCCTCCCAAAGTGCTGGGATTACAGACGTGAGCTACCAAGCCCTGCCTAGACCTCCATCTCTTTTTTTTTTTGAGACGGAGTCTCGCTCTGTGGCCCAGGCCGGAGTGCAGTGGCGCCATCTCGGCTCACTGCAAGCTCCACCTCCCGGGTTCACGCCACTCTTCTGCCTCAGCCTCCCGAGTAGCTGGGACTACAGGCACCTGCCACCACGCCCGGCTAATTTTTTGTATTTTTAGTAGAGACGGGGTTTCACCGTGTTAGCCAGGATGGTCTTGATATCCTGACCTCGTGATCCACCCGCCTCGGCCTCCCAAAGTGCTGGGATTACAGGCGTGAGCCACTGTGCCTGGCCTACCTCCATCTCTTAAAAAATAAAATTAGCCAGGCATGGTGGCACACACCTATATTCCCAGCTACTTGGGAGGCTGAGGTGGGAGGATTGCTTAAGCCCAGGAGTTTGAGGCTGCAGTGAGCCGTGATGGTGCCACTGCACTCTGGCTTCAGTGACAGAGGGAGACCTTGTCTCAAAGACACACAAAAAAACTAGATTCTCATATCTGCTTCTGCATTCATGCTGTTGTGATGTCACATATAATATAGTATTTTGAATACTCCACTATATACTTGAGAAACAATGCAAGAGAAGTCAATTGGTATCTTAGTTTTATTATGAAAATAGTTTTGAACTTGTAGACCCACTGAAAGTGTCTCAGGGACTCCCAGAAGTCTCTGGACCATACTTTGAGAACATCTGACATTGGCAATTGGCAGTTTGGTCTTCCTTGCCTGTCAGAAAAGGCTGTTCAGTTTTCACATTTGTTGTCAACTCCAGATATTTGGTAAGAAACCTGCCAGAAATAGTGAAAAGAGCATAGATCAAGGAGATAGGGCTTCTATGTTTGAATAAACCATTTAGGTACAGGGCCTTGGTGCCAGGCTGCCCAGACCAGAGATTTAGCCTCTTTGTGCCTCCATTTCCTCAGATATTAAAAGGGAATAATGGTTGAAATACCTCCTAGGGTTGTTTTAAGGATCTGCATCTGGCTGGTAGAAATTAGGGTGGTTTGGCCAGGCGTGGTGGCTCATGCCTGTAATCTCAACACTTTGGGAGGCTGAGGCGGGCAGATCACCTGAAGTCAGGAGTTTGACACTAGCCTGGCCAACATGGGGAAACCCTGTCTCTACTAAAGACACAAAAATTACCCCGGCGTGGTGGCACACACCTGTAATCCCAGCTATTCAGGAGGCTGAGGCAGGAGAATCACTTGAACACAGGAGTTGGAGGTTGCAGTGAGCTGAGATTGCACCACTGCACTCCAGCCTGAGGGACAGAGCAAGACTCCATCTGAAAGAAAAAAAATTAGCCAGATGTGGTGGCATGTGCCTATAGTCCCAGCTACTTGGGAGACTGAGGCAGGAGGATCGCTTGAACCCAGGAAGTGGAGGTTGCAGTGAGCTGAGGTCATGCCTGTGCACTCCTGCTGGGATGACAGAGAAAGAAACAATTGATTTTTAAAAAATAACTTCCAGGCCGGGTGCAGTGGCTCACGCCTGTAATCTCAGCACTTTGGGAGGCTGAGGCAGGCAGATCATGAGGTCAGGAGATCGAGGCCATCCTGACTAACACGGTGAAACCCCGTCTCTACTAAAAATACAAAAAACTAGCTGGGCGTGGTGGCGGGTGCCTGTAGTTCCAGCTACTCGGAAGGCTGAGGCAGGAGAATGGCGTTAACTCGGGAGGCAGAGCTTGCAGTGAGCCGAGATGGCACCACTGCACTCCAGCCTGGGTGACAGTTGGAGACTCCTCAAAAAAAGGCTGCTCACGATGGCTCACGCCTGTAATCCCAGCACTTTAGGAGGCCGAGATGGGCGGATCACAAGGTCAGGAGATTGAGACCATCCTGGCTAACACGGTGAAACCCCGTCTCTACTAAAAATACAAAAAATTAGCCAGGTGTGGGGCGGGCGCCTGTAGTCCCAGCTACTCGGGAGGCTGAGGCAGAAGGATGGCGTGAACCCAGGAGGCGGAGCTTGCAGTGAGCCGAGATGGCGCCACTGCACTCCAGCCTGGGCGACAGAGTGAGACTCTGTCTCAAAAAAAAAAAAAAAAAAAAAAATTCCAAACTATGTCTTTAAAAGAAGCAAAGGAGGTCAGATGTAGTGGCTCATTCCTGTAATCCCAGCACTTTGGGAGGCTAAGGTGGGAGGATAGCTTGGGTCTAGGAGTCCAAGACCAGTCTGGGCAACCTAGTGAGACCCTTCTCTACAAAACATTTTAAAATTAGCCAAGTGTGGTGGCGCATGCCTGTACTCCCAGCTACTTGGGAAGTTGAGGTGGGAGGATCACTTGAGCCCAGGAGGCTAGGTTGTGGTGAGCGGAGATCATGCCGCTATTGTATTCCAGCCTGGGCAAAAGTAAAACATAGAGTTTGTGCCATAAAAGATAATTAGTGGGTCTAGGCCTGGCGCGGTGGCTCATGCCTGTAATCCCAGCACTTTGGGAGGCCGAGGCGGGCAGATCACGAGGTCAGGAGATCGAGACCATCCTGGCTAACACGGTGAAACCCCGTCTCTACTAAAAATACAACAAATTAGCCAGGCGTGGTGGCGGACGCCTGTAGTCCCAGCTACTCGGGAGGCTGAGACAGGAGAATGGCGTGAACCTGGGAGGCGGAGCTTGCAGTGATGCACTCCAGCCTGGGTGACAGAACGAGACTCCGTCTCAAAAAATAATAATAATAAAATAAAATAATAATAATAATAATTAGTGGGTGAGGCCGATGATTCTGTCCTTCAAATATGTGAAGATTAAATTAAGGTCATCTGGGACACAGCAGCAGTGATGGAGAAGAGAATGGGGGCTGGACGATAGAGGACCAGACCTGGAGGGTCTCGTGGAGAAGGGGTCCTCGAAGAGATAATGGAGCACCATGGGTGGCCAGGAAGCTATGCCAGTCTATCCCACGTGGACACCCTTTGCCTTCACTTTTATGTACTTTGATATAACAGCCGCATTGGCCGGGGCGGGGCACTACCAAAAGGCAGGACTCAGCCTGGGGTCCTGCTTCCCAGCCCCCAGGTAGCTCTCTGTAGAGGGTCCTTCCCTGCAGGCAATGAGCTCCCCGTTTGTAGCGGCTGTGCATGGGTTAATTGATGTCTTCATTGGAATGGTGAGGCTGGGTCTGCAGAAGAGGAAAGAAAAGAGTATGTTAATTAAAACTGTCAACTAAAGAAAAACTCAGGCTTTTAAAGAATTAGTTTTATTCACAAATCTTACCTAGAATGGCAACCCGTGAGCGACTTTGAGAGAGTTTCTGTTAGACTGCTCCAGCCCGTAGTTTGCGTGCGGGTGCTGGTGGGTCTGCCCTGCAGAGAGTTGCGTTAGCAACCATCCCTCCCTCCAGCGCTCGCCTCCGGGTCCCTAAGGAAAACGTTCCCCTGGTCAGGACGCTGGAGCGCGCATGGGCCTCGCAGCCATTGACGACTGGACGCGAGCTGCGGTACAAACCCCGACGCGGAGACGTTGGCGACAGTGGCCGCTGGGGGAGCTGCTGAGTGCCGCCCAGCACTGGGCTCCCTTTCCCTTCACTCTCGGCAGTTTCTTGCCTCCGTGGGTGGTTGGCGCGTCTGCGGAGCCAGAGTCGTTGTGTGGATCGTGGGACTGCAGCCCCAGCCAAAGGGCTGTCACGTCTGGTCGGTTCCGTCACCCACGGTTCCGGTTTCCAGTCGTTAAGGGTCCAGCAGTCTGTTAAGTAGCTCCCTGTCCCTTCTGGAAGCTTGGCCAGGGAAGGTCATTCCACCTTTGAGTTCCAGGTAGGTAAGGCCCTGGTTTAGACATTATGTTCCACTTGATTGAACAACAAAACAAAACAAAACACAAATCTTAGATCAGTGTTTCTCAAACGTTTAGCCTTGGGATCCCATTAGTCTTAAAAAATGAGGCCTCTAGCCTGGGCGTGGTGGCTCACGCCTGTAATCCCAGCACTTTGGGAGGCCGAGGCAGGTGCATCACGAGGTCAGGCGTTCAAGACCAGCCTGGCCAACATAGTGAAAACCCCTCTCTACTAAAAATAAAAAAATTAGCAGGGTGTGGTGGCAGGCGCCTGTATTCCCAGCTACTGGGGAGGCTGGGGCAGGAGAATCGCTTGAATCTGGGAGGTGGATGTTGCAGTGAGCCGAGATCACGCCACTGCACTCCAGCCTGGGCAACAGTGCAAGACTCCATCTCAAAAAAAAAAAAAAAAACAAAAATGAGGCCTCTAAAGATGCTCCGTATATATGGGTTTTGATCCATATTTACTGTATTCAAAATGAAACCAAATTAAAGTAACATCAGTGAACTTTCAAATTACAATAGCAAACCCACAGACATAGAAAGTACACCTGAGTGGTGGTTGCCAGGGGATGACAAGGGGTTGAGTAATTGGCACTACAGTGAACAGATGTAACTGCTTTCTTTTGGGGGTGGTGGAAGTGTTCTGGAATGAGGTAGTGGTAATGGTTGTACAATACAGTGAATATACTAAAAACCATGAAAGTGTACACTTTTAAAATGGCATTTTTTTCTTCTTATTAGAGACAAGGTCTCACTGTGTCACCCAGGTCGGAGTGCACTGGTACAATCATAGCTCATGGCAACCTCAAACTCCAAGGTTCAAGTGATCCTCCTGCCTTGGCCTCTGGAAGTGTTGGAATTACAGCTGTGAGCCATGGTGTTGGGTATCAGAAGAACCAGCCCCCAATATTTCAGCGTAGGTTCTTTCTATTTTCCCTAAGTGTTGGCCGGTCTGAGAAATAAAAAGAAAGAGTACAAAGATAGGAATTTTACAGCTGGGCTGGTGGGGGGTGACATCACATATCGGTAGGTCCATAATGCCCCACCTGAGCCGCAAAACCAGCAAGTTTTTATTAAGGATTTCAAAAGGGGAGGGGGTGTACGAACAGGGAGTAGGTCACAGAGATCACATGCTTCTGAGGCCAGTAAAGATCACAAGGCAAAGGGCAAAGCAAAGATCACAAGACAAAGGGCAAAATTAGAATTACTGATGAGGGCCTATGTTCAGCTGTGCATGTATTGTCTTGATAAACATCTTAACAGAAGACAGGGTTCGAGAGCAGAGAACCGGTCTGACCAAAATTTACCAGGTTGGAATTTCCCAATCCTAGTAAGCCTGAGGGTACTGCAGGAGACCGGGTCATATTTCAGTCCTTATCTCAACAGCATAAGACAGACACTCCCAGAGTGGCCATTTGTAAACCTCCTCCAAGGAATGCAATTCTTTTCCTAGGGTCTTAATATTTAATATTCCTTGCTAGGAAAAGAATTTAGCGATATCTCTCCTACTCGCACGTCCATTTATAGGCTCTCTGCAAGAAGAAAAATATGGCTCTTTTTGCCCGACCCCGCAGGCAGTCAGACCTTATGGTTATCTTCCCTTTTTGTTCCATTTTGTTAGGATATGACATATGTGACTCCATTTTGATACTGATAACATTCTTTTTTTTTTTTTTTTAGATGAAATCTCGCTCTGTCATCCAGGCTGGAGTGCAGTCGCACTATCTCAACTCATTGTAACCTCTGCACTTGTTCCCTAAAATCACTGTTATTCTGTTCTTTTTTAAGGTGCACTGATTTCATATTGTTCAAATGCACATTTACAATCAGATTTCATATTGTTCAAACACACATGTTTTACAATCAATTTGTTAGTTAATGCAATCATCACAGGGTCCTGAGGTGACGTACATTCTCAGCTTATGAAGATAACAGGATTGAGATTAAAATAAAGACAGGCATAAGAAATTATAAGAGTATTATTTGGGAACTGATAAATGTTCATGAAATCTTCACAATTTATGTTTAGTGATTGCAGTAAAGACAGGCATAAGAAAGTATAAAAGTATTAATTTTGGGAACTGGTAAATGTCCATGAAATCTTCACAATTTATGTTCCTCAGCTGTGGCTCCAGCCAGTCCCTCCGTTCGGGGTCCCTGACTTCCCGCAACAGTTGGGCCACCATATCTGTTTATAGAACCAATTGGATGGAGATTTGTGATAAGGGAATCCTTCCTCCTCACCACAGTGCCCCTGCCAAAGAAGAGGCTGGGGCTCTGCAGCTGCTGAAGTCACTGGATAGGCTGGGATAGATAGTCCCAATGCAAGCCAATGGCATTGATTAGGGAATCACTGATGAATCAGAGCATGATGCTGTGTTGCGTTTCAGGTGGGACTTGAACTTTTCAGGACCTGCATACACACTGAGACCTTCAAAGTGGTAACAGGGATGACAGATTTCTTGCCAGTCCCACTGCACATGAAGGCTGGTTGAGCCCTAGAAGATCCTACGGGGAACTTCAACTCCTCATTTTGCCTACAAACAGGTTGCTATGTTGCCCGGGCTGGCCTTAAACTCCTGGGCTCAAGCGACCCTCCTGGGATTACAAGTGTGCTGGGATTACAGGTGTGAGCCCCCTTGCCCAACTACCATATCCTTTTCTTGAGCCAACTGCATGGAGGTTAATGATAGAGAAGTCCTCATTCCCCACCACAGGGCCCCTGCCATAGAGGAGGCTGGGGCTCCGTGGCGGCTGCATTCACTGGGGCAGACATATTGCTAGCCCCGTATTGGCAGTGATGAGGGATCCAGCACTGTAACTGATGAGTTAAAGGACAGCATTTGGGTGCAAGAAGATGGCACTAAAACTGGTGCCTGTGTTTCCCAAGAGGCAGAGCAGCTCTTGTCTGTCACAAAGACCAGCTTCCTCAGGTAGTGTGTGAACCTGCCTGATCTGATGCCCAACATGATGGGTGATCCTTTCACCTGAACTTGGTCCACAGACTGCCTCTCCCTGCCATTGTCTGCTGATTCTCCACCCAGTCCTCCATGGTGTTATCAGGTGCAATGCTTAATTTAGGTGTCAGGTTGGTTCCATTTTGTTAGGATGTGACATATGTTACTCCATTTTGATACTGATAACATTCCTTTTTTTTTTAGATGGAGTCTCACTCTGTCATCCAGGCTGGGGTGCAGTTGTGCTGTCTCAACTCATTGTAACCTCTGCCTCCAGCATTCAAGTGATTCTCATGCCTCAGCCTCCCAAGTAGCTGGGATTACAGGTGACTGCCACCACACCTGGCTAATTTTTGTATTTTTAGTAGAGACAGGGTTTTACCATGTTGGAGGCTTGTCTCCAACTCCTGACCTCAAATGATCTGCCTGCCTTGGCCTCCCAAAGTGCTGGGATTACAGGTGTGAGCACTGTGCCCAGCCAGATATTGATAACTTTTACAAAACTAACGTATACCTTCACTCATTTTAATTTTCTTCCCTTCTTAAAATTTCTTTCCCCAACTACATAACCATCCTCTTCTATCTCTTTTGAGACCTCACCAGTGATCTCTTTTCAGAATCTCCAGCCTCTTTCTCTTTCTTCCTCTTTATCATGTGAACATGCTTGTGACTCTCCTGTCTAGGATTTTAAAAAGACACAAAACCCTTTTTCCTTACACCCCCGAAAACTGACTTGCCTATTTCTGGCAAACCACAGCCAAACTTCTTGAAACACTCGATTCTTGCTGCCTGTGTCTTCTCACCTCCCATTCATTCCTTAATGAGTTCAGCCTAGTGTCAGCCTCCCGCAGTCCACTGTAACCTTCTGATGGCTAAAGCCTAAGAGCATAGTGTGGGCAGGGTTTCCACTGCTGAGAAGGTGGTGGCTTCCTGAGGAAGGAGGAATCCCAGATCTGAGAGGGCTTAGCAGGACACCGGGGCTCATGGGTAGAGGTGAGGAGGAACTGGGCCTGGTAACAGGGCAGGGTCCTCGGGCACAGACTTCAGCTAAGTTTCAGGAGTCAGGTGGGTTCTGGGAAAGAACAAAGGCTAATGGTCCTGGCCACCCACACACAGCAAGTGAGTTCACCACTTTCTCAAGGGGAGGACCAGGGGTGAGGAGAGCTGGAGAGTGGGACATCTGGGGTTTTGGTGTAAGCCACAACTAGGCCTTGCCCTCAGACCCATGACTCCAGTTTGGATCAATGTTCCAAGGAGCTGTCCTTGAAGAGCGTTGATGCAAGCCAGAATCTCATCTCCTCTTGATAAATTATAGCACAAAGCCCAGGATTCTTACATACCTCTCCCTCATCTTCCCATCTTCCAGACAGATGTCCAAAGCCAGCCAGAAGTGAGATTTGCACGTCCCCGGCTAAGTCAGGAGGCAGATATCCCAGCCACAGATGCCCCCACACAGACTAGCCTTAACCATATTTTTTTTATTGAGCCATTTGGATGGGGGTTAGTGATAAGGGAGTTCTTACTCCTCATCACAGTGCCCCTGCCAAGGAGAGGAGGCTCAGCATCTGCTGCAGCTACTGGGGTAAACATCCCAGTGCAGGCCAATGGCATCGATGAGAGAACCAGACCGGCCACTGATGAAGCGGAGCACGGTGTTGGGGTGCAAGGGGACGGCATTGAAACTTGTGCCACTGTCTTTCCCAAAAGACAGATAGCGGCCCTTGTCTGTCACAAATACCAGCTTCTTCAGGTACCACTTGTACTTCCCAGAAACCTGGATCACTGATTCCCCAGGGTGCAGAAAGATCTCCTCCAGGTCTCCGTTGCGACCACCCACATAGTCGCTCCACACCTTGCCATAGCGCACCTGAAGACTGAGGAAGAGGGGAGGAAGGAAGGAGAAAGAAAGGTGATGATAGGGATGAGAGGTCTCTGGCTAGTCCTACAGACTGTGAAGCCTGGGTGAACCCTGGAAGATCCTACAGGGAACTTCAACTCATTTTGCCAACAAAGAGACTCTGTCACCCAGGCTGGAGTGCAGTGGCATGATCTTGGCTCACTGCAGCCTCAACATCCTGGGCTCAGGCAATCCTCCCGCCTCTCCCTCCTGAGTAGTTGAGGCTACAGGTACTCACCACCATGCCTGGCTAATTTTTTTGTTTTTCTTCGGTAGAGATGGGGTCTTGGTACCTGGAGCATGGTTTAAATCCCTGGCATCCCTGGCATCTTGCCCAGGCTGAGCTAGAACTCCTGGCCTCAAGCGATCTGCCTCTGCCTCCCAAAGCATTGTAATGACAGATGTGAGCCACCGCGCCCAGCCAGGAATTCAAAGAATCTTACCCTACGATGTAGTATGTGTTGACTCGGACCCGGAGGGCGGTGATGGGGCCGTCCAACTGGTTGCCAGAATGAGAGAATCGCTTTCCACCACCACCTCCATACTCTCCACTATAGGAGGAAGACCTGGCCTGAACTGGAGGGGCAAGCAGGAGTTGGAGGGAGAAATCTTCCAGGAGTTCAGTTTCTCTGCATCACCCCTGTTCCTCCGACAACTCAGCTCCCCACCCCAAGCCAACCTCCAAAAGCCTTGGCCAACAGCAGTGCCCAAGGCTGCCTTCCCAAGTCCCCAATACCAGGCTCCTGGTATCTCACTTACTGGCATTGCCAGAGGCTGAGGCACAGAGAAGGGCTAGGAGAGCGACTGTCAACATTCTGGGGCTGGAGTGGGAAGAAAAGAGCAAATGAAGATTCACCTTCTTCCTTGTTGACTTGATTGACCCAGGCACTCCTGACCTGCAGCTCAGACCAAGCCTTCTTCGTCCTTCAACTTAGACCTAGCAGACCCAGTCTTGAGCTTAGAAAGGACTGTCCATAGCCTGTAGTCCTGTTCCTCTCTGATGCTACCTTCAATGTCCCTGACCCCTCCAGCTCTCCCTGGTCTGGCTGTAGCCAAGCCCTCCTCTTTTTCTCTCAGGCCTGAAGATGAACTCTAACTATCTGGATTAAGCCTTATTCCATCCTGGCACAAAGCAGAAAAGTTTTCTGAAGTCAGCCAAGCCCAGGTACATTTGGGTTGGTATGGCCATAGCCAGGAAACGAGTTTTCTAAGGAGGGAGTAGAGGACCTCTCCCAAGCAAAGAGATGGCTGAGTTTACTGAGCCCAGAGGCTGAGCAAAGAAAGCCTCATCATCTGTGGTGAATTGGCCTGGATTATGGGGCACCTGGAGCATGGTTTAAATCCCTGGCATCCACCTGGTCTCAAGGAAAGAAGCATTTTAGAGTTGCCTCTATGTTACCTGGGGAGCAAAGTTGGTGACAGAAGGAACTGTGCCAGCACCAGTATCCAAGCAGTGCTGGTGGAACTAGGACAGACAGAGAAGTTGCAGAAGGAGTCGGGACCAGCTCAAGATATTAGACCCCAGGTGCCTGGTCTATGTGTCACTATTCTTTTCTCCACTAACACACATCTGGCCATTTCTATTCTCCTGAACATCCCAGGTGTCCCCAGTCCTTCAGCAGAGACCTAGACAGCTTTGCACCTAAGATTACTGCAGACCCAGAAGCGCCAATTAACTCAAGTCTTTCCTGCCATTCCTTCCAGGCATCCTCTTCGCCAGCTCAGATTTGAATTCCCCCCCAACTCAGATTCAGGCATCTCTGTCACCCCTCACCTGACAGTTTCAGATGCAAAGCAGCCCCCTGGAAACTTCCAGATGTTTTATACCAGGTCCAAGCCCTCCTCCTGCCCTTTATTGTGTGAACCTCACCTCCTGAGCAAACATGAGCAACCTCTTCGGATCAGGTGTCAGGCAGGGTCTGGAACACCTTATCCTGCCTCTACCCCATAGTCAACAGATACTACAGCATAGGGTAAGATTCTCTGAGTTCCTGGCTGGGCATGGTGACTCACACCTGTCATTACAATGCTTTGGGAGGCAGAGGCAGATCGCTTGAGGCCAGGAGTTCTAGCTCAGCCTGGGCAAGAGTGTGAGACCCCATCTCTACCAAAACAAAAAACAAAAACAAAAATTAGCCGGGCATGGTGACGAGCACCTGTAGCCTCAACTAATCAGGAGGGAGGTAGGGAAGATCGCCTGAGCCCAGGACGTTGAGGCTGCAGTGAGACAAGATCACGCCACTGCACTCCAGCCTGGGTGACAGGTGGCAAGCTGGAGTCCACTCTGGGCCAAGTGCCGTATACCAGGAGAAACATAGTAAACTTAAGGTCACCACCAGCAGCTCTAGGTGGGCAAAGTAGCTTATCACCTCTAGGCTTAGTAGGTGCTCTCACCTGAAATCTGCCATCTGTCAGGACAAACAGAGCCCTTCCCAGGCATTCGAAATGTGGATTCTCCCAGAAGGGAATATATTCCCAAAATCTTATACTTACGAGTGCTGACTATTTGCCAGACATTTTTTTCTTTCCCTTTTCTAATATTATGAAAAATCCAAACACATATAAAAGTTTAAAGAATTGTACAGTGGCTGGGCCCAGTGGCTCACACCCATAATCCAACACTTTGGGAAGCTGAGGCAGCTGGATCACCTGAGGTCAGGAGTTTGAGACCAGCTTGGCCAACATGGCGAAACCCCATCTGTACTAAAAATACAAAAAGTAGCTGGGTGTGATGGCAGGTGCCTGTGATCCCAGCTAGTCAGGAGACTGAGGCAGGAGAATCACTTGAACCTGAGGGGCAGAGGTTGCAGTGAGCTGAGATCACTCCACTGCACTCTAGCCTGGGCGACAGAGTGAGACTCCATCTCAAAAAAAAAAAAAAAAAAAACAAAAGAATCGTATAGCAAGACTGGGTGCAGTGGCTCATGCCTGTAATCCCGGCACTTTGAGAGGTCAAAGCAGGAGGACTGCTTAAGCTCAGGAGTTCAGGACCAACATGGGCAACATAGGGAGATCTCGTCTCTACAAAAAATAAAACAATTAGCCAGGCATGGTGGTGCACACCTGTGATCCCAGCTAGTCAGGAGGCTGAGGCAAGAGGATCACTTGAGCTGAGGAGGTCAAAGTTGCAGTGAGCCATGATCGAAACATCAAGTCTCAAAAAAAGGAAAAAAAAAAAAAGAATTGTATAGTGGACACTTATATAACCACTGTATAGATTCTACTATGGTTAATATTTTGCTGTAATTGCTTTTTTTTCTTTCTTCTTTTTGGAGACACAGTCTTGCTCTATCCCTCAGGCTGGAGGGCAGTGGCGCGATCTCGGCTCACTATAATCTCTGCTTCCCAGGTTCAAGCGATTCTCCTGCCTCAGCCTCCCGAGTAGCTGGGATTACAGGCATGCGCCACCACGCCCAGCTAATTTTTGTAATTTTAGTAGAGACAGGGTTTCGCCATGTTTGCCAGGATGGTCTCGATCTCTTGACCTCGTGATCCGCCCACCTCGGCCTCCCAAAGTGCTGGGATTACAGGCGTGAGCCACTGTGCCTGGCCTGCATTTTTTTTTCTATCCACTCATCTATTTATCCCCAATATGCCAAACACTTCCCAAACCATTTCTCTCTGAGAAGGATGACTGGGGCTGCAGGTGCACAGTGAACACGTGCCTATTGCCCCACAGGAAACAGAGTCAGTCCAATGGGAAGTGCAAAGCTAAGGATCCGAAGGTCTACAGGTGTTCCTCTGGGGGTAATTCTGGGCTTTGGGCCCTCAAGTCTCCTGGGTACCATGGCTGAATCTTCCTGGGGCTGTAGGCCGCCCAGGGCCATTGCTTCTTTCTTAGGTCTGTAACACCCCCAGGGGTGATGTCATAGTTTTTTTTTTCTCTGTATGCCCTTCATTTTCAGGACTGATTCCTCTCTGCCTAAAATCCCTAAGACTGACTCCAGGGACCTAGTGCCTGACCCCTCCTGGACTGGCCCTCTGACCTCTCTGAATCAGGAGGTCCAAGAAGAGGGAAGGATGGAGGACCAGAAGGGGCTGGAATAAGTGCTCTCAATTATAAATGACTAGTCAGGCATTCAGAGCACCCCACCCCTCACAGGTTTACCATCTGGGGCCAATGACTCATCCCAGATAGCAAAGGCAGTCCCGCCTGAGGATCTGGAAATGGGGGGAATCCAGGGTGGTGAGTTCTGGGAGTGAAACAGAACAGCAGCCAAAGATTCCACGTTCACTCCTCCCTTCCCCTCTCTTTTTCTCCAAGGTCAGTGTCAGCACATCCTGCTACTATAACTTTCACCTCATTCCAGCCATTTTGTTTTGTGTCTCTCTCCCTCTCTCTTTCCTGGTGACTCTCCTTCCCTTTATGTCTTCATCTTTCCCTGCTCTGGGGAGGATTTTTCTTTCTTTCTTTCTTTCTTTTTTTTTAGATGGAGTCTTGCTCTGTTGCCAGGCTGGAGTGCAGTGGCGCGATCTCGACTCACTTCAACCTCTGCCTCCAGGGTTCAAGCAATTCCCCTGCCTCAGCCTCCTGAGTAGCTGGGACTACAGGTGCGCACCACCACACCCAGATAATTTTTTCTATTTTACTAGAGATGGGGTTTCACCATGTTGGCCAGGATGGTCTCAATCTCCTGACCTTGTGATCCACCTTCCTCAGCCCCCCAAAGTGCTAGGATTATAGGCGTGAGCCACCACACCCGGCCTTTTTTTCTTTTTTCTTTTTTTTTTTGAGATAGATTCTCGCTCTGTCACCCAGGCTGGAGTGCAGTGGCCTGATCTCAGCTTACTGCAACCTCTGCCTCCAGGGTTCAAGCGATTCTCCTGCTTCAGCCTCCGGAGTAGCTAGAATTACAGGCACCCACCACCATGCCTGGCTAATTTTTGTATTTTTAGTAAAGATGGGGTTTCACCATGTTGGCCAGGCTGGTCTTGAAATGACCTCAGGTGATCCACCCACCTTGGCCTCCCAAAGTGCGGGAATTACAGGCGTGAGCCACCATGCCTGGCCTAAGGGGTTTTTTTTTATATTCCTTCCCTCCATGCCTTTTTCCTTCTGCCTCTTCTTTCCTTGTCCCTACATCTCTCCCAAGCTCTCTCTCTAGCTCTTTCTCCTCTCTAATCCTTGCTTGTCTTCTTCTGTTTAGGGACAGACCACCCCTAGTCTGTGACCAAACACAGGAAGTCAAAGATGGCAGCTCAGAGAGGTCGAGATGGGCACCTTGGAAGAACGCCCTCATGTTCCCAGGCATGACACATCCAGGACCCTCAGGACAGAGGCACCCACATTTGCCACAGCTCCACTCCGTTGCACCCACCCTGCCTGTATGGAGATCCAGCATCTCCTCCATTGCCGAAGACTGCTTCTTGTTCCACTATAGCAAGTCCTCAGTCTCCAGAGTGCAAGAGATGCTTTCCTATGATGGGAGGGGTCTCAAGGCCCATTTTCTGTCCATCCCAGAAACAAGGAAAGCTGCCCTATCGCTAATGCTGGCACCTCTAGGGTGCACTCTCATGTGGGGACTGAGGCAGAAGGAAGAACGTGAAGGCAGTGAGACACCAGGCCCCCATCTCTGCTTCTGCCTTATCAGATCCTGTTTGAGCCACTTTACATTTAACCCACGTGCCAGCTGTGGGCCTACCTGCCCCTTTTAAACTCTAGATGAAGTTGCCTTAAACCTCATCCCGTTCCCGGGCCTGCACGCGTGAATGTCCAAAGCCCTTCCAGAGCTTTCTGCTACTAAACAGAAAGCAACTCAACACATGTTTTTTTGTTTGTTTTTGTTTTTTGTTTGCTTGTTTTTTTTTTTTTTTTCAAGATGGGGTCTTGCTCTGCTGCCCTTTCTTGGCTCACTGCAACTTCCACCTCCCGGGTTCAGGCGATTCTCCTGCCTCAGCCTCCCAAGTAGCTGGGATTACAGACATCCACCACCACGCCTTGCTAATTTTTGTATTTTTAGTAGAGACAGGGTTTCACCATGTTGGCCAGACTTGTTTCTAACTCTGACCTCTTGATCCACCCTCAGCCTCCCAAAGTGCTAGGATTACAGGCGTGAGCCACTGTGCCCGGCTCAACACGTTTATCAAGCATCTCTACATTGGAGGTACCATTCTAGACGCTGAAGAGACAGCAATGAAGAAAAGAGTCAACAGCCGACCTCAAGGAGCTGTAGGGCCAAGGGAAAGCTTCCTTTCTGCTCTCTAGCCCTATAAAGGCTCCCCAAAAAGGAACTGACAATTGGCAAATTAATAGGAGAAAAATGTGTACAAAATTTATGTCACATGTACAAGCATAAGGAAACCACAGGAGAACGATGACCTAATAACCCAACGTGGTCCAGATGCTTATGTAGCTGCCTTCTTCACAGGGGAGGGGAAATGGGGGTGCAGCAATGTTGAGAGGTAGTATGTGATTTTGTGGGGAAATGAATGGGGCCAGGTGCAGTGGCTCACACACCTGTAATCCCAGCACTTTGGGAGCCCGAGGCGGATGGATCACTTGAGGTCAGGAGTTTGAGATCAGCCTGACCAACATGGTGAAACCCCGTCTCTACTAAAAAATACAAAAATCAGCCAGGTGTTGTGGCACATGCATGTAATCCCAGCTACTTGGGAGGCTGAGGCAGGAGAATCGCTTGAACCAGGGAAGTGGAGGTTGCAGTGAGCCGAGATTGCACCATTGCACTCCAGCCTGGGCAACAAAAGCAGAACTCCGTTTCAAAAAAATAGCCGGGCGCAGTGGCTCACGCCTGTAATCCCAGCACTTTGGGAGGCCGAGGCGGGCGGATCATGAGGTCAGGAGATCAAGGCCATCCTGGCTAATGGTGAAACCCCATCTCTACTAAAAACACACACAAAAAAATTAGCTGGGCACGGTAGCGGGTGCCTGTAATCCCAGCTACTCGGGAGGCTGAGGCAGAAGAATCGCTTGAACCCGGGAGGCAGAGGCTGCAGTGAGCAGAGATCACACCATTGCAGTCCAGCCTGGGCCACAGAGCGAGACTCCGTCTCAAAAAAAAAAAAAAAATTAGCTGGGCATAGTGGTGCACACCTGCAGTCTCAGTGCTTGGAGGACTGAGGTCAGAGGATTGCTTGAGCCTAGGATTTTGAGGCTGCAGAGAGTTATGATCATGCCATTGCACTCCAGCCTGGGTGACAGAG
Organism: Homo sapiens; assembly: GCF_000001405.40. Lineage (NCBI taxonomy): Eukaryota > Metazoa > Chordata > Mammalia > Primates > Hominidae > Homo > Homo sapiens. Next base: position 29,772,919 of record NC_000016.10, on the reverse strand, counting down.
CGAGACTCCGTCTCAAAATAAATAAATAAATAAACAAAAAAAAAATATTTTAAAAGGAGAAATGAATGGACCCGAAAGATAGGAATTAACTTGTAAATGATTCTCTTTGGAATTTGAATAAGCCCAAGAGACTGACTATCTTGTGAAAAAGTCTGTCTATGTTTGGTCACATGCTTCAGTCTTATTTTCTGCCATAATGAGGTTATCTGCCATAGATAACAAGCTGAAAGTGTGATGAATTTGGAAATAATGAAGAGAGGAGGGTGGCTGGAGGGAAATGAGGGAAGCCGACCTGTGAGGCCTGGGCAGCAGCCAGTGGGCAGAGTGTGCAGAGCCTGAGAGGTGTGGTCAGGAGTTTGGCTTTTTTTTTTTTTTGGAGATGGAGTCTCACTCTGTCACCAGGCTGGAGTGCAGTGATGCAATCTCAGCTCACTGCAACCTCTGACTCCCTGGTTCAAGCGATTCTCCTGCCACAGCCTCCCAAGTAGGTGAGATTACAGGCATGCGCCACCACGCACAGCTAATTTTTGTATTTTTAGTAGAGACGGGGTTTCGCCATGTTGGCAGGATGGTCTCGAACTCCTGACCTCGTGATCCGCCTGCCTCGGCCTCCCAAAGTGCTGGGATTACAGGTGTGTGAGCCACCGCGCCCGGCCTGGAGGAGTTTGGCTTCTTTTCTCACAGTGAGGGGAGACATGGAAGGGTTTTGAACAGAGGGGTACATGCTCATATTTGCATTTTAGAAGGATTGCTCTCTCCTGATTTTGATAAAGTGGAGGAGGGACTTGGGCAGGGTAAGAGTGGAGACAGGCATGGCAGATGTGGTGTGACCTTCTCCCCTCCCATCTAGAATTCCCCTGAAAGCTCCTCCCTCTCTCAGGTGAAGCAGCTTTGCCCTCTTTTCAAAGTTTTGATGCAATTTCAGACCTGTGGTGGGGATCTGCCTCTCCACCCCCATCCAGAAGGTTTCCGACACCTGTGGCTCATGCCTGTAATCCTAGCAATTTGGGAGGCCAAGGCAGGACGATAGCTTGAGGCCAGGAGTTTGAGACCAGCCTGGTCATCATAGCAAGACCCCCCCCACCCATCCCCACAAAAACTAAAAAACTAATTTAAAAAAATTATTTGAGGGCTGAGCACTGTGGCTCATACCTATAATCCCAGCACTTTGGGAGGGCAAGGCAGGCAGATCTTTGAGGTCAGAAGTTCGAGACCAGCGTGACCAACATGGTGAAACCTTGTCTCTACTAAAAATACAAAAATTATCCGGGCATGGTGGTGGATGCCTGTAATCTGCTGCAGCTGCTTGGGAGGATGAGGCAGAAGAATGGCTTGAACCCGGGAGGCAGAGGCTGCAGTGAGCAGAGATCGCACCATTGCACTCCAGCCTGGGCCACAGAGCGAGACTCCATCTCAAAAAAAAAAAAAAATTAGCTGGGCATAGTGGTACACACCTGCAGTCTCAGTACTTGGAGGACTGAGGTCGGAGGATTGCTTGAGCCCAGGAGTTTGAGGCTGTAGAGAGTTATGATCATGCCATTGCACTCCAGCCTGGGCAACAGAGTAAGACCGTGTCTCAAATAAATAAATAAATAAAATAAAATAATAAAAATGTTTTGGCCAGTTGCGGTGGCTCACGCTTGTAATCCCAGCACTTTGGGAAGCTGAGGCTGGCAGATCACCTGAGGTCAAGAGTTTGAGACCAGCCTGGCAAACATGGTGAAACCCTGTCTCTACTAAAAATACAAAAATTAGCCAGACATGGTGGCAGGCACCTATAATCCCAGCTACTTGGGAGGCTGAGGCAGGAGAATCGCTTGAACCCAGGAGGTGGAGTTTGCAGTGAGCTAAGATCGCGCCATCGTACTCCAGCCTGGGTGACAAGAGTGAAACTCCGTCTCAAAAAAAAAAAAAAAAAGTTTCAAAATATATTTCCAAACAGTGGGAGATCTGTTTCCTGTTAAGAAAAAAACATTATCTGCTTCCTATTTATACACTGGGCCTTGGTGCACGTTTTCATTTGGAAGAAGGGTCTGACGGCATGAGCGCTGCTTTTCTGTTCACTCTTAGTTGTTCCAATGAATAAAGTAATGGGCAGAAGTGACTTCACCAGGTTGCCAAGGGGAGTCCTGCTCTCCGCCCACAGTGACCTGCAATTGCTAATCTTCAACTCTGCCCATGCACACTCCAGCTGCCTAAAATGCTCTCCTCCTTCTGCCCACCTGGCAACCTCCAGGTTATTCAGAGGGGACCACCACCAGCCTGCACCACCACCCACCCTTCTCACAGGAAGGCCTCAGCTCTCTTCTCCTCCCAGCTCCTCCTCTTCAAATAGAATTCATCATTCCTTTCTTTGGCTTCTGTGTGTTTCCTACATTACTCTATTATGGTTCTAATTACCCTGCACTATAATTTATATGTTTACATGTAAGCCTTCTCCACTAAACTGAGAGCTCATTCTCAGGCAGGGGCCATGACTCAGTCATCTCCAAATTCCCAGCATCTGGCATCACACCTGGTACAGAGTAAGCATCCGTGGATGGTTATCCAATGAATACAGCACCTTGGGCCCAGGCTACAACGAGACTTCTATGAACCGTTCCTCCTTTGTCTTTCCTCACCTCTCTGTCTCTCTTCTTGCAGGGTTTGTATTGGGTTTTCTTTGCTTTCTTATTCACTTTTATTTATTTTTTTCTTTTTTGAGACAGGGTCTCACTCTGTACCTCAGGCTGGAGTGCAGTGCCACTATTACAGCTCACTGTAGCCTCAACCTCCTGGGCTCTATTGATCCTTCCACCTCAGCCTCCCAAGAATCTGGGACCACCCCCCAGCAAATTTTTGCATTTTTACTTTTTGTAGAGATGAAGTCTCACTGTGTTGCTCAGGCTGGTCTTGAACTCCTGGGCTCAAGTGATCCTCCCACGTCAGCCTCCCAAGTGCTGGGAATACGGATGTGAGCCACCTTGGTTGGGAAACCTCAGGGCAGCTTGGGTGGCCACAGTAGTATGAGAGAGGCTGCAGGGGCTCAGATTCAGGGTAGGTAAGGGTACATTGTTAATCATTTTTTAAGCCAGAAACCTATAGCCACGTACCAAGCATTTGTGGACAGAATGTTATAAAGAGATGTTAAGTAAAGTTATGGGAGGCTGTTTTTCTGGCCTGAGCTCCTGAACTAGACCCCAAAAGACCAAACCAAAATGGAGTCACCCATGCTAAATGCTACATAATCAAACTCAAACTTCAAAGAAAGCAGAGAGATCCCAAAACAGACCAGGTTTTTCCTCCTGAAAACAAATTCCAGCATAATAAGAAGCTCCCCTCTGCTCCAACCCATCCCAAAAAAGTAACCTGGAATAACGAGGTTTTTCCTTATTGCTCTATTTCCTTATTCCCACCTTACAAAACCCACTGCTATGTTTCCTAGTGGGATTTTAGACCAAAAAAGTCCATTCACGGTGGTGACAGAGTGACATCAATGCCTAAAGCTTTTTATCAATCTCTCAAAATTGAAAGTTGGCCAAAAAGAGATAATTGGTTTTCTTTGTTTTCGTTTGTGTTTTTGAGACTGAGCTTAGCTCTATCGCCCAGGATGGAGTGCAGCGGCACAATCTTGGCTCACTGCAACCTCCACCTCCTGGGTTCAATCCATTCTCGTGCCTCAGCCTCCCAAGTAGCTGGGATTATAGGCGCCTGCCACAATACCCAGCTAAATTTTGTATTTTTAGTACAGATGGGGTTTCACTATGTTGGCCAGGCTGGTCTCGAACTCCTAACCTCAGGTGATCCGCCTGCCTTGGCCCTCCAAAGTGCTGAGATTACAGGCATGAGCCACCGCGCATGGCCAAGAGAATTGTTAAATTAAGTTTAGCCTAAAGCTGCCTCCTTACATATTTTAATTTAGGCCTAAAGGTTTCTCCTCACCTAGTGGCCTAACTGGACATGTAAATAGACTATAACCTTCTCTTATACCAACCACAGAGTTTTGGCCCATCACAAGTGGCCAACTGTTCAAACCATGTTCAAATAAGGCAAGTGCCACACCTTAACCAATCTGGCTATTTCTGTACCTCATCTCCATTTTCTGTATGTCACTTTCCTTTTTCCGTCTATAATTATTATCCAACCATATGGCAGCCCCAGAGTTTCTCTGAACCTATGCTGGTTCAGGGAGCTGCCTGATTTGTGAATTGTTCTTTGCTCAATTAAACTCTCTTAAATTTAATTTGTCTTAAGTTTTAATTTTAACAGATACATGGGTTTAACACCTGGCTCCAGCCCTTACCTACCATGTAACCCACTGAGCTTCAGTTTTTTTTTTGTTTTTTGTTTTTTTTTTGAGATGGAGTCTCACTCTGTTGCCCAGGCTGGAGGGCAGTGGCGTGATCTCGGCTTACTGCAACCCCCGCCTCCCTGGTTCAAGCTATTCTTCTGCCTCAGCCTCCCGAGTAGCTGGGACTACAGGCAAGTGCCACCACATCTGGCTAATTTTTGTATTTTTAGTAGAGACGAGGTTTCACCATATTGGCCAGGCTGGTCTCCAACTCCTAATCTGGTGAACCACCTGCCTCGGCCTCCCAAAGTGCTGGGATTAAGGGCATGAGCCACTGTGCCCGGCCTGGAGCTTCAGTTTTTTCATCTGTAAATTGGAGATAATAAGACCCACCAATTTTTTTCAACCCCCTGGTACAGGCCTGGCACGTGGTAGGTAGTAAGTGAAATTTTTATTCTCCCTTCAGATTTTCACGAAATACTCTGGTCTTTCTTTTCGGCCTCTTTCAGATAAAGATCTGGACAGCCTTTATCTTACTCATCTACCATTAGCTATATTTCATGGGTTAACTTGAGTAGATACTGGAGATCTTGTCAAATGCATCATAAGACTGGAAGAAGAATTTTATGTCCATTGATTTGGACAACTGAAGCTCCTGGTTTTAACTTTCTGTTTTTTGTTTGTTCGTTTGTTTTTATTGTGGTGTAATTTACATGGTAACTTTGTTTAACTTTGGAGTTTCTGCTTCACAATTTCCACATCTCCTACTGAATTGCTTTGCAACTGCAATGCTTTGGTTTTGACCTTTGTTTAATTTATTTGCCCTTTGTTCCCTTTATTAGTTTTCCTCCTCAGAAGAGTGATCACTGTCTAGAACATACGACAATGTGATATTCTAAGGCATCAACTTAAAATCTGGAGATCTGGCCAGGCATGGTGGCTCATGCCTGTAATCCCAGCACTTCAGGAGGCCAAGGCAGGCAGATCACTTGAGGTCAGGAATTTGAGACCAGCCTGCCAACATGGTGAAACCCTGTCTCTACCAAAAATACAAAAATTAGCTGCGCATGGTGGCGCATGCCTGTAGTCCCAGCTACTCGGGAGGCTGAGGCAGGAGAATGGCTTGCACCTGGGAGGCGGAGGTTGCAGTGAGCCAAGATTTTGCCACTGCACTCTAGTCTGGGGGACAGAGTTGAGACTCCATCTCAGGAAAAACAAACAAACAAACAAACACAGATATCTACAAATTTGGAGAGGAGACATTATTTCCTATCAGGGGTTGCGGTGGTAGGGTGGCCATCTTGACAAGCTGGGAAGTGTAGCCTCTGGCATAGATCATTTTGAGGGAGAGAAAGATGAGACAGGAATTTATGCTGAATGGGTTGACAAGGTGTACGTATTCAACAGGTTATAAGAGGACCTATGAATATTCATGAAGGGCCAGCATGCTCATAGCCTGGTGGAGTGGATAAAAGCCACTGCTAAGTGTGTTGGCCAGGTACAGTGGCTCACGCTTGTAATCCTAGCATTTTAGGAGGCTGAGGTGGGTGGATCACTTGAGCTTAGGAGTTCAAGACCAGCCTGGGCAACATGATGAAATCCCATCTCAACAAGAAATAAAAAAATTAGCTGAGCATGGTGGTGAGCCCCTGTAGTCCCAGCTACTTAGGAGGCTGAGGTGGGAAGATCGCTTGAGCCTGGGAAGTTGAGGCTGCAGTGAGCTGTGATCGCACCACTGTACTCCAGCTTGGGTGACAATGTGAGACCCTGTCTCCAAAAAAAAAAAAACAAACAAAAAAAACAAACATATGTTTACCCTCAGAAGGGAACTGCCCAACTTCCCCTATAAACGCCAATTGGAGCACCCCTGGTGAAGCAGCTGATATGCTTTGTATACAAGTCATGTGCAACTGGGTTTGTGGTGACAGGAATATTCACCCACTGAATATGCCCATTACACAGGTTATGGTAAATGCTGTGGTCATAAGAGGGCCCCTTCTCTATGGGCACCCCATGTTACTCCTGCAGAATCTACCAGTTCCTGAAGTCTTATCTTACAGATGCTGATAAAAACATCAGGTTAGGGCCAGGCGTGGTGGCTCACACTTGTAATCCCAGCACTTTGGGAGGCCGAGGCGGGCGAATCACCTGAGGTCAGGAGTTCAAGACTAGCCTGACCAACATAGTGAAACCCTGCATCTACTAAAAATACAAAAATTAGTCGGGCATGGTGGCGGGAGCCTGTAATCCCAGCTACTCGGGAGGCTGAGGCAGGGAGAATCGCTTGAACCCGGGAGGCAGAGGTTGCTATGAGCCGCTACTGTACCACTCACTCCAGCCTGGACAATAGAGCAAGACTCTGCTCAAAAAAAAAAAAAAATACAAGACATATTAAAATGTGCTTAGCCAATTGTCAGGGACATAGAAGACTCAGAATCTAATATGGCCGGGGCAGGCCGGGCACGGTGGCTCATGCCTGTAATCCCAGCACTTTGGGAGGCCAAGGTGGGTGGATCACCAAAGGTCAGGAGTTTGAGACCAGCCTGGCCAACATGGTGAAACTCCGTCTGTACTAAAAATACAAAAATTAGCCAGGTGAGGTGGTGCGTGCCTGTAATTCCAGCTACTCGGGAGGCTGAGGCAAGAGAATCACATGAATCCGGGAAGTGGAGGTTGCAGTGAGCCAAGATCATGCCACTGCACTCTAGCCTGAGCTACCGAGTGAGACTCTGTGTCAAAAAAAAAAAAAAGAACAAAAAAACAAAATAAACGATTATGTCCAGGGCAGTAGCACAGGACTGGAGATGTTTGGACAGAGGAGAAAGATCAGCAGTGGGTACACTATGAACACATCTTCCTTTGCTTCAGGAGAAAAGGATCAGGACAGCTGGGGCTGCAGGCCCTGGAGGGCTCACTACCCTGGGGACAGGACAAAAGGGAGGCAGTTGTATAGATCCAAGGTAGAAGATTTATGGGTAGGGTGTGGCCGACAGACCAGGCTGGCAAAAGCGGTCGATAAAGTCAACATCACAGAGGAAGCCAAGTAAGGTCAGGGCAGGTGAGTCCAAACGGACTCCAGGGTGCAGGATCCAGTGCTGTCAGACGGGCTGGCAGGTGCAGCGGGAGAAAAGAGAGGCTTGGTGCCCAGGGAACCTGATGGCCAAGGCAGAGCAAGCCTGGATGGTGACCAGGTTTCAAGTGGGTCCCTGAAGTGGAGGGGCAGGTCTCTTTGTGGTCTTTCAGAGATGACAAGCAATGCTGGGTCAAGGTGAGAGGAAACAAAGCATTGCATACCCACTTTATGAAGTGGTTTATCTAAACTAGTATTATCCAGGCCGGGTGCAATGACTCACGCCTGTAATCCCAGCACTTTAGGAGGCCAAGGCAGGCGGATCACTTGAGGTCAGGAGTTTGAGACCAGCCTGGCCAACATGGTGAAACCCCATCTCTACTAAAAATACAAAAGTTAGCCGGGCGTGGTAGCACACACCTGTTATTCCAGCTACTTGGGAGGCTGAGGTAGGAGAATCGCTTGAACCAAGGAGGCGGAGGTTGTAGTGAGCTGAGATTGCACTACTGCACTCCAGCCTGGGCAACAAAGGGAGACTGTCTCAAAAATAAATTAATTAATTAAATTAAATAAAAATAAATAAATAAACTATTACCCCCCTGACAGCCATTCACGCTGGGAATTAGTGAAAAATAGAAATTCAGACCCACCCAAATTAAGTAGTTGCTAAGACTCTCACAGCTATTAAACAGAGAAGCTCAGATTTAATCTTAGGGCTAACTGGCTGCAAAACCCAGCTTGTTCCACCCTGGAATTCCTTCAGAAAGGTGGCACTTGGGAACTTTCTAACTCATTCCCATTGTTTTTCTCACTTCTCAAGTTTGGAATCTTGACAGCCAAGGACAGAAGAGACCTGGCCAGTCTTGGCGAGTGACGGAACTCTCCTGAGCTCAGCTCTGACTTTATTCCGTGCTGACAGCAAGAAGCCCCTGAAGAAGGCTGGAACTGTTAGCTGCGTTAGGACCCCCTGCAGAGGGGCGAGGGTGATGGGAAGAACAACAGGAAGCCCTGGACCCTCTTCTTGAAGATTTAAATGTCTCATGGGGCCAAGCATGGTGGCTCACATCTGTAATCCCAGCACTTTGGGAGGCTGAGGTGGGAGGATCACTTGAGCCTAGGAGGTTGAGGCTGCAGTGAGTTGAGATCATGCCACTGCACTCTGGCCTGGGTGACAGAGCAAGACCTTGTCCCTAAAAAATAAAACAAAAAGGAGGTCTACTGTGGTGGCTCACGCCTGTAATCCCAGCACTTTGGGAGGCTGAGGTGGAAGGATCACTTAAGCCTAGGAGGTTTTGGCTGCAGTGAGCCGAGATCGTACCACTGCACTCTGGTTTGGGTAGCAGGGCAAGACCTTGTCCCTAAAAAATAAAAACAAAAAAAGGTCTAGTTTGGTGGCTTAAGCCTGTAATCCCAGCACTTTGGGAGGCTGAGGCAGGATGATTGCTTGAGCCCAGGAGTTTGAGACCAGCCTGGGCAACATAGGGAGATCGTGTGTCTAAAAAAATTTTTTTATTTTAATTTAAAAAAAGAAAGAAATCATAAAATGACCCAGAATTCTGGTCACATAGGAGGAGGTGTTTTGGCTTCAGCGGCATGAGTGGCATGCGTGTGGCAGGAAGAGAACCAGACACGGTCTCCTAGAGGACCTGCGTCACCTGTGTTGGTGCTTTTCCTTTTTCCTTTTTTTTTTAGAGAGAGGGAGTCTTGCTCTGTCACCCAGGCTGGAGTGCAGTGACGTGATCTTGGCTCACTGCAACCTCCATCTCCCAGGTTCAAGCGATTCTCCTGCCTCAGCCTCCTGAGTAGCTGGGATTACAGGTGCCCACCACCCGCCCGGCTAATTTTTGTATTTTTAGTAGAGACAGGGTTTTGCCATGTTGGCCAGGCTGATGTCAAACCCCTGACCTCAGGTGATCCGCGTGCCTCCGCCTCCCAAAGTGCTGGGATGAGCCACTGAGTGAGCCACTGTGCCCAGCCTGCTGGTGCTTTTCTTGCAGGAGGCTGGTGGCCTCCAGGCTTTTCCCAGTAGCCTGATTTGTGGTAGTGTTTAACAGTGCGGACGAGGGAGGTGTGAAAGCTATCACTGCTGTAAGTGTGAGTTCCGTGGAGAAAGTAAGAAGTGGATGAACTTAGCAGTTGTAAATTGGGCCACCCACAGTTCCTCAAAAAGTTAAACATAGATTTACCATATGACCCAGCATTCTACTCCTGGGTATATACCCAAGATAAACTGAAAATATATGTCCACACAAAAACTGGGACATCAATTTTCATAGCAGGATTACTTGTAACAGCGAAAAAGTGGAAACAACCCACATATCCATCAACTAATGAATAAACAAAATGCAGTCTATCCATGCCATGGACAAGGAGCCGTGCAGTCGCATGGGTGAACCATGAAGCATCAGGCCACCGGAACCCAGCCAGGCACAAAGGATGACAGGGCAGGATTCCACTCATGTGAAACGTCTAGAATAGATACAGCCACAGGGACAGAAAGCAGATGGGTAATTGCCAGGGGCAGGGGGTAGGAGATCCTGATGCTGCTGATTCCTTTTTTCGTGTACGTGTGTGTGACACAGAGTTTCGCTCTTGCCGCCCAGGCCAGAATGCAATGGTGCCATCTCAGCTCACTGCAACCTCTGTTTCCCACGTTCAAGCGATTCTCCTGCCTTAGCCTCCCAAATGGCTGGGATTACAGGTGCCCGCTACCACGTCCGGCTAATTTTTTTGTATTTTTAATAAAGACGGGGTTTTATCATATTGGCCAGGCTGGTCTCGAACTTCTGACCTCAGGTAATCCACCCGGCCTCCCAAAGTGTTGTGATTACAGGCGAGCCAGTGCGCCTGGCCTTGATGATGCTGATTCTAAGACCACACTCTGGATAGTGCCCAAGGTCCTACCCATCAACAATGTCCAACAGAACTTTCTGGAATAAATACAGGGGCAGGCAAGCAAGCCCTAAAACCGGGGCTTAGCCCAAGAGGGTCCTTGGCTTTGCCCAGAAAAGAATTCAGGGGTGAAATCTTCAGCAATCTGTTTTTTTTTTTTTTTTTTTTGAGATGGAGTCTCGCTCTGTCACCCAGGCTGGAGTGCAGTGGTGCAATCTCGGCTCACTGCAAGCTCTGCCTCCCGGGTTCACGCCATTCTCCTGCCTCAGCCTCCCGAGTAGCTGGGACTACAGGCGCCGGCCACCCTGCCTGGCTAATTTTTTTTGTATTTTTAGTAGAGATGGAGTTTCACCATGTTAGCCAGGATGGTCTTGATCCCCTGACCTTGTGATTCGCCCGCCTCGGCCTCCCAAAGTGCTGGGATTACAGGCGTGAGACACTGCGCCTGGCCAATCTTCAGCAATCTTTTATCGAACTGGAGCTGCTCCTTGCTGAGCAAGGCTAACTCATAGGCAGGGTGCCAGAACCAGGCTTGTGGGTTGGTGGCAACTGTATTTATATCCACTCTCAATCACATGCAAATTAAGGGGTGGGTTAATGCAAATCAAGAGGCAAGTTATTCAGAACTTTCTAGGAAAGGGGTGGTAATTTCTGGGTCATTGTATGGAAACGGCAATAGTCTCTGGGTCATTGCCATGGCATTTGTAAACTGTCATGGCGCTGATGAGAGTGTCTTACCCTAATGAGCAATGAGGGCAGCTAGGGATGGCTTTTTTGGCCATCTGCTGGCCTGCCGGGTTTTTCACTTTATCCTTTTGGGACCTGGAGACAGCTCCTGCCAGTTTCCTAGTTTCTTTTTGTTTTTTTTTTTTTAATTTTTGAGACAGAGTCTGGCTCTGTCCGCTGGCCTGGAGTGCGGTGGCGCTATCTCGGCTCACTGCAACCTCCGCCTCCCGGGTTCAAGCGCTTCTCCTGCCTCAGTCTACAGAGCAGCTGGGATTACAGGCCAGCACCACCACATCCGGGTAATTTTTGTATTTTTATTAGAGACGGGGGTTTCACCATGTTGGCCAGCCTGGTCTTGAACTCCTGACCTCAAGTGATCTACCCGACTTGGCCTCCCAAAGTGCTGGGATTACAGACATGAGCCACCACGCCCGGCCTCTTTTTTTTTTTTTTTTTTTATGAGACAGAGTTTCTCTTTCACCCAGGCTGGAGTTCAGTGGTGCAATCTTGGTTTACTGCAATCTCCGCCCCCCGGGTTCAAGCAGTTCTCCTGCCTCAGCCTCCCGAGTAGCTGGGATTATAGGCACCCACCACCATGCCTAATTATTTTTGTATTTTTAGTAGAAACGGGGTTTGGCCATGTTGGCCAGGCTGGTCTCAAACTCCTGACCTCAGATCCACCTGCCTCGGCCTCCCAAAGTGCTAGAATTACAGGTGTAAGCCACTGCACCTGGCCTCCTGTGGAATTTCTCAGCCAATTCCATGCCCTTGCTGCTGCTGCACTCCCCCTCCTCCTCCCCAGTCCAGGCCCTCATCCGTGTAAGAATCTGGCAGAGCCAGGTCGGGAGAGCCTAGGGATGAAATATGACCAGCCCCCACAGGCCACTCACTCCGCAGGGCCACCCTCACCCTCACACACCTGGTGAGAACCCTTGAAGTCGAGTGCTCCAATTACCAATTTTTATGCCATAAACCACCCCCAAACTTAATGGCCTCAGAGAGCAATACTTACCTTTCTCACAATGTGCACTGGGCAGGTCTCTGTGGGGACAGCTCATCCCTACTCTATTTGGCACCAGCTGAGTGGCCTGAAGGCTGAGGCTGGAATCATCTGAAGACTGGCTCCTTTACATGTTATAGTTGATGCTGGCTGTCACTTGGGACCCTAGCTAGGACTTTAACCAGGGCACCTGCGTGTGTGTTGGGCTCGATAGCGGCTGGGTTCCAAAGGTGAGTAGAGGGAGGAGAGGGAAAAGGGTGGGGATAGAGAGAAAGAGAAAGAAATAGAGCGACAGAGGAAAGAGAGCTTTACCCCTTTTATATTTTCAACCTAGCCTTGGAAGTCATAGTGTGACACTCCTGATGCATTCTACTTGTGAGGATTCAGTCACTAAGGCCAGCCAATATTCAAGAGGAGGGGAATTAGACTTACTATTTTCAATAGGAGGAATGTTAAAAATTTTGCAAACATGTTTTAAAACCACCACGTAGGCCAGGCGCGGTGGCTCACGCCTGTAATCCCAGCACTTTGGGGGGCTGAGTTGGGTGGATCACCTGAGGTCAGGAGTTCAAGACCAGCCTGGCTAACATGGTGAAACCCCATCTCTACTAAAAATATAAAAACTAATCGGGTGTGGTGGTAGGCGCCTGTAATCCCAGCTACTCGGGAGGCTGAGGCAGGAGAATTGCTTGAACCCGGGAGACGGAGGTTTCAGTGAGCCGACACGGAGCCACTGCACTCCAGCCTCAGCAACAGAGTGAGACTCCATCTCAAAAACAAACAAACAAACAAAAACCCGCCATATAGACTCAGGAACCAAGAGTGCCAAGGACACAACTCCAAGGAGCATAACTATTTTGGTTTTTTTTTTGAGACAGGGTCTTTCTCTGTTGCCCAGGCTGGAGTACGCTGGTGCGATCATAGCTCCCTGCAGCCTCAAACTCCTAGGCTCAAGTGATCCTCCCACCTCAGCCTCCAAAGTAGCTGGGAATATAGGTGTGTGCCACCACATCTGGCTAATTTAAAACAATATTTTGGCTGGGCGCAGTGGCTCACTCTTGTAATCTCACACTTTGGGAGGCCAAGGCAGGTGGATCATGAGGTCAAGACATCAGGACCATCCTGGACAACATGGTGAAACCCCGTCTCTACTAAAAATACAAAAATTAGCTGGGCGTCGTGGGGGGGCCTATAATCCCAGCTATTTGGGAGGCTGAGGCAGGAGAATCACTTGAACCCAGGAGGCAGAGGTTGCAGTGAGCTGAGATCGCACCACTGTACTCCAGCCTGGGGACAGAGGGAGACTCCATCTCAAAAAAAAAGGCCAGGTGAGGTGGCTCACGCCTGTAATCCCAGCATTTTGGGAGGCCAAGGCAGGGGGATCATGAGGTCAGGAGTTCGAGACCAGCCTGGCCAACATGGTGAAACCCGGTCTCTACTAAAAATACAAAAATTAGCTGGGCGTGGTGGCTCACACCTGTAATCCCAGCTACTCAGGAGACTGAGGCAGGAGAATTGCTTAAACCCGGGAGGCAGAGGTTGCAGTGAGCCGAGATCATGCCACTGCACTCCAGCCTGGGCAAGCAAGACTCCATCTCAGGAAAAAAAAAAATATGTATATATTGTAGAGATAGGGTCTTGCTATGTTGTCCAGGCTGGTCTTCAACTCCTGGGCTCAAGCAATCCTCCCATTTCAGCCTCCTGAGTAGGTGGGACTACAGGTACATGCCACCATGCCCAGCTAATATTCTTTCTCTGCCTTTCTTTCTTTCTTTCTTTCTTTCTTTCTTTCTTTTCTTCCTTCCTTCCTTCCTTCCTTCCTTCCTTCCTTCCTTCCTTCCTTCCTTCCTTCCTCTCTCACTCTCTTTCTCCTTTTGGGGTCTCATGTTGTCACCCAGGCTGGAGTACAATGGCATGATTATAGCTCACTGTAGCCTCAAACTCCTGGGCTGAAGGGATCCTCCTAGTTCAGCCTCCTGAGTAGCTGGGACCATAGGTGCACACCACCACACTCAGGTAATTTAAAAAAAAAATTTTTTTTTTTAAAGATGGGGTCTCACTATGTTGCCCAGGCTGGTCTCAAACTCCTGGCCTCAAGTGATCCTCCCACCACAGCCGCCCAAAGTGCTGGGATTACAGGCGTGAGCCACTGTGCCTGGCATTGTTGTTGATCTTTGTTCCTTTACCTCCCTGAATACACACATTGTTTGCTATAGCATATGTATTCCCATTGCACTATTCCCAAATAAACATCATTTTCTTTTAAAGACCCTCTGTTATTAGGTAGATATACATGGTATATCTATATATAGAAATGGTACCTGAAAAAATCACTATTAGAAGGAATTGATGATTTTTTTTTTTTTTTTTGAGATGGAGTCTCGCTCTGTCACCCAGGCTGGAGTGCAGTGGTACGATCTCAGCTCTCTGCCACCTCCGTCTCCCAGGATCAAGCAATTCTCCTACCTCAGCCTCCTGAGTAGCTGGCATTACAGGCGCCCGCCACCATGTCCAGCTAATTTTTGCGTTTTTAGTAGAGACAGGGTTTCACCACATTGGCCAGGCTGGTCTCAAACTCCTAACCTCAGGTGATCTGCCTGCCTCAGCCTCCCAAGAATCGATGATTCTTAGAACTGGCATGCAGCACTCACTGAAGGCTGTGAGCTCTCTGCTTCCACAACAGGCCTGTTCTGCCCTGCTGAGTCTTCTCTCAGGCTGAGCCTCCCTCTTTTTTTTTTTTTTTAACGGAGTTTTACTGTTTTTGCCCAGGCTGGAGTGCAATGATGCAATCTCGGCTCACTGCAACCTTTGGTCTGCATGGCCAGTTTGGATTAAAATTTTTGTGAACACTCTTATCTTGGTTTCTTTGGATTTGGTTTGACTCTTTTCTCTTGCTTATTTCTAAAAATCTCCCAAGAGCAAAAATAAACATTCCAACCAGTGGGTGGAGGATGGCTAACATAAGCCACTAGGGTGGTTCCTGCTGTCTAAAACACCAGACTAAACTCCTAATATCCCATAAATTACAGCATGTATAGGGTGGTCTTTGCTCTCAAGTGATGAATAAGAAATGGAATGGGGATGGTGTGGTGGCTCACACTTGTGATCCCAGCCCTTTGGGAGGCCGAGGCAGGTGGATCATATGAGGCCAGGAGCTCGAGACCAGCCTGGCCAACATGGTGAAACCCCATCTCTACTAAAAAATACCAAAACAAAAAAAATAATTTAGCTGGGCATGGTGGCAGGCACCTGTAATCCCAACTACTCGTGATGCTGAGGTAGAAGAATCACTTGAATCCTGGAGGCAGAGGTTGCAGTGGGCCGAGATCGCACCACTGCACTCCAGCCTGGGCGACAGAGCAAGACACTGTCTCAAAAAAAAAAAACAAGATAAAGAAATGGAATGGGATTCTCAAACATGAAGGCGTACCAGGATTTCTGGTTTTTGTTGTTGTTGTTGTTGTTTTGGTTTTTTTTTTGAGACAGAGTTTCACTCTTGTTGCCCAGGCTGGAGTGTAATAGTGCCACCTTGGCTCACCGCAACCTCCGCCTCCCAGGTTCAAGTGATTCTCCTGCCTCAGCCTTCAGAGTAGCTGGGATAACAGGCATGCACCACCACACCCGGCTAATTTTGTATTTTTAGTAAAGACAGGGCTTCGCCACGTTGTCCAGGCTACTCTCGAACTCCTGACCTCAGGTGATCCACCCGCCTCGGATTCCCAAAGTGCTGGGATTACAGGCTTAAGCCACCACACCTGGCCAATGCAAGGATTTCTAGGACTCCACCAGCTACATATTATGGCTCATTCTTGTGCACATTTTAAAACTGATGAGCAAAATTACATCAAGGAAAATTCAGAGCTCAAATGGTCATTATTCATAAAACCTACAACTATAGAGTTAGCATGGAGAGACTTCTAAGTTCTCTTTCTCTCCTTTTTTTTTTTCTGCCTGCTTTGAATCTGCTAACTTTTCCCCTGGTGTTGAGATAACACTTACTGCTTATGGCATTCAAGTCAAGATTAAACAAAAGTCTTAAAGGGCTTTCAAATTACAACTCCATGGTAACCAACAACCTAGACAACTTTTTTTTTAAAGACAGTATCTTGCTATGTTGCACAGGCTGGAGTACAGTGGCATGATTGTAGCTCACTGTGACCTCAAACTCCTGGGCTACAGCAATCCTGCTGCCTCAGACTCTGGAGTAGCTAGTACTAACAGGTGCACAATATTCAGACCA
This sequence comes from Homo sapiens, assembly GCF_000001405.40. NCBI lineage: Eukaryota > Metazoa > Chordata > Mammalia > Primates > Hominidae > Homo > Homo sapiens. The sequence goes on along the minus strand of NC_000016.10, from coordinate 29,756,721 downwards.
GTTAGTCCTTTTCTTTTTTTTTTCTTTTTTTTTTTTTTTTTGAAAGAGAGTCTCGCTCTGCCACCAGGCTGTAGTGCAGTGGTGTGATCTCGGCTCACTGCAACCTCCGCCTCCCTGGTTCAAGCGATTCTCATATCTCAGCTTCTCGAGTAGCTGGGATTACAGGCACCTGCCACCACACCCAGATAATTTTTGTAGTTTTAGTAGAGATGGGGTTTCACCATGTTGGCCAGGATGGTCTCGATCTCCTGACCTCATGATCTGCCCACCTTGACCTCCCAAAGTGCTGGGATTACGGGCGTGACAGCTAGCCATGTTTTAAAAACATAAAATTAGGTTTGCCTAACAATTGCTTAGAGTGATGAAACACTTAATTGAAAAAGTAATAATCTAAAGAAAAAGGCTAGGTGTGGTGGCTCACGCCTGTAATGCCAGCACTTTGTGAGGCCAAGGCAGGCGGATCACTTGAGGTCAGGAGTTGGAGACCAGCCTGCCCAACATGGCGAAACCCCGTCACTACTAAAAATACAAAAATTAGCCAGGTGTGGTGGTGCATGTCTATAGTCCCAGCTACTCAGGAGGCAGAGATGAGAGAATTGCTTGAACCCAGGAGGTGGAGGTTGCAGTGAGCCAAGATCACGCCAACGCACCCTGGCCTGGGTGACAGAGCAAGACTCCATCTCAAAAAAAAAAAAAAAAAAAAAAAAAAAAAAAAGAAGAAAGAAAGCGAGAAAGGAAGAAAGAAAAATAACTAGACAAATGTTTATAAGGCCAGGCGCGGTGCCTCACGCCTGTAATCCCAGCACTTTGGGAGGCTGAGGCGGGCGGATCACGAGGTCAAGAGTTCGAGACCGGGGCCGGGCACGGTGGCTCACACCTGTAATCCCAGCACTTTGGGAGGCCGAGATGGGTGGATCACGAGGTCAGGAGATCGAGACCATCCTGGCTAACACGGTGAAACCCCGTCTCTACTAAAAATACAAAAATTAGCCGGGCATGGTGGTGCGCGCCTGTAGTCCCAGCTACGCGGGAGGCTGAGGCAGGAGAATGGCGTGAACCCGGGAGGCGGAGCTTGCAGTGAGTCGAGATCGCACCACTGCACTCCAGCCTGGGCGACAGAGCGAAACTCCGTCTCAAAAAAAAAAAAAAAAAAAAAAAAAAAAAAAAAAAAACAGTTCGAGACCAGCCTGGCCAATATGGTGAAACCCCGTCTCTACTAAAAATATAAAAAATTAGCCAGGCGCAGTGGCACGTGCCTGTTGTCCCAATTACTCAGGAGGCTGAAGCAGGAGAATCTCTTGAACCTGGGAAGTGGAGCTTGCAGCGAGCCAAGATCACGCCACTGCACTCCACCCTGTGCAACAGAGCAAGACTCCGTCTCAAATAAAATAAAATAAAATAAAACACCAAAAAAAAGGTCTATAAAAGTTAGACTCTCTTAGATCAAAGAAGTTGAAACCTTGAGCTCAGAGCAATAATGTAAGGTATCTCTGTCCAGCATAAAAATGTTGCTTTTTCTGTCACACAGAGGCCAAAAGGCAAAAACAAAAACAAAATAAAAAAAACACCTGCTAAAGTTCTTTCCTGCCCACATTTGCAAATCAAACCAGATCAGCAAACAAAACATAGACGTGTTACTAGTTCCAGGGCACTTAGATATTTTGTATTTCTTATACAATTTAGCCAATCCTGGCTAAAATGTAAACAATTGAAAATTTAACCCTAAACTCATTTGAAACTGATAAAAAACAGTTTTTTGAGACAGTCTCACTCTCATGCCCAGGCTGGAGTGCACTGGCACAAACACAGCTCAACCTCCTGAGCTCAAGCAGTTTTCCTGCCTCGACCTCCCCAGTTGAATCCTGAGCTGGGACTACAGGCATGCACCACTATGCCCAGGTAATTTTCTCATTTTTTGTACAGATGAGGTCTCACTTTGTTGCCCAGTCTGGTCTTGAGCTCATGGGTTTAAGCAATCCTCCCACACCGGCCTCCCAAAGTGCTGGGGTTACAGGCACCAGCCACCTCAATCAGCCGAAACTGAAAAAAAAATTTTTTTTCTTTCTTTTTTTTTTTTTTGAGGTAGAGTCTCGCTCTGTCGGCCAGGCTGAAGTGCAGTGGCATGATCTCAGCTCACAGCAACCTCCGTCTCCCAGGCTCAAGCAATTCTGCCTCAGCCTCCCGAGTAGCTGGGATTACAGGCACACGTGGGCCACCACACTTGGCTACTTTTTTGTATTTTTTTTAGTAGAGATGGAGTTTCACTATGAGCCAGGATGATCTCGATCTCCTGACCTCGTGATCCGCCCACCTTGGCCTCCCAAAGTGCTGGGATTACAGGCATGAGCCACCGTGCCCTGCCGTAAATCTTTAATCTTTAATAAATAAGCTGGTTTTAAAACTATTGGTAAAATAGGCTAGGCTTGGTGGCTCACACCTGTAATCCCAGCACTTTGGAAGGGTGAGGTGGGTGGATCACCTGAGGTCAGGAGTTTGAGATCAGCCTGGCCAACATGAGGAAACCTTGTCTCTACTAAAAATACAAAAAAGGTAGCTGGGTGTGGAGGCAAGTGCCTGTAATCCCAGCTACTTGGGAGGCTGAGGCAGGAGAATTGTTTGAACCCAGGACGCAGAGGTTGCAGTGAGCTGAGATCATGCCACTGCACTCCAGCTGGCGTGACCAAGGAAAACTCTCTTTAAAAAAAAAAAAAAAAAAAAAAAAAAGACAAAGAAAAAAAGTATTGGTAAAATAAAAATAGAAATGTCTTCAGAATTATCAGCATACATTTTTGCTTGGGTTTACTGGCCAGACAGTTTTATATTTATCTCTACTAGATGTTTTAAGGTGTCAGGGTCTGACACAAGGGTTATAAGACTACAAATCCAGTTTTAAACAAAATGATCTGTGTTTGTATAATTTTTTGTTGTTGTTAGAGACAGGGTCTTGCTCTGCTGTCCAGGTAGCATGATATAACTCACTGTAACCTCGAACTCCTGGGCTCAAGTGATCCTCTGCCTCAGCCTCTTGAGTAGCTAGGACTACAGGCACATGGAACCATGCCCAGCTAATTTTTTTTTTTTTTTGGTAGAGATGGAGTCTCACTGTGTTGCCCAGGCTGGTCTTGAACTACTATCTTCAAGCAATCCTCCTGCCTCCCAAAGTGTTTAGATTAGGCTAGGTATGGTGGCTTATGCCTATAATCCCAGAACTTCAGGACACCGAGGTGGGAGGTCTGCTCCAGGCCAGGAGTTTGAGACCAGCCTGGGGAACACAGCAAGACCCCATCTCTATTTAAATTAAAATGGCCGGGCGCAGTGGCTCACACCTGTAATCCCAGCACTTTGGGAGGCCGAGGCGGGCAGATCACCTGAGGTCAGGAGTTGGAGAGCAGCCTGACCAACATGGCAAAACCCCATCTCTACCAAAAATACAAAAATTAGCTGGGCATGGTGACGGGCACCTGTAATCCCAGCTACTTGGGAGGCTGAAGCAGGAGAATCGCCTGAACCTGGAAGGCAGAGGTTGTAGTGAACCGAGATCATGCCATTGCACTCCAGCCTGGGCAACAGAGCAAGACTCCGTCTCAAAAAAAAAAAAAAATAGCCAGGCATGGTGGTGCGCACCTGTAATCCCAGCTACTCAGGAGGCTGAGGCAGGAGAATCATTTGAACCCAGGAGGTGGAGGTTGCAGTGAGCTGAGATCAAGCCACTGCCCTCCAGCCTGGGCAACAGAGTGAGACTCTGTCTAAAAACAAATTTTTTTAAATTAATTAAAAGAAAAAGTGACGCAGGGCATGGTGGCTCATGCCTGTAATCCCAGCACTTTGGGAGGCTGAAGGGGGTGGATCACCAGGTCAGGAGTTTGAGACCAACATAGTGAAACCCCATCTCTACTAAAAATACAAAAATTAGCCAGGCATGGTGGCACACACCTGTAATCCTAGCTACTCGGGAGGCTGAGGCAGGAGAATTGCTTGAACCTGGGAGGCGGAGGTTGCAGTGAGCTGAGATCATGCCACTGCACTCCAGCCTGGGTGACAGAGTGAGACTCCGTCTCAAAAAAAAAAAAAAAAAAAAAAAAAGAAAAAGAAAAAGTGTTGCTAGGCACAGTAGCTCACGCCTGTAATATCAGCACTTTGAGAGGCTGAGGCGGATGGATCATGAGGTCAGGAGTTTGAGACCAGCCCAGCCAACATGGTGAAACTCTGTCTAAAGATAAAAAAAAAAAAAAAAAAAATAGCCGGGCGTGGTGGTGCATGCCTGTAATCCCAGCCACTCGGGAGGCTGATGCAGGAGAATTACTTGAACCTGGGAGGCGGAGGTTGCAGTGAGCCGAGATTGTGCCATTGCCCTCCAGCCTGGGCAACAGGGCAAGACTCCGTCTCAAAAAAAAAAGAAAAAAGAAAAAGAAAAAGTGTGATTATTGCGATTACAGATCTGAGCCACCACGCCCAGCCTGTGTAATTTTTGATAAGTAATACTAATTTAATATTTTTCATTTAGTAAAAACATCTATATCGGCCGGGCATGGTGGTTTAGTAATCGCAGCACTTTGGGAGGCCGACGTGGGTGGATCACCTGAGGTCAGGAGTTCAAGACTAGCCTGGACAACATAGTGAAACCCCGTCTCTACTAAAAATACAAAAATTAGCCAGGTGTGGTGGCAGGAGCCTGTAGTCCCAGCTACTCGGGGGGCTGAGGCAGGAGAATCGCTTGAACCTGGAGGCAGAGGTTGCAGTGAGCCGAGACTACACTACTGCACTCCAGCCTAGGAGACAGAGCGAGATTCCACCTCAAAAAAAAAAAAAAAAAAAACTGTATCTCCTGAGTTATCAAGAAATTACTCATATGTTTAAGCTTCTTACTTAGGTGAATACCTGATTGTCACAGGCTATAAAAATGATTAACAGGGAAGTAACTTGAAATAATGACTATCCTTGCCTAATATCTCAGTTTTCATAAATAATCTAGGGAAACTGTTAAAAATAAAGTATGTAATGGATAATTTATTATAAATAAATTTTTCATGTAATTTTAAATCTTCTATTATGTTCTATTAAATTAACTATTATTCATTAGATGTGTGTATTATTTCCAAGTAAGAAGAAATAACTGAAACAAATTGCTGAACATAAATGTTTTTGGCTGGCTTCTTAAATTTTATAGAATGACTAAATATACTTGGTCTTTTTTTGTTGTTGAGACAGTGTCTTGCTTTGTTTCCCAGGCTGGAGTGTAGTGGTACACCCATAGCTCACTGCAGCCTTGAACTCCTGAGCTCAAGTGATCCTCCCCTCTCAGCCTCCCAAGTAACTAAGACTACAAGCACATGCCATCATGCCTGGCTAATTTTTTGATTTTTTGTAGAAATGGGAGTCTTGCTATGTTACCCAGGCTGGTCTCAAACTCTTGCCCTCAAGCAATCCTCCTGCTTCAGTCTCCCAAAATTGTGGGATTACAAACATGAGCCACCTTGCCTGGCCTTAAACTTTTTTTTTTTTTTTTTGAGACAGAGTCTCGCTCTGTTGTCCAGGGTGGAGTGCAGTGGCATGATCACAGCTTACTGCAACCTCTTCCTCCTGGGTTCAAGCAATTCTCCTGCCTCAGCCTCCTGAGTAGCTGGGATTACAGGCATGTGTCACCACGCCCAGCTAATTTTTTTTTTTTTCCCCAGACAGAGTCTTGCCCTGTCACCCAGGCTGGAGTGCAGTGGCATGATCCCGGCCCACTACAACCTCCACCTCCTGGGTTCAAGCGATTCTCCTGCCTCAGCCTCTCAAGTAGCTGGGACTACAGGCACCTGCCACCAAACCCGGCTAATTTTTGTATTTCTAGTAGAGACAGGGTTTCACCATGTTGGCCAAGTTGGTGTCGAACTCCTGACCTCATGATCCGCCTGCTTTGGCCTCCCAAAGTGCTGGAATTACAGGTGTGAGTCACCTCACCCGGCCTTTTTTGGTATGTTTAGTAGAGACGGGGTTTCGCCATGTTGGTCAGGCTGGCCTCAAACTCCCGACCTTAGGTGATCCACCTGTCTTGGCCTCCCAAAGTGCTGGGATTACAGGCATGAACCATTGTGTAGGGCCTAAACTTGTACGTGATGAAAGAATCAAAACAGCCAGTGATATCTTAGTAAGAAAAAACCATGTCTGATCTTTCCAGTTTTTAATAATGTTAACTCTTCTAAAAGTTTGTTTAAAAAGATTGATTAAAAGAGCACATACAAGTTTTCAGGTTTTGTTTATTTTGATTTTTTTTTTTTTTACAATAAATCATTGTTTGATTGTAGGGAAACACACATAACTGCCAGGCACGGTGGTACACACCTGTAATCCCAGCTACTTGGATGGCTGAAGCAGAAGAATATCTTGAACCCGGGAGGCGGAGGTTGCAGTGAGCCAAGATTGCGTCACCGCACTCCAGCCTGGGCAACAGAGACAGACTCCGTCTCAAAAGAAAAAAAGAAATACATAACATAAAATAACATCAAAGTTACTATCATTTTTCTATATTGACCTCTAGAACAGCCAGAAAGAACATCTTAGTTATTTTTAAGCGTGTTGTTCGCTGGCACTAACTTCAGGTTTGATTTTAAGGCTTGTAATCTGGTAAAATTCTAGCCTCCTCAGGTTTCTGCGAGTGTCCTGAGCCTTAGCTTCCCCCTGTAACTGCCAAAGGGGTTCACCTTGCCCGCTGCCTACACATAGCCGATTCATCAAGACAGCAAAATTGCAATAAAGAGTAATTCACACAGAGCCAGCTGTGCAGGAGACCGGAGTTTTTTTTTTTTTTTTTTTTTTTTTTTTGACGGTTTTGCTCTTTTTGCCCAGGCTGGAGTACAATGGTGCCACCTCGGCTCACTGCAACCTCCGCCTCCAGGGTTTAAGTGATTCTCCTGCCTCAGCCTCCTGAGTAGCTGGGATTACAGGCACTTGCCACCACACCTGGCTAATTTTGTATTTTTAGTAGAGACAGTGTTTTCTCCATGTTGGTCACGCTGGTCTCAAACTCCCAACCTAAGGTGATCCACCGGCCTTGGCCTCCCAAATTGCTGAAATTACAGGCGTGAGCCACTGTGTCCAGCCAGGAGTTTTATTATTACTCAAATCAGTCTCCCTGAGCATTCGGGAAACAGAGGGTTTTTTTGTTTGTTTTTGTTTTGTTTTTTTGAGATGGAGTCTTGCTCTGTCGCCCAGGCTTGAGGGCAGTGGCGCAATCTCGGCTCACTGCAAGCTCCGCCTCCCAGGTTCATGCCATTCTCCCGCCTCAGCCTCCCAAGTAGCTGGGAGTAGCTGGGACTAGCTGGGACTACAGGCATCCGCCAACACGCCTAATAAATTTTTTGTATTTTTAGTAGAGATGGGGTTTCACCGTGTTAGCCAGGATGGTCTCGATCTCCTTGTGTCCAGAATTGGCGGGTTCTTGGTCTCACTGACTTCAAGAATGAAGCTGCGGACCCTCACGGTGAGTGTTTCAGTTCTTAAAGGCGGCATGTCCGGAGTTTGTTCCTTCTGATGTTCGGACGTGTTCCGAGTTTCTTCCTTCTGGTGGGTTCGTGGTCTCGCTGGCCTCTGGCGTGAAGCTGCAGACCTTCACGATGTTACAGCTCATAAAGGCAGTGCAGACCCAGGATAAGCAGCAGCAAGATTTATTGGAAAGATCAAAAGAACAAAGCTTCCTATGTGGAAGGGTACGCCGAGTTGCCACTGCTGGCTCTGGCAGCCTGCTTTTATTGCCTTATCTGGCCCCACCCACATCCTGCTGATTGGCCCATTTTACAGAGAGCCAACTGGTCTGTTTTATAGAGAGCTGATTGGTCCATTTTGACAGGGTGCTGATTGGTGTGTTTACAAACCTTGAGCTAGACACAGAGTGCTGATTGGTGTATTTACAATCCCTTAGCTAGACATAAAGGTTCTCCAAGTGCCCACTAGACTCAAGAGCCCAGCTGGCTTCACCTAGTGGACCTAGCACCTGGGCTGCAGGTGGAGCTGCCCACCAATCCTGTGCCTGCACTCCTCAGCCCTTGGGCGGTTGATGGGACCAGGCCCCGCAGAGCAGGGGGCGGTGCAGGAGCCCAGGCAGGGGGACGCTTGGGCATGGCGGGCTGCAGGTCCCAAGCCCTGCCCCGTGGGGAGGCAGCTGAGGCCTGCGAGAATTCAAGTGCACCTGTGGGCTGGCACTGCTGGGGGACCTGGCGCACCCTCTGCAGCTGCTGGTCTGGGTGCTAAGCCCCTCACTGCCTGGGGCCAATGGCGCCAGCCGGCCTCTCTGAGTGCGGGGCCCACCGAGCCCACGCCCACCCGGAACTCATGCTGGCCCTCGAGCGTGGCCCGCAGCCCCAGTTCCCGTCCGCGCCTCTCCCTCCACACCTCTGGCAAGCAGAGGGAGCGGGCTCCCGCCTCGGCCAGCCCAGAGAGGGGCTCCCACAGTGCAGCGGCGGGCTGAAGGGCTCCTCAAGCGCAGGGAGAGTTGGCGTGGAGGCCGAGGAGGCGCCCAGAGTGAGTGAGGGCTGCCAGCACGCTGTCACCTCTCATCCTGACCTTGTGATCTGCCTGTCTGGTCCTCCCAAAGTGCTGGGATCTGGGAGTGCAGATTGGTCAGAGATGAAATCATCAGGAGTCAGAGCTGTCTTCTTGCAGAGTCAGTTCTGGGTGGGGGCCACAAGATCAGATGAGCCAGTTTATTGATCTGGGTGGTGCCAGCTGATCCATCAAGTGCAGGGTCTGCAAAATATCTCAAGCACTGATGTTAGGAGCAGTTTAGGGAGGGTCAGAATCTTGTAGCCTCCAGCTGCATGACTCCTAAACCATAATTTCTAATCCTATGGCTAGTGTTAGTCTAGTCCCCAGGCAAGAAGGTCTGCTTTGGGAAAGGGCTGTTACTGTCTTTGTTTAAACTATAAACTACAAACTAAGTTTCTCCCAAAGTTAGTTCAGCCTACGCCCAGGAATAAACAAAGACAGCTTGGAGGTTAGAAGCAAGGTGGAGTCAGTTAAGTTAGATCTCTTTCTTTGCAAAGGCGGTTTCCCCCGGACTCTCCATCTCCAGCTCCTCCCAGCAGGGCTCAAAACCACCAGGATGGGGCAGTCTGACGGAGACTGTCTTTTCATTCATTTATTTATTTAATTTATTTATTTTGAGACAGAGTCTCGCTCTGTTGCCCAGGCTGGAGTGGAATGGCACGATCTCGGCTCACTGCACCGGGTTCAAGCGATTCTCCTGCCTCAGCCTCCTGAGTAGTTGGGGTCATAGGCGTGCGGCACCACGCCCGGCTAATTTTTGTATTTTTAGTAGAGACGGGGTTTTGCCATGTTGGCCAGGCTGCTCCCAAACTCCTGACCTCAGGTGATCCACCCGCCTCGGTCTCCCAAAGTGCTGGGATTACAGGCATGAGCCACCTCG